>NC_000001.11:114099289-114402319 GCF_000001405.40 Homo sapiens
GGGAATGGAGTATGTTAAACAGATGTCTGCAAACATCATTTGCAGCAAAGGGACCGAAGCCCTAGACCTACTGCTGCTCATCAGATGGTATCAGTGGGTTGTTAAAATAATTAAACCACCTTGTATTTATGTAGCACACCTGTCTCTGAGGACACTCTGTGCTTAATAAATGCAGAGTCTTTAGCTACCTCAGTATTCTTGGGAGAGCGCCTAATGGACTTTTACTAATGGGGAAGCTGGCCCCATATCAGACATGACACCTGCCGATAGGTATGCAGTTCACAGCCCTAAATCTCAGCTCGTCAATCCCTGGCTGACTCAAAAAGGTGATGAGGCTGAACAATGACACTATTTCTTTTACCTATGTGGAGTACTATTCTTTGAGTGGCTTTTTTGTTTTACCAGAATTACAAACCAAAGGATAAAGGTTTTGGGGCGGGGTAAAAATAGGACTCAACAATGGCCAGGGAGACACAATGTGTCAGAGTGAAATGAACAGCAACAATCACAATGCTGTTCATGTCCTCCCCACCTGACAACATAATTTTGGGTCCCATTGTCTCAATAATCCCATTTCCATTTGGCATCTAGAAGGCGTGAAGTGGCCCTGCTCTCTGCTTCCCTGGAAGCCATTTCCTGCCCACTTCTGGACAGTGGAGAATGAGGGAGCTGTGGCCCGGGGAGACTCAGGGCAGCTGGTTGACATTTCCTTTCTCAGTGGGATCTTGGATTCTCTCCATCCTGCAAAGAGATGCTTTTATTGAACTTCCATGTGCCTCCCATCCTTTTGTTTTCTTTAGTTTTCTGAATGGGTATTTCATGGTCATCTTTCTACCCTGAAATTTTCTACTCACCCAAGTGAAGTGAAACCTAGTGTATCTCATAGCACAGGTGTCTCGGTCACCATCATAATTGTTATTTATGCTGCACAGCTCAAGAAATGGGAGGGCGGCTCACAGGTAATAATAGCTTTCGAGACGCTGATGTGCTGAGACACCTTGTTGCCCAGAAGCCAGGGCTCCTGTGAATCTGTCAGGAGGTGCCAGCCAAGCAGCTGCTCCCCAGCTCTGTGATTCATAGGCATATGGTTCTATCTCCTGGACATCGAGCACCCACTAGGGCCCTGTACTCCCTGGCATCATTCAGATGGCAGATGAGGCACACATCCCTGGTGGAAATTAGGGAGAACTGTGACACCTGATCAGAAACTCCAAGCCTGAAAGGCATTTTTGTAGACACCTAAATGAGCTGCCGACTAATCCATGTGGCAGCAGTAGCTATGCCTTAACCATGGGGAGATGAGGTTGGGTTTATGGAGAGACCATGAGGTGTTTAATCAACCTGCTGTCTCAAACTACACATTTGAAAGGACCCTCTCTTAGGGATTTTCAGTAAAATGGAAGTAAGAGTTTTGAGAACCGGCATGAGGCTCTGGTTTCCACAGATTCCATTCTCTATGGATATGCCCCAGGACATTATTCAGGTTCAGGTAGACAGATGGGCAGAGCTAGCCCCAATACCTGTCTTTAACACAGCAGCTTGCAAAATCCATAAGGATGTACCTTTTCTTGCAAAGTGGCTCCAGACTTGAGGTTGCTCAGGTGCCGCCTCATTCCCCTGCTCTACCTATTTCCATACACTCCCACATCAGGGCAGATTTCCATATCATGAGGCTTGGAAAAATAGAGGCAGAGCCACTTGTCCCATGGGCCACTGAGCAAATGTCTTAGCAACCTTCCCCAACTCTGTTCATCCTTACAAGGCATATCCATTTTTTTTTAAGAGACAAGGTCTTGCTGTTTTGCCCAGTCTGGTCTTGAACTTCTGGGCTCAAGTGATTCTTCCACCTCACCCTCCCGAGTAGCTGGGATTACAGGCATGAGCTACTGTGCCTGGCTGATATGAAATTTATAAAATTCAGTGCACATATTTCCCTTGCAGGAACCAACACTTTCACCAGCATCCATGAAGCCAAGCAGACAGATGACCGTTCCCTAGGCTTTTCTGGGGCAAAAGTCTGCGGTTTCTAGTGGAATGCTGGCCCCAGATGATCTTGGAGGTCCTTTCCTCTCTAACAGCCTATGATGCTCTACGCAGCTGAGGGAGGGGACACAAAGACCAGCAGTGTATTTCAGCCTCATTGTCATGGGAGCAATCAAAATCCAGCATTTAGAATGTGCTCACCACCCCTTTGTAGCATACTGGTCCTTATTATTATTTTGTGCTATTTTTAGTGTCATGGTTCTAGCAGATAGGCTTAGAGAATTGATTCAGGGCTAGTTTAGATCATTGAGAATAGGAAGATCCTGGGTTTTAGACATCAATGCCACACAATTCAAGAATAGGCAATTAATAAGCTCCATTCAATACCTAGCTTAGTCCAACATCGAATAAGTCTGGGCTGAGGGAAACCTCAAACTCATCCTCAAGAACAGGAGATCTAGTTCGAGAGGCTCCTAGCAAGTACACCCCCACTGCTTCACCCTTGGGCCAGGTTCCTCATGCTGTAAATTCAACCATCCATTCATTCGGTATCTATTTATTGAATGCTTACTGTGTTTTATCCACTGTTCCAGATACTTGCTTACATCAATGAACAAAATAGACAGAAACTTGTAATGAAAAGAAGACCCCTGGATCTTCGGAATCAAGCCAAGGTTTAATAACAGGTTCCAAACCCAGGTCAAAAAGAGGGGCAATTGTGAAAGGGAGGTTAGAACTTAGCAAGAACAAAATCTCACACCCCAAACCCTCTGATTCAGAGCAGCTTTTGTGATGACCTCAGCAGCTTCACCATAGGCTTTCTCTCCAGCACATCAATTTAATTACACCAGAGAAGATAGTGTGGGGACTTAGGCAGCAAAATCCTATTTCCCTCAGCAGCCTTGAGAGTCTTCAGTGAATTTTCTTCCCTGTTATGCACTTATTTTGGTATTAAAATGAAATCTACATTGGCTGTATTTTAGGGGAAGCTGACTTGCTGCTGCCTAAGCTTTTCCCAGGCCAGAAGAGGTCCGTTAATCTCTTCCCCACATCCTGATGTGTGTGGGTAGCTCTGAGGGACTCAGAGCTGCAACAAACACATGTTACTCTAGGGTTTCCTGAGCACCTTGTCCTGAAACTTCAGTTTTCAAGGCCTGATACCTCCTCTTCTTCCAGTTGCACCAGGTTACACCTGAGCCCAGGTGTTTTCGGCTGGGCCATCACCTCTTTCCAGCAACTGATTATACCCAAGACTCAAGCTACTCCTCTGTTATTTCCAAACTCAAATACCTTCTTCCACAACTTAGGGGGTTTCCAGCAAATAAATAAAGAATACAAAGCAAATATGAGGAAAAATCTTTAATATATTCCCAGCTAAGTTCAGAAGCACCTCCTGAGTGGTTTTACGTTGGTAATCTGAATCATCGAGAGTCTCTTGAGCAGGAGGACAGGGGATCTAGGGAAACAAACTGAGCTTTTTTCCACATTTGCAATTCTGAGTGCAGCCCAGACCAAGAGGCTTCACCCCATTTCACTCCTCAGAGCAGTCTGAGCTGATGAGGGAAGGAGGCTCCCAAGACTCAAGCTACTCCTCTGTTATTTCCAAACTCAAATACCTCCTTCCACAACTTGCAGAATTGTGGGGAAAGACTCAAACCTCTGACACTACGTCCATCCTGCAGGTCTCTGTGCAGCTGCCCCCAAACAAGCATTTCCTCTGTCGCTAGAATAAGACTATATTTCTATGTTCCTGCTGTACCTAGCAGCTCTCTTGGTGCTGAGGCTGAGGCCAGGAGGCCTGCAGCAAAGCCTCAAATACAAATGCATTTTGCTTTTCAGTGGATTTGTTTCCTTGGCTCAGTGCACAGAATTGCTGCCATAAGCCTGCATAGACCGGCAAACATTTACACACTCAAACGACATAACCCTGGGGCCTCACATAAATAAGAAAACTTATCCTTAATTTTTAAATCCTATATATTTACTTCTTGTTATCTCCCTCTTCTAAGAGAAAGAATGACAGCAACAGATGATATCTACTGAGTGCTTATATGTGTAAGGCACCATTCTGAACATTTACATGAATTAACTCATTTCTCCTGAAAGCAACCCATGTAAGATATTATTACTCCCACTTTTCAGACTAGAAAACCAAATCATTTACACAGCAAAGAAGTGGCAGAACTGGAATTCGAATCCAGGCAGTTTGTGTCCAGAGCTGGTGCTTCTATTCTAAGAATGCTGACAATTCTTTCTCCTTCTCCCCGAACACCCTTCCAAATCCTAATGTCTGGGCTGCTGGCAGGCCACTTGGGTTAAGAGAGGTACCTGAATAGCCTGTGATGTCCATCGCCTTGAGGTTCCGACACTTAATCACTGTGAGGGTGAGCCTGCCTGCAGTGGGCAGGTAGCAAAGGGAGAACATGATCTCTCCCAAGTCCACGCTTTCCTGCAAAGAAGCACACAAGAGGGCAGATGAGGGGCTTGCAGACCATGGGCCTCATGTCCAGTGCAGTATCTGCTGGGGCGCTCTGGGGTCAGGAGGAGGCTCTTGGAGACACTGTGCTGTGTTTTTAAGACTAAGGGACTGGCCTCCATGCTGCAAGTAACAGGGTATAAAAGGCAATGGAAACAATATTGCCTCTTCAGTACAATTTGCCCCTTCCAATATTCCCTCTCAATGTCAACCACATTCTGACCCTGGTCCTTGCTGTTCTGCTTTTGGCCTGACTTGATCTCCATGCGCCCCTTGGCTGCAGCCTCAAACCACCAGCCCCTTTGTGGCCTCTTCCTGTTCTCCTCCAGCCCACCCTTCTCAGTCACTGACCCCCTTGACTTCCTGCCCATCCAGGCATGTGGTCATGACAGTGTCCTGGACAAGACACATGCTCTAGACTTCAGCTGTCCCCTCTCCCAGCAGGTCCATGATTCTTTTCTTCTTCTGCCCCTCAGTGCAGTTGTTCTTTGTCAATCACAGCCAACCAAGGAGACAAACACTTTCCATCCCATCTGATGGCAAGTGTTTGATGCCAGGCCTCAGGTCCACTTTCTCTTTTCTCCTTAAATGTGGTCATCCTTTAAAAATAAACCCAGCACAGAGCACACGCTCTGCTGCCTCTCCTAACCCCAGAATTGTCATGGCCAGGGATTCCTGGGAGTTTCTGAGAGAACAGGAAAACCTCAAAGACAGTAAGCACACCCATCTGTGGCATTAAACAGTGCCTTGCCAGGTTGCTTCCTCCATTTGATGAAGGAGGGCGCTGTCACGGTGAAGCCTCCTCCCACAGGTTTGAGGAGGGACTCCAAGATATGGAGACATTTCCTCCCATAGGGCTTCCAGAGTCAGGTTTGAGGAGGAAGAGGTCAGCGTTTAGGGTGATTTCAGATGAGGCCCTCCATCCATCCATCCATTCAGTAATTCAGTCAGTTAACAACTATTTATTGAGCACCTGTTATGTGCTAAGTGTTGATCTGAGTGCTAAGGATATAGGAGAGAACAAAACAGACAAAAATCCCTGTTTTCATGGAACTTAAAAAATAAATTTCAACTTAAAAAAAATTCCACCTTTTATTTTAGGTTCAGATTCAGAGGGTACATATAGAGGTTTGTAACATGGGTATATTGCATGATGCTGAGGTTTGGGGTACAGATGATCCTGCCACCCAGGTAGTGAGCATAGCACCCAACAGTTAGCTTTTCAAACCTTGCCCCCTCCCTCCCTCCCGACTCTAGTAGTCCCCAGTGTCTATTGTTGCCATCTTTACGAGTGGAGCTTACATTTTATTAGGGCAAAGGACAATAAAGGAGGTAAGTATATAAGTTAGATAGTCAAAAGTATCAAGGAGAACAAAAGGCAGAGAAGTGGAATATAAAATGACCAGCAGGAGGCTACAGTTGTTGAATGTTTAGCTAGAGAAGACCTCTCTAAGGAGATAATGACTTCTGGGAGAGAGAAGAGTCGAGGGTGACACCAGGGTTTTTGTCCATTCTCCTTGCAAAGAGCCACCCTCTCCTGGAGACTCCTACAGCCCTGTTCCCCCCCTGGAGAATAAGCCAAGGCCCTGTCTCCCCCTACCTCCAGAGCCTGCGCTCACCGCACTCTCCTCTAGGCAGCCCTGACACCCTCACCCTCTTTTCCTAGCCCTAGATTTGTCTTTTTGTCCAGGCCCCCGAAAAAAGTCACCCCCCAAATCAAATTCTAGGAACAGCAGAAGGTGAATACCCCCAGCTTCCCAGGAAGGGCCTGGCTGGGGCCAGGGCGGGGCACACTGTGGAGACAGCCACCCCTCCTGCACACAGAACCACGTGGCCTCCGCAGAGCCAGCCATCCCACACCAGCCCCTGTGAAGCGCCTCCATGAAGATCACTTCCAGCTGTGAGGCTCTCAGCAACTCTGCGAGGCAGGCTTGTTGGCATTTTCCCCTCCATTTCACGGACGAATAACTTGCTCAGGTTTACAAGCCTTGCCAGCTGCTTGGACTCGTGACTCTCGAGAGAGTGGTCCTTGCACTCCGCTTTTGAGCAATGCCCTTCCAGCTCATCTAGGAAGCTGCTCAAGGGAACCCTCACCCTTCTGCACCTTGGCTTACATTCCATCCACTTGTTCATTTTTGTTTCCATTCGTATTTACAGAGTGCCTGCCAGAGGCACCATGCTTTGTGGAGAGTATGCAGTCCCCACCCTCGACATGCAGATGGTCTAGCGGGGCGTAACCAGTTAAAAGAAGGTGCTGGAGTCCCCATCTCACTCAGGTGCATCTCCTGGCTCCCTAGTCCCCTAGTCAAGAGAGAGACACATAGCAAGTGCCCTGTGCCCTGGCATGGGTCCTGCGGCAGGGGGCAGATCAGCATCACATCTGGCTAAATATTCCATGTCTCACATAGGCACTGAGGTGTAAAGAGAAGCCCCTTTATTTCCCTTAATAACCCTTCAAGCCCCAAGTTACTGAAACTCTTTAGATTCAGTGAGCACAGTACTAGGAACCAACCCATTGCACATGGACTGTGTGCCAGGCCTCTGCTAAGTACTTTGCTAGATTATCTCGGTGAGTCTTACCTCAGCCCTGCGAGGTAGGTGCTCTCTCTCTCATCATCCCTATTGCACACAGGAGAAAATTAGTGTTTGGTGAAGTTAAATAACTGGCCCAAGGCTGTGTGACTAGTGAGTGCTTTGGTGCCAGATTTTCATATATCCTTGCCACTGCTCAAACCCCTTCAGTGGTTCCCCTTGTTTGGCTTCTGGGATCAAGGCTCATCTTCTTAGCTTGCACTTGGGGCTTTCAGCAACTGGGCCCTGTCCTACCTCCTCACCTGCTGCTCTCTCCCTTCTCTGTGCCAACCCTCTGCTCCACATGGCTGGTATATTGTTGGTCCTTCTTGTCAAAATGCCTCCCCTTCTCCTCTTTGCTTGGATACTCCTATACCTACATCATGCCCCCACACCACACCCCCATGGACCCTTGCCCAGGGTCCAGCCCACAGTAAGCATCTCTCCCGAACACCCCTGCAGGGCTTCCTGTCCTCGAACAGCTCACAGGAGTCACCAAGTCCCCTTTGCCCTGCAGCTGTGCCCCCCAGCATCTAGTGACGAGAGCCCCTTTTGGGACAGGGTCCTTGCCTTGCACCTGCTTGTGCTTCAGCATGCCCAGCAGGACACAAAAGCAGCTACAGAAATGCTTGCAGAAAGGGGTGCTCACATTTTAGTAAAAGAACTCTGGAAGGAGTGGTTCTTCACGCAGTGTTATGATCAAGTTAGGGCCCTGGGAAGAACTCTGGAAGCTCCTGTGGCCCCTCTGAGAGGGAGCAAACAAAAGGCCACTGTCACCATTTCCCCACCACCAAGTCCTACAGATGCGGAGTTGCCTGCGCTTTCACAGGCTGTCTCTTTTGGGGGAGTCTGAGTTGATTTGTTATGGACCTGGGAGGCTTGCCTGGGGATATGAGGGGTCCCTCGGGGTAAACAGCATTGCCCCAGGCTCTATGAACTGCTGTCAGGATGGCTCCCTCCAGGGGAGCAGTGACCCGCAGACCTCCCTGGTTTTTGCAGGACCCCTGCTCTTTCTCATAGGACCGTGGCAGCTGGCGACATGCAGGTGCTGAGTCTGCAGTGTGGTGTGGCCCGTGCACCCAAAAATGAACTGCACCCTCCATCCATGGGCGCAGCCAGGTGAAAGGACTGGCTCAAGATCCCACTATGACCTGGAGGCAGGGAGGAAACCAGGGCCAGAAGACAAAAGCCTGGCTCCAGGCTTCGCACGGGGGAGTGGCTGGCCCTCACTGTGCCTGGTGGCAAGTCAGCAGCTCTTGGTTCACTGTTCCCCTGCACACACAAGCAGCGGAGGACTGGATTATTTAATAAAGGAAATTAAACAGGTTAATTTTGAGTAAATAAGAGATGAGAGCTAAACAGAGAGGGTCAGCATCTCCTGGTAGTCACTCTCTCTCTCTGGAAAGCCAGGCCCCAGCTCGGCCCTCACCAGGTCCTCTCTCTGCACTACCCTCTCTCAGGCGGTTTCAGTCAGATCCCACATGGCTTACCAGCCTTTTATCCTCATTAGAGGTGTTTGAGACTTTGGACTTCAATAAAACAAGGGGTGACCAGGGGCTTCAGAACAGCTAGCACATTATTGCTTTCATCTTCACCTGCTGTCAGGAGAGGCTGCCTTAGGGCCCCTGACTGGTAATGAGCTCTCTGGTGCAGGAGAGGTCACTGCTGTCCAGAAAGCAGCAGAAACCAGCGTAGCCCTCTAGACTTCTAACCTAGGAGCTGATAGGGTAGATCTGAGCTCAGTAGCAGCTGGCTGAAAGTCTTGGCTAGTGCTTGCAGGAGGTGGACCTGCTGGCAGGGGAGGGGAAGCCAGGATGTTGGCTTCTGGAGAAATCTGTCCTTTAGTGCAACTTGTCCACCTGATGTCGCTGCCCATATTAGTAGCATTCTCCTTGGCTGCAGTGCACAGGGCATCTGGAGAGTAAGATTCTTAAAGGCTCACCTATCTATAGCACAACACTGTGCTCCCTGGCTTCCCAGAGGCCCATCTGCAACAACTGATTAAAGCACTTCTCTCTACTTGATGCAGTCACATAGTCCTGGGCATAGAAAAAGAGATCCTATTTGTGGGCTGCCCATGAAAGAGCAGTGAACCATGAATCAGGAGACCTGGACTTTAGACCCTCTACCCCCAGTTAGCTGTGAGACCTTGAGCAAATCATTTCCCATCTCTGGTCCTTGGGCTATAAAATGAAGGGGTTGTTCTAGATGAGATGCTCTATCCTCAAGGTCCCTGTCAGCCATGAGAACCCAAGATTCCAACTGGAAAATCTATCAGCCATCACCAACTGAGACGACCCAAGGATGCTTAAGTGGTGTCTATCGCCTGCCTCAGGGAATCTAGCAATTTCGTTTTGAAATCCAAATGCTCCCATTTTTTAAGTTCCCATTGCCCCTCAAATGTTTTGTTCTTCTCCAAGGCCAGTCATGTTTCCTCCTGAATAAGCAGCGAGTGGCGTCAGTGCCTGTGAGTCCATCTTGGGAATGCAGGCTAAGCAAAGCAAGAACAATGCTTCCCCATTTCTTACAGAGCACTTCTAGTCTCTTAGTCATTAAGTGGCTTGTCTGAATCTCTCATCATCAGCAGAGAAGCATCCGCTATACTTTCAGGAAAGCCATAGGAGACCTAAAAAGATCTCAGAAGCACTGGGCAGGAAGTGCTGTTAAGTTCCCCAGGGGTTGTGGGAGGGTAGGGGGGCTGGAAGAGAGATGAGGTAGAAGCCAGTTGGACTCCAATGGCTAAAGAAACCCCGCATTGTAGGCCTGGGGCTCTGTGTTGGGGGTACAGAGATGAGTCAGATGTGGAAGCCAGATACCTGGAGCTGAGCCAGCCCCTGTGATATCTCCTCCCATAGCAACACAGGCCTCCTCTTCATAGCACACACTACAACTCTAACTTTTATGTTGATCTGGGGACTACATGATGAATGCCTGTGTTTCTCACCAGATTGTATGCTCTTTGAAGGCACGAATGGGGTCTGGTTTTATTCATCCTTATACCTCTCATGTGTAGCCCAGTGCCTGATGTGTAGTAAGTGCTCAGCAAATACTGGCTAATGAACAAATGGTTGAGAATGTGGATTTGGGGTCAGGCAGATCCAGCTTCCAGCTCTTAAGACTATGAAAGCTTAAGTACTCCTAAGAGAGTAGTATGGCTTACTTAACCTTTCATAATCTTGGCTTCCTAACCTGTACACTGTACAGTGGGATGAATATAGGACCCACCTCTTAGGGTTGCCGCAGAGATTAAATGAGGTAATTTGTGCAAAGTGCTTACTTAGCACAGTGGCTGGCACAGAGTAGGTGCTTAGTAAGTATTGGCAACTATTATAATTATTACTACTGTTATAAAGAGCTCACGGTCTTGGAACAGGGGCAGGGAAAGGCATGTCAGTAGGTAGTACTGTTTGGTTTGGTCGGTGCAGTAATAGAGGTGTGGACAAGACGTGGGCATGCAGAGCAAGGAAGAAGGAATTCAGCCCCAGATTTCAAGCTAGGCTTCCCAAAGAGGGTGATATTTGATAGGATCTAGACAGGTCAGTAAAAGTAGATTTCTAGCAGAAAAAAGTAAGCAAGCGCTTTTGCTTTTTTTCTCTGGAGAGGGATCAACAGTGCCTAAAGACACAGAAGGGGCAGGGAGTGTTCGGGGCGCATGAGAGGTTCCCTGTGGCTGACAGCATGGTGATGACAGGGGCGGAGAGCTCCCAGATGAGGCTAGAAACAGGGCCCCAGGCAAGGGCCAGCCTTGCCTGCCTCTTAGCCCATACTTGGGAGTTTGTCCTTGATTCTGCAGACAATGGGAGACTGGCTCTACCCCTGCCCTTCCTGCTTTACTTCCTACTCAGTCCACTGTGTCACCTTCAACCCAGACACCCACACCAGAGACCATTTTCATGTGTGTCATTCATTTGTCACACACCCACTAAATGTTGGAGGATCTGGAGAGATAGTAATGATAAGACAAAGTCCCAGCCCTCCAGGAACTTGTATTCTAAGGGAGGAAGACAAAAGTACACTAAGCAAGATGGTACCCAAGGGCAGCGAGGGAGCCAGGGACCTGACCAAGGGTAGTGAGTGGGTGTGCGGCCGCTTTATTCATAGTGGTCCTGAAAGATGGGGAGGAGCAGCCAAGAATGGAAGGAGAGCTCTCAGCAGAGGCTAGCAAAGAGTGCTGTGGGTCTGGCTGGGGGAAGCGGATGGTGGCTATGATACCAGAGTAAGCAAAGGGTAAGAGGGAGGTTAAGGGAGGACTTGCAAGTGCTTGGATTTTGCTTCCTATGAAAAGCAGAGCCCTTTGAGGACTTGCAGCAGTTTGGGACTTCAGCAGCTTGTAAAGAATGGGTGGCAGGGGCCGGGAGAAAGTGAGCATGAGTTCAGATGCTACGGCCTCCACAGCTACTCAGTTCCCAAGCTGCACAGCTTCTCCCTTCTGAGTGTCCCCAAACTCTGAGGCCCTCTCCTCCCATCCTCGCTGCACTACCTCAGCTCTGGCCTGCACCATCTCTGCCAGATCCTTGCAGTTTTCTAACTCCCCCTGCCCACTCCCTCCAATCCATCCTCCTTGCTGTAACCAGGTGGTTGGTCTCCTGCTCAGAATTCTTCAGTGGCTTCTCATTTCACACTTGTTTTGTAGTTGGAAAGCCTCTTCTTCAAATGAAGTATCATCCAAAAGCCCAATCATATACAGCAGCTGAAGAGTGGCTCAGAAACAGGGCATCCAGAGTACCTTCAACACCTCGGGCTCCCTCCTTGGAACTTTTAGGAGTCGGCATGAAAAATCACTAATCCACAGAATCACATGGCATTCAAGCTTCTTCACCGGGTGGCCCTCGCCTTTCTAGCCAGCCTCACCTTCCACTGTTCTGCCCCAGGTGCCGTACACTCCAGCCATAATAACCATAACATTGAGTGTTTACTATGTGCTGTCCTGCCCTAAGTGCTTATACGTATGATGTCATATAATCTTCACAAAAGCCTTGGGAGATGGCTACTACTATTATCACCACTTTTTACCTGGGGACACTGAAGTACGGAGAGGTTATGCAAGTGGCCCAAGGGCACACAGCTACTAAATGGCACAGCCAGGATGTGGACGGAAGCTTGAGAGCCCCCACTTTCAGCCATGACACCATCCTGCCTCTTGATGACACCTCCTCACTAAATGCTCCAAGATCTTTCCCACCTTCATGACTTCATCTTGTTCTTTCTACCACCTGAAATAACCTCTCCATCCCTCTGACCATCCTGGACAACTCTGATCTTTCCAGGCCAGCTGTCCTGTCACCCCCTCTTGGGTCACCTCCTCTGACTCCCTTGGTCTGGCCTGGGGTTGTGCTCCCATTGCCCTTGGGTGGTAAAGGCCAAGGGAGAAATCTTACAACTGCCCCAAGGCAAAGTCAGGACTTCCGAGAGGAACCCGGCAGGATGTGCTAAACTGCCGGGTGAGGGGCTGCAGGAGGAGAGTGGAGACTGACGCTCTGCCCGCCCCACGTTCCCACAGCTGGCTCAGCTCTCGCCTGGGAGAGAGGAGCTGTGGGAGTGGGCACTCCTTCCTAGGGTGCCGAGAGGGGGCCCCTGCTGTGAACACCGGCCTGGGTGACGTGAGTTGATTCCCTGCTCCGCCTCAGGCCCGGGCTCCTAGGGCTTCAGCAAGAATGCTGGGGGTGTCTGGGGTGGAAGGGTGGGATGTGTCTGTTGTGACGCTCGGGGCTTCCTGCTGGGTGCTGGGGCAGGTTCTGTTTGTTCTGAGTTCCATGCCTGCTTTTACTCTCAAGTGCTTCTCTGCCCCAAGGGCCTTGCAGCATTATGAATAAATGATCAACCAGAATTGAGGCTCCTTATACGAACTCAGTATACTCCAGCTTCACCCTGCAGTGTGGACACAGAGCTAAGGACTGCCCCATGGAGAAGCGGGCACCCCCAAGCCGGTGTGGAGCAGCGGTGCACGGAGGACGTGGGTGAGATCCTTGAGTCTGGGTTTGTCCTAGGGACCCATTGAGACTAAAGCACATCAGCGGGAAGCAAATGTTTCAGCATCTGAGCATCTTCAGAGAAACAGATGGTCTTATTTAGGAAACTTTTTCTCAGCCTCCCCTTCGTGAACCTGCCCTTGAAAAGAGGCTTAGTATTTCACACGCACCATTACTTTTGGGCAAATATCCGTGAGTCAGAACACACTGGGAGGTGCAGATCTCTTCCTAATGACTTTTTAAAGTGAGGGTGGAGAAGAAGAGGGGCTGAGAGAGTGGAAAGGAGCTTGAGAGGAGTGGAGTTTGGAGAAATTTTAGAAGAGATGGCAGTAATGCCTGGTCAAGCCAGGAAGTCTGTGCCGTAGGGTGCTTGTGCCTGAGAGCCCAGAGCCGAGGACCTCACTTCAGATCTGGTCCTTCCACTGTCATCTTCATTAACCACAGGGGTGGTGGGGGTAGTAAAGGGTACATTAATGAAGTTAATGATGAAAATCCATCTTAATTTCTTGTCACAAGTTGTCTTGCCGAGTGGCTGTCAAATAGCTGCCAGTTTCTCCTGGGGAGAGGGCAGACATCTCCCCGTGGTGAGAGATCTGCTCTCTGCCCCTCGCAGGGCTGTGGGGGCTGGGACTCTCAGCAGGAGGGAAGATACCTTGGTCCTGGTTTCCTGATGAGTCTCCTGGGGCAGCTGAGGAATGTTTCTTGCAAACAAGTGCCCTGAGGGGGATGCCAAATAGGCAGGGCTTTGGTCTCAGCCAAAGGCACAGGCCTGCACTGCGTGACAGTGGCTTTAGCTTCATCATCTCTTTGGGGACAGTCACCCTGAAGATTAAGATCTTTCCCCACCTCCTGCTCCCCACACTCCAGAATCTCTGGGTCTTGCCATGGCAAGGTGCTCCATAGAGAAGCTCTTTCCAGCCTTTCACAGAGTTGACTGCCCTGCTCTTGACAACTCCACTTCCTTCCGGTTCTTCTCCCACCTCTCTGGCTGCCTTTTTCAGGTTTCCTGTGCCAGCCTCTTCTCCCATCCCTGCCTCTAAACAGTGAAGTTTGTCAAGCTTTTTCTCTCCTCACTCAGCCATAATGTTAATATCCATCTCCCCACTCATGGCTCCTGAGTTTATGGCCCCTCCGCAGACATCTCTTCTAGACTCCAGACTCATATATCCAAAATGACATGGCCATGTGGCTGGAAATCTAAAACTTCTCAGAGGCTCAAAGTTGCCCTTTTCTGTTTACATTCTCCTCTAATTTTCCCCAACCTGGCCCATCCATCCACCCAGTTGCTCAAGCCAGAAATGAGACATCTTTGTGGACATCTGCCTTCCTCTTTTGGATTTAGATCATCATCAAGCCCTGATAATTCTAACTCCAAATTCCATCTCAAGTCCACCCACCTCTCTCCATCTCCAGTGCCACACGGAGGCCAAAGCCTACCCCCCTGCCAGCATACAGCCGCCTCCTATCTGCCTTCCCTGCTTCCCTTGCTCTCCCGCCCCATTCTCCACACAGCAGCCAGAGTGCTCTTCCCCAGATGGAAAATGGATTGTACCACTCCTTGTTTAAAACCTCCAATGGCATCCCCTTTCACTAGGAATAAAAACAAAAGCACTTATCAAGATCTACAGGGCCCTCCACGAACGGGGCTGACTCTTCAGCCTCCCCCCGTGCCAGGGCTCTCCTCACAGGCTTCCTCAAATGCCCCAGGCTCTTCCTGCCCCATGACTTTGCACTTTCTCTTCCTCTGATTGACCGTTCTTTCCCCAGCTCTTCACATGGCAGAGACCCACTCATCTCAGGCCACTTCCTCCAGCGCCTCCCTCTGCTGCCAACTGTGTTCCCGAAGGACAGATCTGGGTCTGTTTTGCCAGGGCCAGGACAAGGGTGAGGCAAAGCAGGTGCCCAGGTACAAAAGTGAAGGAAGTGCTCACTGTCAGGTTCATGCATGTATCCAAGAGTGAGTGTCCCCTTCCATTCTGCCCCCTGGGTACTTCACTCGCCTCACCCTAATCTCAACCTCATATTTTACTCACCACTGTATTCTCAGTACTGAGCACGGTGCCTGGTGTATAACAGATGCTGACAAGTATTTGTTGAATTAATGAGCAACTCAGCTTTGTGGGGCTCACCTGGTTAAGGTGGCAAAATGAATGGGTGACAAGAGTAGGCCCTTGCTTAACCTCAGCCTCAGCCTCTGGTCTCCCCAGGAGGGTTGCTGTGGTTATTGAGATGGTGTCAGGGTGGAGCCTCATAGGTGTTCCTCAGCGGGTGGGCTGAATATTCCCTGCATTAGAAGCTTGGGAGGTGGAGACTTGATTCCTGAGCTGCGCCCAAGATCTACTGAGTCATCATCTCTGGAGGCGGGGCCTGGATGTTTGCATTATTGACAGGCTTCCCAGATGAGTGTTACATAGCCTCAGTTCGTGATATAAGGCGAGAGATTCTGAGGTTGCCCCAGGTCAGACCCTATTAGAATCTCTGTGACATGGAACATGTCCTAATGCAACTGAAGTCATTAAATATCAGAGCTGCCAAGCAAAAGTTAAGGCATAAAAGGCCTCTTCTCTTTTTTTAGGCACAAGCAAGGGTTCTGAAGGATCGAAGCCATGTGGGCTGCTGGACTGGTCCTGGCCCTCACCACTTACTTCCCTTTGCCTTTTTCCTGTGCACCACATGGCACACTGGGTATATTTTAGAAAGAAGCTGCCTTATCCAAATTTACAGGGTTTAAGAAAATTAGGTATTAAGCAAAGACAGTGTTTCAAAGATATCTGACACCACTCTGTAAATATTCCTTATTGCCATAGATCTCCAAGGATGTGTTCCTGACCAATAAGATCAGCATCACTTGGAACTAATCAGAAACACAAATTCTTGGGCCCTACCCTCACCAGAAGGCAGGGCCAATAATCTATGTTTAACATGCCCCAGGGAAGTCTCAGGAACTGACAACCATTGCTTTTGTCTAGTTGGAAGAACCAATTGAACACGAATACTCTGGACAGGATTTTGAAGTTTCTTCCACTTCTTTGAATCTATTTATTTTGGTGATTAAAGCCAAAGTCAAGAGAGGAGGAGATTAACAGTTATGGAGCATCTACTAGTTTGTAGGCACTATGTTGGGTACTTAACACTTTTTTTTTTTTTTTTGAGTGTCTCGCTCTGTCGCCCAGGCTGGACTGCAGTGGTGCGATCTCGGCTCACTGCAACCTCGGCTTCCTGGATTCAAGCAATTCTCCTGCCTCAGCCTCCCGAGTAGCTGGGATTACAGGTGCATGCCACCATGCCGGGCTGATTTTTGTATTTTTGGTAGAGACGGGGTTTTATCATGTTGGCCAGGCTGGTCTCAAACTCCCGACTTCATGATCTGCCCGCCTCGGCCTCCCTAAGTGCTGGGATTACAGGCATGAGCCACTGCACCCAGCTCTTAACACATATTACGTTCATTTTACTCATACTCTATGCCTGGGAGGAGCGCATAATCATCTCTACATTGTACTGAAACTCATAGAGGTTAAATAACTTGCCTAGGGTCTCATGTGCTAAGCTTGGCTTTGGACTCAGGTTTGTTGACTCTGAAGGTGTTGCTCTTCTCCTCCATCCCACCCAGCCTCCTCTGGGACTGTCCATGCTCCACCCCACTCCACCCCACCTTCTGTCCCTGGTTATTGAGGGTTAGGGCTGCCGAGGACCGTGTAGGTTTTGAAGGTGAAATTTCTTGGTGTTCTGGAAGCAAGAAGCATGAGAGAGAAAGCTCTGAGACTTAGAATATTACCTCCCTTCTGCCTGCCCCCACCTGCCTCTCTTGAAAGAAGATGAATGGATGGTGTCACCCTGCGTTACAGACTATGAGAGGATACATCCTGCTCACTTAAACCTGCTAGTGCAGCACCCTGGCCTCAGCCCGTCATTTCTCACGAAAGTCACCTGTTAAGTCATTCTCTCACCAAGTGCCAAACTGCTGCAGCAGACACTGCCTCAGGGGAAGGAGGGAGGGGGAGAAGCTAGGCCAGCAGGGGCAGAACCCCTGGGCCAAAATTCTTGTCCCCAACGCGGCAGTTCAGTGGAAGAACCCCGGGCCCTCTCTGCACAGATCTTTGTACCTGAGGTCTCTGGGGAGCAGCCACCAGGACTGGGAGGAGGAAACCCACATATGAAAAAGTTTTGAGCCAGTGAAGTGTTTCCCCTGTCTCCTGTAAAGGTGTAGTTATATTCCTCACTGTTATTTCCTTGCTTCCTTAGGTCTTGAGGAAGGGTGAGGAGATGGTCTGTGATCTCTACAGGCTTCTTGGGAGAGTTGAAGGTGTCAGATCTCAAAATTCATTCCCTTGGTGCGGGATATTTAAGGATCAGAGCAAAGCAACTCCCATCACATGCCACTAGGAAGCAAGAGGCCCCAAGTGATCAGCCAACTTACCCAGTCCCAGCTTCCCAGCAAGACCACATTCAGCTTAACAATCAATGCCTCTTTTCCAGTGTTCCACCCCCGCCCGGAACTCAGGAAGTCCCCCCAAATGGCTGACCCAGTTCCTGGGGCATCTATGCCTTCCCTCCTAGTTCCCACCTACTATTACATCATAATTTAGAGGTTATGCCTTCTAAGACTGTATCAGTTTTGACTCCACCTTCTCTTCACCAAAACCAAGAACCTTCCCTTGGCCTCATGTTTTAGGCATTTTGGTGGCCTTCATCTAGACCCACGACTAATCATCAACGAAGAACTCCTGATTCATGATTCCAGAAGGGAAGAACCATGAGTCTGCTACAGGAGTTTTAGTATAAACAGTTCCAAGGAGCGATGCATGGAGTTGGGCACAGAACCTGGGGTTCGAATCCCTGCCCTGCTGCTTTCCAGCTGTGTGACTGTAAAACTCACTGAAGGTCTCTGACCCTTTCTGATGATGGGCAGTATTGTCATGCTTGAGGTGGCTACCTGTGAAGCAGGTGCCTTTCGCCCTGATTTACAGGCATAAGAGGAAACCACGGGGAGAGCACGGCCAGCTGCTAGTAGGAAAACCGAGACGTGCATATAGCAAGAATACAATCTGTTTGTAAGCCTTTCATTCTCCTGCCACATGGAGGCAGGTGGTGGCACTAAGCCCACTGGGTGTGCAGTCCCCACTGCCTGCCTGGTGGGCTGAGGGGCCAGGTGTGCCCCATGGATGTCTAAGTCAGCAAAAGTTGGAGGAAGAGGCAGCTGCCTTGGAGTTGTTCCTGGGTAGAGGGTGGGAACGACACATCTTCTAGCCTGGATTTCAGAGGCCCCAGCTCCTGCCTGCAGGGCCCCATGGAAGCTGAGCTGATTTGCTGGCTCTTTCTTCCCTCCCAGCCCTGGGCTTCCCTACCCAGCAGCGCCTTCAATCAGTAGGATTGGGGAGGGCATCCTGTGTCTTCTCAGGCTCCAGTTCAGATGTTCCCAGTAAGAGAACTTAAGGGAAAAATTAAGCTGGCTCTCAGAGGTCTGGGTTCAAATCCCGGTTCTGCTGCGAATCAGTAGAATGATATGGGGCAAGTCACTGTGCCTCCCTGAGCTGTGCATCCTCAGCCGTAAAATGAGAGCATTGTACCAGATGACCTCACCTCCTCATTAGTAAAATAGGGTGAACCGTGAAGCCCAATGAGTGTATGCACTGAAGACGCCTCACAGGGATCTAGTGCAGAGCAAACTCTTCAGACACTTTCGGGCCCCTTCCTGTTCCATCCTGCTGTGGAGCGGCCTCTGGCCGCTAGTGGGTTGGCTTCAGCCATCTCCAAACTGCATCCTGACAATGCCTCACTGGAAGGAGAAGCAAGCGGTGTGGGAGAGGGGGACAGGAAGGAGGGAGCATGGGGCCAGGATCCCAGAGATTTCCCAGGAAGTACAGAGCTCTTTGCTGGGAGGTTGCTATAAACCAGGCCCCAGGCCTCCCTTCCCCCTGCTCACCCAGGAGCACGATGATAAAGCGCCAAATTAGCTCCATTATTGTAACTCCTCCAAAAATTACAGGCCGCATGTTCTGCCAGAGCCAGCTAATGTCTCTCATTGGTAAGCAGGTGACACTAATAGTTATTTCCTCCCTTCCAGGCACCAAGTGCAGAGTGGCAGAAACAGAGTGAGGCTCAGGCTGGGAGGAGAGAGGCCCAGGGAGAAGCCGAGGCACTGGACGGCCCTGGTGCCAGGGGTCGCCTGAGTGCCACAGCAGAAGTTTGCAGATCCTCCCTTTGGCTTAAACTGCCTCTTTGCACTGTATGAACCTGGAGACCTCCCTGCTCAGGAATGGCGCTGCCTGGCATCTGGGGAGGCCACAGCACGCAGGCCATGCCAGGCCCTCCGGCGGGGTGTCCCTGGGGCTCCTGCTGCTGCTGCAGAGGGGCCTGCTGCTCCCCGGCTGTCCCCGCGGCTCAGGTTCCTTCTCCCAGGCGATGCCCAGCTTTCTCTGGCTTCCCACACAGCAGTCAGCATTTCCTCTCTCACCTCTTCCATCCTCCCCCACCCCCATCTGCCTCTCCTCTCACACCAGACAGAGCCATCTCCTGTCGGTGTCAGCTGAGGCAACGCTTCCTCAAGGGGGCAGGGTCCCAAACGGGAGTGGAAATAGCCCATTCCCAGGCATACCCAGGCCCCTTTCTTCCAGGTCCAGCAGCGAGAAATCACAGATTCCTGGACCTGGGGTGGCTCCTATGTCTCCGTGATCACTGCCCTCCGTGCACACCATTGTTCTGCAGGGCATCCAGCAACTCAGTCCCAGCCCAGTCCTTCCTAGAGATAAAGGTGGGAATCGGGTCGGCCTGACGTCTCTCTTTAAAGGATTCCCAGCCAAGCCCCTTCTGCAGTTAGTAGTTGAAGTGTAAAGCCCTCTCTGGTGATCACTGTGAGAACTCAAGGGTCCCAAGAGATTACAGGCCCCTGTTCATTTCACATATCAGAAAACAGAGGCTTGGAAGGGCTGTGTGCCCCTGGTGATTCTACTTGGAGTTTTCCAGCTCCCAGGCTAAGCTGGAATCCCTTTCTCTTACTTTCCAATTCCATCCCACAAGTATAAATTGAGTACCTACTGGATGCAAGGCCAGGGTTCAGGGCTCCAGGGCACATGGACAGTCCCAAATTCCAGGAACTACCTACCTCTAACACTGGATGACGATAAGGAAGAACTTTAAAGATACTACACATAGCTGGCATTCATTGAGCACTTGCTGTGTGCCGATGGGCACTTGGCTGAGATTTGTGTGAATTCTCTTCTTTAATCCTCACAATAACCTTATGGAAAAGGGTTATTTTTACCCACACTTTACAGATGAGAGAACAAGCATGGAGATATTACGTTAAAGAGTGGGGAGATATGGCTTGAACCCAGGCAGCCAGACCCCAGGGTCTACCTCAGCCACCATGCCAAGCCAGCTTGGTTTTCTGAAAGGTTGTCCCTGAGAATTGTTCACCCAATGCTTCTGGAGCTCTGACTGAGCAGGGTTTGACGGGGCTTTACACATTCTCTCAGTAACTTGTTTTCAAAAACCTCTCTCAGGCCGGGCACGGTGGCTCACGCCTGTAATCCCAGCACTTTGGGAGGCGGAGGCAGGCGGATCACGAGGTCAGGAGATCGAGACCATCCTGGCTAGCACAGTGGAACGCTGTCTCTACTAAAAATACAAAAAATTAGCCAGGCATGGTGGCAGGCACCTGTAGTCCCAGCTACTCGGGCGGCTGAGGCAGGAGAACGGCCTGAACCTGGGAGGCGGAACTTGCAGTGAGCCGAGATCGCACCACTGCACTCCAGCCTGGGCGACAGAGAGAGACTCTGTCTCAAAAAAAAAAAAAAAAATCTCTTTTAAAGATTCTCATGTATTTGTCAAAACAAATTTGTGAGCTAGGTTTTATAATTACCCCCACTTTGCAGTTGAAAAACCGAAGGCATAGAGGTGTTGATGAGGTCTCAGAATTCAAAGACCACACTATGATCTCTCCTTGTGATGGTGTTCACTGTGTGATGCCCTCGGTAGAAAATTTCCTCTTGTCTTAGAACCAGGAATAGCTTAGTGTTTCCTAAGCCTCTGGTTTGTCTTTACTTAATGGACGCTGAATTCTGTGACTATCTTTCCCTTATTGTGTTATCTGCCAGAATGCTTCAAGTCAGTTGTGTGGCAGGTTTGGAGGGCAGGGCGTGCACATTGTGTAGGGGACTCGCTGGATTCCAGAATTTCACATTCTTTCACTTATTTTTTTGCTACTCTTTAATGATGTTTCAAACTTATTTTTAATCTTGTCGCATGTCCTATGAGCTAGCTAAATCTTTTCTGGAGCAACACAAAGTGACAAGCAAAATAAATAAACGTTTTTATTACTTGCTGTGCAACCTCAGATAATTCACTTAGTCTCTCTTAGCTTAATTTTCTCTATCTACAGAATTAGGATAATTCCTCCTACCTGCTGAGGATTAAGTGAGACAATGTGTGCAAAAAGGCTCTGTAAATTCAACAGTGGTATATAAAGGCAAGGTGACTTGTTACCAATATTGTTGTTATTAGTAACAAGATGGGGTCCCTGCCCCTGGGGCACCTGCACTCAGGGATTGGTAAAGAGGGTGTGGCTGGCTAGGACCCCCTCCTACGTCACTGGAAAGACACCCAGGGTTGTGTGGCTTGAAGGAGCTGCTGATGCTGCCCTGGCTGGAGAACAGAGCTGCATCAAACCTCACGCTGTCCGTGCCTAGAGGCAGGGCCTTCATTGAAGCTGTCCCTACCGCCCTGCCCACTGGGCAGCTAACTGGCCAGAGAGGGACAGGCGATGTCTCCATAGCCACCAAGGCCCCCAGGGGGAGGTTGGCAGTCCCTGTGAGGTTGTAGGACTCTCCAGAGAGTCTTCTGGGATCTCAACCTCATCATCTGAGAAGACCATGGCCCCTCCTACTCCTAACATCTCAGAATGCTCAGGGACTTGCTGATATGAGATGGGCAGTGGCCTTGGTCTTTGGTGAGAAGGCTGGCTTGGGGCCTGCCAGATCTTCAGGCCTGTCCTCACTATCCCTCCTTGGAGCCTTGGCCCTGCACACCTCGCACTCTCCTCCCTCCTGTTCTTCACTCCACATCTTCCCTTCTTTCCAGCATTCCTCCAAAATGCCTTAATCCTGAACATTTGCAGGCCCAACCCAGCCAGTGCATCAACCCCTCACAGCCTCCATGGTAGTCCTCTCCCTTCACTGCATTCACATTGTTTTCTAAGCAACAGGAGGACCCTGGGGCTCATCGAAATGGGAGTTGCAGTATTCTTGGGAGAATGGGCTTATAGTGAAACGTATTTTTTGTGGCTTTCTGTATTTTCTAACTTATCTAAAATAAGAATGTAATACTTTACCTTGAGGCAAAGAAGGGTAAAATATATTAGTTATATAGTGTGTAAGGAAAATGATATCAGTTTTGGTTCTCTGCTCTATCATTTTAAAACTGTGTGACTTCAAGGAATTGCCTCAGTTTCCCCATCTATAAAATGGAAATACTGATATCTTCCTATATTGAGGTTAAATGAGAACACGTCTTTGGAAATTTACTTATAAACACATTAGTTATTGTTGTTGTTAGATTCAAGAGCAATAAACCATGGCAAGAACCTAGGAAGGCCCTTGTCTCATTGAAATTGTATTGCACCCTAGTCACAGCCCTGTGGTAGAGATTGTTGTCCACATTTGGCTAAGGGGGAAAGCGAGAGGTGAAGTGGTTTGACAGGCCACACAGTGGAGCCACCTTCAAGCCCCAGCCTCCTGACTCCAACTCTTGCTTACCTGCAGGCTCTTGGGGCCTGGAACCAAGTCTGCCGTTGGATCCGTGCCCCTTGCAGGGTCTCATGGATCCTGACTGACAGCGCAGAGCTGACTGCGTGGCCTTGAAGGTGCTGCACCATTATCAGGGCCTCAGCTTCCCTGTGAGTGAAATCTTTGTTCTCCCTTCTCAACACATGAGAGATGCAACCTGACATGGAAGTGGTTTGGGTTTTATTATAATCACACTTAAGGTTATTCCTAAGCGCATCATCTTCAGGCTGCAAGGTCTCCTCGAAATTCTTTTCCAAACAGAATTTCTTAGCGGAACCAAAAAATGTCCCTCTCTTGGGGACTGGAGTCCTCCAGGGGGAGGAGGGTTGACAGAAAGCCAATCAAACAAGATGGAACAGGAATGAGCACTTTGCTGCTTCCCTGGCGTGTGATGGACACAGCATGTACATTTGTGTGTGTGTGTGTGTGTGTGTGTGCGCGCACATGAGCATATGCACACACACACGTGGGGCTGCCTGGGGTCTGGCCAGACTCAGGGTGGGTGGCAGAGGGCTCTGCTGAGATTCTACTTCCCTATCTCTTGCAGGAGGCAGAGAGGAGCGCAGCCAGAGTTTCTCTGGTAAAAATTCTCCAAATAGGGTTGGGGGAATACTTTCCTAGGGAACACCCACTCCCTAAAAAGAGCTGGATGGCTGCCTGCACTTGGATAGGATTCACTAAAAACGCCCTTTCAGCAGGAGTTGGAGTTACAAAGGCCTTCACTGCCAGCCTTTCCCCCTGGCCTCTTTTTCTCCACAAACCTACCAAAAAGGCCCAGCAGCACCAAGAAAGGTTGGTTCTCAAAATTTTCCCCATCAAAGTCACCTTGAGCCCTAATCCCCTACTTTCAAAATGCCTGTCCGGGCCCTGCCCGCCCAGCACAGCTTGTCAGCATTAGAATCCTGACTCACACCTCCTTTTCTCCGGGGCCCGCGAGGCACTCTGAGCTTGGCTGTTCCGCGTGCCCTCCTTCCTGCCTTTTTGCTTCCAGCTGACTTTCAGCTAGTTCCTCTGATGTATTGATCCTGTGAGGGGCTGGGCAGGGCTCCCGGCAGTGTCTCACAGGGCCCTGCAGGAGTGACTCAGCTGGAGATGGCTCTGACAATGTGGAGGAGGCATTTTCAAGCAGGTGCCTCAAGTCACAAAGCTAGCCCTGTCCCCAACTTCTCAAGAAGGGAAATGCTTATCATGTTGTCATGACACACCACCAGAGCTGTTTTTTTCTCTCTGGAAGTTGGACTGTTCCTAGCACATGGTCCAATGTGTCACTACAGAGATGTGAGTCAACCAAAGGCTCGAGGAGGGATGGACTCACCCTGGGAAAGAGCCCCAGGCCAGTGCTGTTCCCATGCATGTGGGTGCAGGGGTGGCTCAAGGGGCTGTCCTCTCCCCTCTCCTTCTACAAAGCAGTGACCTCTTTTATTCAAACAAAGTGCAAAGCCTTTTGGGGGCAGCAGAGAGGAGCCCTGGAGAAGGCTGGCAGGTGGCCAGGGTGGCTGAAGCTGGACCCTCTGTCTCTCCCCCTGCACATTCTCCGTCTTTCCTTTTGGGTTTTCTTTCTGGTTCTAGGTGCTCCTTCATGTTCTGTCCCTGCATTCTCTTTAAAGCTCCAACTCAAGTGTAGACCCAACCCTGCTCCTGGTTCCCATCACATCCCTGAAAGAGCCTGGTAATATAAAAAAGAACTTCTTCAAATACTAAGGGTGAGCAAAAGGAAATAACCACAGACAAAGCAAACAACACTGCCTCAGGGTCTCCAGCCCCAGGTGGCCAGGACACTTGCACAGGCCCCTCCCCGGCTCTTTCCCTGGCAGCCCTCTGCCTGTCCCTGTGGAGTGGCATCCTCTGTTTTATGGACATTTACCTCTAACACTCTGTCTCTTTTCTGGCTGAGACCCCATCCGGCTGGGGCCTCCTTCTCATTTTGAATGGAAGGACTGGTTCATTCTCAGGAGACTTGCAGAACTGGGAGGGTTGAGATAGAAGTGGCTTCCCCCTTCCTATCTCAGGTGGCAACTCCACCCAAGCCCTAAGGAGGGGCCTCTCTCTGCATATATAGGAAAATGGCTTTACAAGCCCCACAGAAATGCCAATGGCCATAGCAATTCTTAGGAAACAGAGAAAGCAAATGCCATTTGAAACCACAAAAACCTTCTATGGAGGGTGGAGCCTGGTAAAGGCAATATAACAATCTTAGGGTCCCCACTGCTCCTGGAAATGATGGCCAGTTATTCAGTTAGAAATCTTGTTGGGTTTTAAATGTGAGAAGATGGGGCCGGAACTGAGCTACACCTGGGGATGGGGCTGGGGCTGGACAGAAGTCAGGCAATTTAAAGAGGGACGTGTGGTGGTGGTTTGGATTTGAGGCCTAGAACTTGTGGGGAAGGGAGAGGGAAGACGATAGAATGATGGGAGTGGTGGGGAGCTGGGGGCAGGTGCCCACCAGCAGTCTGCTGTGCCACTGGGAAGTGGCACTTTCCATCACAACAGACCTTCAGTTAAGTGCTGCTCCTCACTTTGTGTTGCTTGGAGTGTGGTGGAGCTAGACCCGTGTTCCATGACTGGGTCAATGAAGGAAGAGCCATCGGAGACCAAGAGGAGGATGACATTTCAGAAGAGGTGGAACGTTGGTGGCAGAAGGGACTATGATCATATATGCTCTCCCCAACCCAGGAAGAGGCAGGACGCATGGAGAGAGCCCCTGTTAGCCAGTTCCTGAGTGGCAACATGGGGGAGGGCTCGGAGCACATGCAACCGGCTGGCCCAGGTGGACTGCCGCTCACTGGCCTGGTGACCTTGAGCAGATTGCCTGAGTTGCTTCATCTGGAAACTGGGGATAACACCAGTACCTACCCTGCAAGGCAGGGGTGAGGAATGAATAAACAATGCACTTACAGCCTGGCACACAGGAGGCCAAGAAGCTCTGGTGGACACCCTGCTTAACGTGCAGTTGGAATTCTGCACATAAATTGTCATCTGAGGCCTGTTTTTGCACCCATTCCTGATCTCACCTCTGTTCCCTCCCACCTCAAGTGCATCAGACACAGGTTTTGTGAAGAAAACATAAAATATCTCCTAGGGAAACCCGACCCATGGTCGAGGATGTTGGTGAACTCCAAGTTGTGTCAAATCCAGACGATCAGCAGGGTAGGACTCTAAAATGACAGTCTTTTGAAGCAATTATTGGTGTTTTTCAGGCCATCAAGATGGAGGGCAATGCCAGCCTGTGCTGGCCAGACATGGATGAACATCTTGCTGTGGCTCATCCTGTCCCAGGGGCTGTCTCTCTAATTCCCTCATCCCAAGGCCAAGTGGACTTCATGGAAAGCTCTCTACTCAGATTTCAGTGCAGCCCTAGAGAGGCCCTCAAGGTCTCAGGGACTTTATCCAGAAAGGAAGATATTAAATATTCATGGAGAATGAGTAGGTGTCAATTCAGACATGAGAGGAAAATGTGGCTACAGTGGATGGCTGATGAGGATGAATGAGGGCCAGATGGGCTCGGGGTTGGCAGTGGCGTGGGGGCTGGAGGGAGGGGGAGGATGGCTGCTGTAGAGACCAAATTTTTCTGTGTTGCTGCTGACACTAAAACACCATAAACATATGATAGCAACTGGACAAGGCTGACCTATACTCTACAGCTCACCTTGTCTCCTTCCTCCTCTAAGGTAGAAATATTTATGTACCATGGGGAGATTTTGGGTGGGGGTTAATTGGCTCAGGATCAAAACACTTTGATAAACGGCCTCTTTTTTCCTTGGTTTTCCTGCTGATGTTGCTTGTTGGTTTGCCTATTTCTGGTCTTAGATCTTCCTTGCATGGAAAAGACTAACTTTTGGGAGAGGGGAGGGGGTCTTTGCTCTGTGCCCTTTGACATTTAATGCCTTTAACTCCAAATTCTGTCTTTCACCTCTTCCCTACAGTATAGAGAGGCTCACAGGCACAGGATGAAGGCAGTGAGTGGGCAGGGGCCTGGGAAGGAAAGAGTGAAAACAAGGCAAGAGAATTTCCTATAAAAACCCAGAGACTAGGAAGGGCATGGGCTGGGTCTCATGAGACCTGATTTGGAGCCCAGATTTGCATTGACTCCCAACCACCCCAAGCAAGGTGTGAGACTTCTTTGGTCTGAAATTGCTCATCTATGGCAGGAGGAGGTTGAGCCAGGTCATCTCCGAGGCTCTTTCTAGCTCTGACCACCCCCAAGTCCATGAAAATATGGAGTCATAACACCATGGTCCGCGGGAAAATGTGAAGTCCCTCAGGGACTGCTCCAATTCTCCCAAGTTGGTTGCTATTCTGGTCATAGTTACACCCCATGACCCTAGTCTCTCTGAATTGCTGCTGATCTAGGAAACTGCATTCCCTTCCTCCTGGATGAATCCTGGAGTTCAAAAGTCTGTGACAGTGCCCAGAGGGGATGTTTGGCTGTTGCTTTCCTTGCGACCAAATAGTCTCTCTCCAGGAGAAAATGTCACTGTGTGCTATTAGGTGGTGGAAGCACTAAGCAAGTGCATATGCTCTGGGAGCAAGGTGGGGGGAAGCAACGGGAAGTACATCTGTGTTGGAGAAATCGCTTTTTGTTGATGCATGAGCTTGTTGCCTAATGATTTCCCATTCATCCTCTTGTAAGGGAAAGATTAGATATTTATTCCATCCAAAGGCACAGCATACTAATGAGGGGCACATTTGGCCGGGGGCAGGTTCGGCTTGCCCACCAGCTCTGTGCTGAAGCAGGCTGCGAGCAGAGGGAGGGAGGGAAGACAGGGCTGCGGTCTGGTTGCCAGTGAGAGCCGTACCCTACAGGAAGCTGGCCTGAGTGGGCAATGGGGCTGTCTGGAGGCTAGGGAACTCATCAAGAGTGAAAGTGGAACTGTCTCCACTGTCTGGGCCTCTGGCAGCTTTGTAAGGCCATTTCTTCTGAAGCAGCAGAGAAGGATCTTTTGTGAAAGGCCAAGTTTAGAAACAACTTAAATAAGAACACCCAAGGCCAGCAGAGCTGAGTAGCTCTGCTTACTGCAGGTCAGAGCCCTGTCTGGACCATTAGCTTTGTTTTCCAGCATCACATGGGAAACCTTTAGCCCCCTGGAGCCAAGAACAGCTACAGGTCCTAATTTTGGCTCAAGTGAGAGTGTGTGGAAGGGTCACCTCTGCAGCAGGAACAGTTTGTGGACTTGGAGTCCTCACCTGTGGTGGAAGGGGCCTGCTGCTGCTCAGCTGTGGGAGTGTGTGACTTGACTCCTGGATTGACCATGGAGGCCCTAGTGAAGGCTGCCCGTGGGATGGAGGGTGGAACCCACACCTCTCCTCTTTCCTTTCTGGGTTCTTGGTGGATTTTCAGCAATCCTTCTCTAGAGGAGCCTTGGCCCCTTGGGCAGTCCCAGAAAAGTCAAGGTCCTGTTGGCTTTAGAACCTGGGGCTGGACACAGTGAGGCACATTCTCAGGATCTGAGCTTTGAGCATGGAGGGACCCCTCCCTGCACCCTCCAACCCCCAATTTCCTCCTAGTCACTATAGGACATGAGGTCTGAGGTTAGGGCTGCTGTTACTATTCTGGAGCAGGAAAAGCTGCTCCTTGCTTGATGTTCCCATCTGACCAAGAAATCCTTCCAGGGAGGCAACCAAGCTCTTCACCTCCTCCCCTCTTTGGTGAGAGGTACAAAGGAGAGGTCCCACCCATCTCTGCATTGGCAGGAGTGGAAGGAATAAACTGTGAGTAGGATGCACTGGACATTTCCAGCGATTGGCCCAAGGGAGGGGGTGCCAGAGAATAACAAGGATGATGAGACCAGGCCCAGGGGAGCATGGGGGCAAATGAACATCCAGCAAAGACAACCGGGGAGCTGCACAGCTCCCGTTGAGCAGCAAACACACAAGGGAGCCTTGCAGCCCTACCAAGGACCCGGTGGCTTCTGACTCAGGTGGGTGGGGGCCAGGCAGCTGGGAGGGCCACTGCTGGGCTCACTTGGACTGCTCAAAGAGGGCCACAGGACTGGCCATCTTCATGCATTATTCAGAGTGCTCCGGCTGCATGGTTTGGCCTGGGGAGCAGTCTTCATGGGTTTGGGCAGGCCACCCAGGCCCCCAGACTCAGGCACACCTTTACACCCACTGGGGCTTCCGTGTAACCCTGATTTGCCCTGCTGGCCTCTTTCAGAAAACTCTCCCTCTCTGCTTCCATCCTGGCTTGGACCTGCATGCGGGAGTCCAGACACTTGGGAATTTAAGGCAGAATACTAGGGATACTGAGCCTTTCTGCAAATTTCTGATGGAAAGGGTAGTCTTGGCCTGAATTGCTCTGAGTTGCTCTCAGTCAGGGCTGCTCACTCTACCTCCCTGTCCCAGCCCCAACTTTTCCCTAAGCTATGGCCCATATATGGAACCAGCCTCTTGGCATACTGCCAAACCAACCCTCCTAGACCTTTAAAAACCCATTTCAAGAGTTGCACCCTCCAGAAAATTCCCCCAGAATAACACGGCCCGTGTCCCCGTTCCACAGTTGATCTTCCCCACTCGGGTTCCACCAAAGCGGCCCTTGTCAAGGCCGATGATAAGCTCCTTGATGCTGAACAAACTGGCCAGTTCTCAGTCTGCATCTTACTTGATTGGTCATAGCATCTAATACAGCTGAGCCTTACCCCCATCCTCTGGAAACACTTCCTTTGTTTCCTGAGACACTGTACCCTCCTGGCTTTCCTCTTTTCCCTGCTGTTAGTCTCCTTTGCTGGGTTTTCTTCATAGCCCCACATAAATTGTTAGAGTACCTCATGGTTAAATCCTGTTCCTTTCCTCTTTTCTATCTAAACTTATTCCACTGGGATCTCAATTAGTTTCATGCCTCTTGACACCATTTATATGCCGACATCTCCAAAATCTGTTTCTTTAGCCAAGACCTCACTCCTGGACTCCAGACTTTATATCCAGCTTCCTATGTAGCATCGCCACTTGGATGTCCAAAAGGTATCTCAAATATGACATGTCCAAATCTGAGCTCCTAATCTTCCTCCCCATATGGGTTCTTCCTCCAAGATTTCCCAACTCAGCATCCCAAGTTGCTCGGACTGAAAATCTTGATTCTTCTCTTTCTCTACACCTTAGACCCTCCACCCAGTCTGTCATCAAATACTGCTGGCTGTGCTTTCAAAATATATTCAGAGACTAGCCACATCTTACATATCTACCACCATATTTGTTCAACCTATTTTCATCTCTTTTTTAAGACAATCACATCCCCACTGACTTCCTGCCTTTCCTCTGACTGTGTACAGTAGTCTAGTCCCCGCCCATCAGCTGCAGTGATCCTTTTAAACTTTTGGTTGTGGAACCATATTAACCTCTCCCGCCTCTTACCTCTCCCGCCTCTTACCTCTCCCACTTCATCTTTCACTCTTTCCCCTCCCCAGCCCTGTTTCTGCTTCTGCCACACTCACTGGTCCTCTTGCTGTTCTTTGTTTTTCTCTTTCTTTCTTTCTTTTTTTTCTGTCTTTTTTTCTTTCTTTTCTTTCTTTCTTTCTTTCTTTCTTTCTTTCTTTCTTTCTTTCTTTCTTTCCTTTCTTTCTTTCTTTCTTTCTTTCTCTTTCTTTCTTTTTCTTTCTTTCTTTCTTTCTTTTTCTTTCTTTCTTGACAGAGTCTTGCTCTGTTGGCCAGTCTGATGGATCACAGTGCAGTGGTGTAATCATGGCTCACTGCAGCCTTGATCTCCCAGGCTCAAGCGATTGTCCCACCTCAGCCTCTGAGTTGCTGGGATTACAGGCATGCACCACCACACCTGTTTTTTTTTTTTTTTTTTAATTTTTTGTAGAGACGAGGTCTCCTTGTTTTGCCAGGGGCTGGTCTCAAAATCCTGGCCTCACATAATCCTCCTGCCTCGGCCTCCCGAAGTGCTAGGAGTACAGGAGTGAGCCACTGTGCCTGGCCTCTTTCCTGTTCTTTGATCATGCCAGATGCCATCCCACTGCAGGGTCTTTTCTCTCTGCCTGGACCTCTCTTCCTGCAAATATCTGCAGGGTTCTCTCCCATATTTCAGGTCTACTCAAAGGGCACCCTCTCAGGGAGGTCTCCCCTGCCCACCCTGTTTTGCCCTGCTGTCCTCCCTTCAACCCACCCTCCCCAACCCAACTTTCCTATCACATTTCCCTGCTTCATCTTCTCCATGCCATTTATGACTCTCAGACATACTATTTATCTTAGTCATTTGCCTTCTTCCACTAGAGCATAAGCTCCACAAGAGCAGGGACTTTGTTGACTGCTGCATCCTCAGCATCTAGGACCATGCTTGGCACTTAGCAGATGCTCAAACAGGTCATTGCTGAATGAATAATTCCCGAGTGATTCCTCCTTTGACTTCCTCTTTTTCCTTTCTCTTGATCTCCTCCTGCTAGGTGCTCTTTGCTGCCTGACCCTCTTTCTCCTTCATCCTGGCTGTGGGCGTTCCCCAAAGCTCGGTTCTTGTTCCTGAATTCTCCTTCTGCCATCTGTATCCCTCATCCCACTCACTCACTCTCCTCGCTTCAATACTCACCTCCATCTCCCCTTTTTCCTTTTAATGTAATGTAAATAATTGTGTTCCTTTCATTAGCTTTTTACTTGCTCTGAAACCTCTGTTCAACTGTGAGTTCCTTGAAAGCAAGGACTATGTTTGCCCCTTCAATACCCAGTTAGTTGTTCTAGGACCCAAGTATGTTCTTTGAGGGCTCGTTGAAGACCTGCTTAGTGGATGAAGATTCAATATGCTTACCTCTTACTCCTGCCCAGGACAGACCTAGAAACCTGAGATCCAAGATGGACACTTCGAAGGCGTTGTCTCAAACTGCTAGTCAATGAGGCTTTGGGAGGCTTCACCCCCGGGTGATTTAATGAGTCACAGTGGATCAATTAGCTGATTCTTTGGCTCTACTTGAAAAAGCCTTTTGTGGCCACTCTGGGATCTCATTCGACTTGAGTGTGTGGGCGTGAGAAGAGGATGCAACTGAAATTTTTTTCAAGCAAGCAAGCAATTTCATTTCAGGAGGCCTGCCTTCCCCCAACATGCTGGGCCAGTGAGGGACCTGCATGTCCCCAAGACAGCAGAACTGGTTTCCTGCCTCCCCCATCAGACTGCGAGGTCTTGAGGGCAGGACTGGAGTTGAAGTCATATTCCCAGCCTGGTGCCTGGTACATAGTAATTACTCTGCAAGTAGTTATTATACAAAGAAAAGAAACCCAATCTTATGTGAGAGAAAATCTCTCTAGATCCTTCCCCAAGTCCAAAGAGAACAGAGGAACATACTCGCCCTCCTCTGACTTCCTCTTTTATCATGCTCTGTCCTTCACTGTCATCAACATAGCCTGGCCTAAAACTTTTCTTTTCTAGAAGCAGCTTTTCTAGAGCAATCTCATCTGACTCTGATTTCTTTTCTTCATGTCTCCTAACACTTCTGCACATCTCTTGCAGTGCAGCAGCTTGCATAATTGTGTTGTAAGCATCCTGAACTGGTCTGTCCCCAGGTGTGTGCCTTGTGTATGAGGGGCTTGGGGACTTGGGGGCACAGGGCATCCCCTACAGTCCTTGTCAGCCTGGGCACCCTGATATGGAGGGCTCTTGCTTTACCTTCCTTTCCATAGCCCAGCCCATGGCTCTGCATTCAACAAGTGCCCAATGATGCACTGACCGGCACATAGTCAGCATTCAATGAATAGCTATTAAACTAAAAAGAAACAATGTCAAACCCACTGCTCACAGAAAGGAAATGGGGGAAAGGGTAAAGGAATCCAATGTCAGCACCAAACCCACTCCCAGAAATGACCAGATTTTGAGATGAGTGAGAGAACCTAACAAGTCCACAAAGAAAAAACAGAACAAAACACTCTTCTGGATCCCCTGATGAGCTGCACAATTTCAGTGTTTATTTTCTGTCCCAAGAAACAATGTAACCATGCTTCCCTCTGGCGGTGCAAGGATCATGAGTTCAAATCTTGGCTTTATTATTTCTGTTTGGGTGACAATGGGTAAGTCACCTAACCTCAAACCTTCGTTTGTTTATTTACATATGGGGGATGACCATAAGTGTTGTGGTGAGGATGAAACATGGCAAAGCAGGTTGTGCCCTTGGCAGCTAGCAGGAGCTCAATAAGTAATGACCAGCGCATCCCAGTAAATGGGGATCAGAAAGGAGATGGAAGGGAGGGAGCTGAGTGCCAGCATAGGAATGTGGCTCATGGGAAAAAGAGGAGGAAGGGTTGTTGATGGGGCCTCCCCTGTGGCAGAAACCTCCTAGAGGACATTCCCCACGGGCTTGAAGAGAGGCCTGACTCTTTGATATTTAAGGAAAGAGTGGGGATGTCTGGAAATTCTGCCCAGTGGCTTATCACTGTGGGGTTTCGGCCTCTGCTGTGGAGACCACACTCCCGGAGAATGGGTAGCTCTGTTCTGTGAAAGCATGAGAGCCAAGAACTTCTCCATGGGAGAAGCTGAGAATTACAGGATTCTAGAGATGGTTTAATACTGAGGAAAATGCAGCCCAGAGATGGAAAGTCACTTTTTCAAGGTCACACAGAAAACACATGGCATAGCCAAGACAAGAAATAAAAAATGAATAATAATGTCCAACAACCAGTCAGAACAGATGACCTGGACTGAAGGGGAAGGTCAGGCCTGGGAGTGGTACAGAAGTGACACATGGGCTAAGCCAGCAGGAAGGGCACCAGAGGAATAGGGCTCAGCAAGCTGCTCTGTGACAGTGCTGTCCTGGGTGGCTGTGTACTCTGTTTCATTTACTACATATAATAACAATAGGACTAGAAGCCATTATTAATCCCCATCTTGCTGATGTCAAACCTGAGGCACAGTTTAGATAATGTCCCAAGGTTTTAAAGCTAGAAAGTAAGGAAGCTAGAATGCAATTCAGGTTGGGTTGACAATAAAGCCTGCACTCCTTCTGCACAACTCTGCTCATTTCCAAGCCAGAGGCTATTCTACCATTTAAGGCCTCCCTTCCTCCCTGCATACCCTCAGTCCAGGCTCTCTGGAAGTATATGGAACACTTCATCACCCCTAAAACACACACACACACAAATGCATGCCCACGCACATACACATGCATGCACACACACACTCTATCCTAGTCCAAAAACAACACACATGCACACACACACACGCATACTCTAAACTAGTAGGGACCTGGTAAGGCAGGAAGATGGCCGAATCCATTAGCATTACCAAGCACAGCACATATTTATGGCCCCAGTTACAGCCTTTGTCTCCTGCCACAGTGAAGGAGAGGGAATAGCGACAGGAATAGTTGTGTGCGGTGGGGTCTGAGTCCTCTGTAGCAATAACTACAAGATTAGAGATGTTAGCAAACCCGGGTGACGGCAGCTCTATTATAATGATAAATCTACAGCTTTATTTAGAAATAATGAGACTGGGGGCAGAAGATGCTAGGAGGGAAGAGCATGGTGATCTTAGCCAATTGAAGCTCTGGTTGGAGAGACAGTGGCAAACCTCTGGGAATGCCCAGGAGACTATCAGGGGCCCTTGGGCAAGCCAGGCAGAAGGAGAGATGGGGGAAACAGCAGGGCAGTGCTTCCCAGGGCTGGAATGGGTGCAGTGAACTCCCAAAATTTCCATCCTAGGCCTGAGTTTCTTAATTCCATGCAATGCACGAGGCCTCCGACTGCCCTGCAGGCCCGGTTTGCTCTGGCTCTCCAGCCAGTGGGGCATGTTAGCTGCTGTGCTGCCCAGACTTCCCTCTGGAACAATCTGGGCTGGGGAGGTGAGTGTCCCTTGAGGCTTAAGATTTGCAATTAACAAAGAGCTAGACTCCTCGGATGTGTACCTCCCCTCCACTAGCCTTGAGCTCAGGGTTCTGTGGCTGTGAGAAAACAATGCAAATGTTTCAGGCTTTGGTACTTCAAGTCAAGCACCAGGGTGGGGGTGGGAACAAGGGACCTGCCTGGTGCCACCTGCCAGGGCCGAATCCGACTCTCCTGCACAAACTCAAGGAGCAACACAGGCAGCATTCACATCACTTTGGTGAGCACAGAGCAACCTCCAAGTCCCCTTTCTCACGGTGCCTTTCCTTCTGCTCAGCATGCGGGTCACAGGCTCTCTGCTTTGGTCCAGACTACCTGATCGGGCTGGTTACCCCAGACACAAACCATCCCATTCACCTCTGAACACATGCACAGGCTGGGTCTCTCCCCACCAAGCCTGGCTCTAAGCCATTTTCTAAATACTACTTGAGCTGCTTCTCCTCCAAGAAGCCTTCCCAGGTTAACCCCATTCAATTCCAACTGCTTCTTTAATAGTCTTTTCCTTGGGTACCCATATATAGTTTTAATTGAATTAAGTAAGCCACTGGTCATTTAACAAGAAAGTACTGGGTTCTTACACTCAGCCCTGAGGGAAAATACAAGAGAAAGTCAAATGTGGGTCACAAGCCATTCCTGAGCCATTGGGAGGACTTTACAAGATAGAATATGACTCAGGATATAACTCGGGGATACAGAGAACACACGGGAGAGGCAGCTGCTGTGAGACCAGGAGGCCACATGGAGGATGACGGCAGGTAGGCTCTGAAAGGTGGATTGGTTTGCACCAGGCAGAGAGGTGGGAACAGATCTGCCTGACATGGAGAACCTTGTTGGCAAAGGCAAGAGGCAGAAATGTCAGGTGTTTTTCAGAAGCTGCCAGATTCCTGAGCTCAGGTCCAAAGGGCAGCTCTGGGAATGGAATCAGACACATGGGAGAGATGGGAGCTGGCTGTTGGCTGCGCTCATCTCATCAGTACTGTCCCCCATTGTGCTGGTATGGGAATTCATATATGCTTAGTGCTCTGTCATTCCTGGTGACTGTGATGACTTGGGTCTCCTTGGCCCCCAAATAATTAAAATTTGACAGCACCACATATAGGTACAAGCATCAGCCTTCTCGCACCTCTTCCCCCTCTTTTGCTTGAGTCCTTACCTGGCAGGGTGATGAGCCTGCTCCTGAGAACTCTACCTGCTGGTGGGGCTGTGGGTTGGAGGGTGGCAGGGGACTCACTTGAGAAGGAACATCCAGCTCAGACAGACGGTAAGACAGGCTGTCTGAGCATGGGTGGGGCTCTGCAGCTTGGGAAACTCCTGCACCTGGACTCCCTCTGCAACTGGCTGGAATGCTCCCCCTTCCTCTTGTCCTGTCGAGTTATTTATAACTGTCCTTCCCCACCTGATTTAGTTCTCCTCATCAAGGAGACCTTCACCAGCTGTCCTAACTCTAAGGATCCTGCAACCATACCCAGAGGATCGTATTTGCTGCTTTGCACTACCAGCTACTGCATGGACTTTTCCTGTCTCTGTAATTACATGACAAGTTTCTGTGGGTCAAAGAAGCTGTTTTCTACCCCAGCCCCACCCTCAACCCCATGCCTGGCACAGTGTTCTTAGGAGGAGGAGATGGAGGAGGGCTATAATGATACTAGTTGAGGATGATGAGGATGATGGTGATTTGTCCTATGCTCTTTGGTTGATCTGCCCTTTTCAGAAGCCAGGTGGGGGAAGTGGGGATGGGACAAGGGCAGGACAGCCACGGGGTTCTTGGATATGGAAAGGTGCATCCAGGTGAGGAGTGTGCTTGGGCACAGACTGCCTGCCCCAGGCATGAGGCTTCCATTCATGCCTGGAGCCAAAGACACCAGATGGTGGGCTCTGGCAAGGAGCAAAGGAGGCTCCTAGAAGGGCTGGGCTGAGCTCTGCTTCCTGCAGCCCCTGGCCCTCACCCCTCTCCCTGGGTGGCAACCTCACTGTGAGGAGGACTGAGCTGCTTTTCTCTACCTGTCCAGTTACCATAATGAAGCCACAGCCTAAGGAGACCACAGGGAAGAGCTGCACCAAATGTAAACTTCAGAGTGATTTATGGAGTGGAGCGCTCGGGCCTGGGGCTGCCACAGAGCTGCTGTTCCAATCCGCCCTGTCTGCTCGCCCCGTCTGCCTGCTGGCCAGCCGGCTACTTATGTTCTTCTTAGGGATGACATTTCAGGAAAGCAAAGGTGGGGGAGGTACTGAGCCATTGGGCTGGACTGGTCAAAGTCAGCACAAGCTATGAGAATGGCGTGTCCCCCAGACCCTTCCTGGGGTGTAAGCAGAGCCCACTAAGCTTTCTCTCTTTGAACAAAACAAGATTTATGCCCTTTGCACACCAGAGCAGGGCTGATTTTCCCAGCCCCTCTCTTCACAGGCTCAACACAGAGATATTGAGTATTGACTATCCAAGCGGGAGTCTGCAGACAGAGTGGGGTTGCCCCTCCTCAGAGATATAGTGGAGGAAATATCCAGGTTGCCCCTCAACCTGTTAGCACTCAAGAGAGCAGATGCAAGGCCACTGGAGCTTGGAGGGAATGCCCCCACTGAGCTCTCAGCTGCCTGGGGGTGCTTAGAGAGAGGACACTAGCTATACCTGCAGGATGCAGCTACACAGCTTCCTCAACCCAGGGGACTGGAGCGAAGGGCTATGCCAGACCGAAGGGCTCCAGATGTGTCCTCTCCAGTTCTCTGTGCCAAACCTGTGCTCCCTTCTCTTAAAAGCCAACTTGAGCCCCAGCTCCTTGAAACCTTCCCTGATTAATTCCAGCTGGTTGCAAACAGCCCAGCACCCACCTCCTGTGTAGGTGTTAGTCAGGTCTCCTTTTGGGCTGGCCTCCCCCATCTCCCATACCTGACTGGGAAAACAATGCCCAAGCAAAGGGACTCTGCTGTGTGTCGTCATTCGTGCTGTTCATTACATATGTCCAGCTCTCCTTCTGGGCACTCGGTAGGATTACTTTGCCCCTTCTCCCTTGATATTAGGAGTTACCGCGTGTCTTGTTCTAATGGGAGTGGAAGTGACATGTGTCACTTCTGCGTGGAAGTTTTAATAAACAGTGCGTGATTTGCCACTTCCTCTTCCTCCTGATGTTTAACTGTGGGGGCCCGTGTCTAAATGCAGCCTCTGTTGGCTTGGGTCCCCAGGTAACAAGGTGGAGCAGAGTCCCCAGTCCAGCTGCAAAGCACATGAAACATGAACAAGGCATAAACTTTGGTTGTCTAAAGCCACAAAATCCTCGGACTGTTTGCTGCTGCAGCATAGCCTAGTTCAGTCTGATTGATATGGCCTGTTTCAATTGCCTATGCCAAGTTTCTAATGCACATCAGTACTCTCAGTAGAAAGAACCACCCCAGAACATGCAACCAGAAGCCACAGATAAAAATTCCCTTCCCTTCCTAGCTACATGGGGACTCTGCTCTCTGCCATCCCAACCTGGGGCAGAGTGCAAGGGTAGACTGGGCCACTGGGCAGTTTCCAGAGTCCCTCTTCACATCCCAAATGGCAAAGGCCCATTTGTCTCTAGGAAGTGAGGGTTTGGGGACATGTCCCACCCAACCCAGAACCACAAATCCTCAAGAAGCCAAGGAACAGGGCTGTACTTACACTTGTGGCATATTGGATATCCTTCCAGATGGAGGTTTCCCGAGACAGGTCAGAGGCCTCAAAGAGGTTGTCCAGGATGACCTCGCCAATCATGTCATGGCGGGAGAAGCGGTCAAAGTCGAAGACACTGAGATGCAGCTTGCGGTCAGCCAGCTCCTCATAGGGCACAGGGAAGTGGAAGTTCTCATCAAAGGTGGGGTTCAGGGTCTTGCGGTGCACCCGGGTCTGCAGCTTGCATTTGCGGTCAGGCAGGAGGTAGATCTTGACATAAGGGTCAGAGCTTCCACAAAAGTCCTTGGCAGGGAGGTCAAAAGCCTTCAGGATACGCACAATCAGGGTCTCGGTCTCGTAATCGTAGCGTAGGCTGAAGTTGATCTTCCCGCAGCTCTTGGTGGCCTCAGACTTGGCATCCTCCCCATCCACCGACTTCTGCTTGTAGAGCTCAGGCTTGATGCGGCCAATGCTGGTGGGCTGCTCTGCTGCTGGTGGAAGCTCATTGCCATAGTCTACACTGGAGACATGCATCTGCCTTGGCAGGTGGCGCTTGAAGGACGTGTGCCTGGTAGAGGGCAGGAGGGGGCAGAGGGAGTGTGGTCAGGGCTCAGGGGAAGGGGGATGAAGGCAAACACGAGCCTGGAGGCCCTGGCTCATCTTATCCCTTGTTGAGCCCCCTTTTCCTTCCTCTTCTTGACCCCACTTTTGCTCTGCATACACTTTGTGTGCAAGGTTGTGGTGAGCATTACATGTCTTAATATATGTAAAGTAGTTGGAATGGTGCCTGATATATAGTAAGCTCAATAAACTTTAGCCATTGTTATCATAATCACTTTTTCCTGCTTTTCTGTTACCTGCTTTCTAGGTTTACTTCCTAGTAGACATGACTCTGGTTTCCTTATTAAATCATGAGATTCCTTAAGAGAAGGACCATCCCTTCTTATCCTCAATGTGGCACCCACTTCATCACCATCATCACCATCACCATTTGTTAAGCATTTGCTATACGGCAGGCAGCAGAGTGGTAAAAGCATGGGCTTTGGAGTTAGCCTGCATAGGTTAATTTTGGCTCTGTCACTTTCTAGCTGAGATCTTGGGAAAGTTATTTAACCTCTCTGTGCCATAAAAACGAGGATAATAAAAGTAACAGCTGCATAGGATTGCTGTGAAATGAATTGATTACATATGAAGTGCTTAGAATAGAGCCAAGCATAATCATAAGCAATATATGTGTTAGCTCTCCTTATCAATCACATTGATTCTTCCATTGGCTCCTCACAACTGCCATATAAAAGTCATCAGCCTTATTTTACAGTTGGAAAAAGTGAGTCTAAGGGAAGGTGAGGAACTTGCCCAAGGCCATATGACAGACTGTCAGTGTGACCTCCCAGCATGTTCATTCCTGGCCTCCAGTCTGAAGACCAGGCCTCGTTCTCTTTTGTTGGTCCCCTGAGGGCCTGGAGAGCCGTTGCAGGGACCTAGGAGTCCATCAGAGCCCTAAGTTTTGAGTAAATACAATGCCTTACGCATGCTTGCACCACATCTTTTAAAAGTGCTTCTGAATTTAGGGTAGGTTTTTGTCGTTATGTTTTTCTTGTTGCTATTTTCAGTTAAAGGATGCTGTATGTATTTACAGTTGTTGTCATGCAGGGAACTCTGAAAGGCTTTAAAGGAATCCTGATTCTCAAACTATTAAGATTCCCTTGCCTTATCTGCCATGTACTGCAGACTGTAGCTATCAGGCTTTACTGACATATCCCTAAACACACCATGAACTCTTACATCTCTAGGCCTTTACTGTTCTCTTCCTTCTGCCTGAAGTCTTTCCTTCCAAACATCCAACACTCCCCTATTCCACTATTCCATTCCCCTCACACCCACACACACCCCAAGTGCAAACCACATATACAGCAACCCGCCTCAAAGGTTTCCCTTTCATGAAGTCTTTCCTGGTGCCCACCTCCTCATTGATCACCCATCATGGCTCACATCATCTGACATATTTGTCAATCAAAGGATATGTGTTATTATTTCTGGTCTGTGATCCCCACAGGCTGGAATCCCATAGATGTATTAAGGGAGTGTGGAGGTGTGGGGGTCAGGGAAGGGAGTGGTCCACTCCTCACCTGGTGGATGACGCTGGCTCTGTAGTTTGCCGCTGCAGCCGGGTGTGACGCATGATGTGCTCCTTGACCGACATCTGCACCTCAGCTGGGATATCTGGGGACGTGTGGCTGATCTTCACGGCCGCCTCCAGGAAGCCCAGGGTGCTGGGGTCCTTCAGCTTGTCCGCCATGTTGCCTCTGAAGCTGGGGCTCTGGAGGGCTTCCAAGGGGGGATTAGCAGAAGAGGGACTGGAGGCCTCCTTGTTCCTCCAGGGCATCCAGCACAGCTTCCAAAAGAGAAAGAGAAAAACTGCCACCAGGGCCACGCCACACACAATAACTACAACTGCGAGGAGGCTGACAGAGGTGCCTGCCCTCGGCATGAGCCAGGCAGGGAGGGACAGACAGACAGAGGCGGGGAGAAGCGGGTGAGGGTGTTGGAGGAGGGGGCACACGGAAGGGACAAAGACGGAAGAAGAGAGAAGAATGGTCATGAGAAAGCTGCCAGGTCAGAGGGAGAGGTGGTTTCAGGGTTGACTCTTGATTGTCCACTTGGTGGAGTATGTACAGCCTTGTGTTCACCTCAATCTGATTCTTCCAGCATCATCCTCTCTCCCGCCCCCACCCCTATCCCCCCAGCCAGCTTGGGGAGCACCTGGGCTGTCCTCTCTACTGGCTATTGGCACGTGCACAGGGAAATGAAAATAATTTAAATAGCAGCCTAAGCAAATGTGCAAATTTGTGAAGGATTCATGTTGAGATGCTGTTTGAATTTCTATTAAAGCTGCTACTATGGCCAGACTTAGAGTCATTTTTGTCTACAGCCCACTTCCTTAACAGGGTGTGATACCTTGGGGGGCAGAGGCTGGCTAACTCATCCTCTTTTCTTCTTTATCCCATCCCCACTGAGCCCAAGACAGGAACTCAATAAACATTGAGTTGACTTCAAGTGAATGAGATTGAGCATAATCTCTTTAAGGGCAAGGATTATGTTCTTCTGTACTCCCAGAACTCTGTGCATAGTAGGCTCAATAAATACTTCTATTAAGTTGGAATCTGATCTACACAGTGCACTTCAAAGCTAAATAGAGGCACACTTCATTTTGCTATGCTTCACTTTATTGTGCTTCACAGATCCTGTATTTTTTACAAATTGAAGATTTGTGGCCACCCTGCCTTGAACAAGTCTTTCTGTGCCAGTTTTCCAACAGCATGTGCACATTTTGTGTCTGTCACGTTTTGTTAATTCTCACATTATTTCAAACTTTTAAATTACTATTATGGTTGTTATGGTGATCTATGATCTGTGATCAGTGATCTTGGATATTCCTATCGTCATTGTTTTGAGGCGTCCTGAGCTGCATCCATGTAAGATGGCCAACCTAATTGATAAATGTTGTGTGTGTTCTGGCTGCTCCCCTGGCTGGCCATTCCTCTCCTTAGGCCTCTCTATTTGCTGAGGCACAACAATATTGAAATTAGGCCAATTGATAACCTTACTTTGACTTCTAAGTGTTCAGGTCAAAGAAAGTGTCACATGACTCTCATTTTAAATCAAAAGCTAGAAATAATGAAGCTTAGTGAGGATGGCATATCAAAAGCCAAGACAGGCCAAAAGCGAGGCATTTTGTGCCTCACAGCCAAGTTGTGAATGCAAAGAAAAAGATCTTAAAGGAAATCAGAAGTGTTACTCCAGCAAACACACAAATGATAAGAAAGCAAAACAGTCTTATTGCTGATGTGAAGAGAGCTTTAGTGGTCTGGACAGAAGATCAAACCAGCCCCAACATTCTCTTAAGCCAAAGCCTAATCCAGAGCAAGACAGTACCTTTCTTTCATTCTATGAAGACTGAAAAAGGAGAGGAAGCTGCAGAAGAAACGTTTGAATCTAGCAGAGGTTGGTTCTTGAGGTTTAAGGAAAGAAGTCCTCTCCATAATGCAAAAGTTCAAAGATGAAGCAGCAAGTGCTGATGTAGAAACTGCAGTAAGTGATTCAGAAGATCTAACTAAGATAATTGATGAAGGTGACTACACTAAACAACACATTTTCAGAGTAGAAGAAATAGCCTTATATTGGAAGAAGATGCCACCTAGGGCTTTCATAGCTAGAAAGGGGAAGTCAATGCCTGGCTTCAAAATTTCAAAGGACAGGCTGACTCTCTTTTTAGGGGCTAACACAGCTGATGACTTTAAGATGAACCCAGTGCTTATTTACCATTCCAAAAATCCTACGGCCCTTAAGAATTATGCTCAATCTACTCTGCCTATGCTCTAAAAATGGAAAAACAAAACCTGGATAATAGCATATCTGTTTAAGAATGGTTTACTGAATATTTTAAGCCCACTGTTGAGACTTACTGCTCAGAAGAAATGATTCCTTTCAAAATATTACTGCTCATTGACTATGCACCTAGTCACCCAAAGGCTCTGATGCAGATGTACAAGGAGATAAATGTTGTTTTCATGCCAGCTAAAACAACGTCCATTCTGCAGCCCATGGATCAAGGAGTAATTTCAACTTTCAAATCTTAGGCTTTAGCTGTCATAGACAGTGATTCCTCTGATGGATCTGGGCAAAGTAAATTGAAAACTGTCTGAATAGGATTCACCATTCTTGATGCCATTAAGAACATTCATAATTCAGGGGAAAAGGTCAAAATATCAACATTAACTGAAATTTAAAAGAAGTTGATTCCAAACATCGTGAATGGCTTTGAGGGGTTCAAGACCTCAGTGAAGGAAATAACTGCAGATGTGGTGGAAATAGCAAGAGAACCAGAATTAGAAGTGGAGCCTGAAGAATGGATGAGGAGTTGCTTCTTGTGGATGAGTAAATAAATTGTGGATGAGTAAATATTTTATCTTCTTGAGATAAAATATACTCCAGGTAAAGATGCTGTGAACATTGCTGAAATGACCACAAAGGACTTAGAATATTACATAACCTTAGTTGATAAAGCAGTGGCAGGGGTTGAGAGGATTGACTCCAATTTTGAAAGAAGTTCTACTATGGATAAAATGCTATCAGACAGCGGTGCATGCTACAGAGATATCTTTAGTGAAAGGAAAAGTCCATTGACGCAGCAAACTCACCGTTGTCTTATTTTAAGAAATTGCCACAGCCACTCCAGCCACCAGCAACCACCAAACTGGTCAGTCAGCAGCCATCAACATCGAAGCAAGACCCTCCACCAGCAAAAAGAGATTAAGACTCACTGAAGGCTCATTTTTAGCAATTTAGCATTTTTTAGCAATCAAGCTTTTAAAATTAAGGTGTATATATTGTTTTTGGGTGTAATTTTATTGCACACTTAATAGGCTACAGTATATTTTACACTGTATATGTGTATATATATAGGTAAATATATTACAATGTATACTTTTTGTAAGGCTTTAGCTGCCATGGATAGTGATTCCTCTGATGGATCTGGGCAAAGTAAATTGAAAACCATATGAATAGGATTCACCATTCTTGATGCCATTATATTTACAGTATATTACAGTATATTTTATACTGTGTGTATATGTATATATTCACATATATGTATATATACATATATGTATATACTGTATACACTTAATAGACTACAGTATATTTTATACTATATATATTTTATTTAATTCTATTGTGCTATTCTAATAATTCTATTTCTTTTTATAAAATATACTTTAGTCTATTAAGTGTACAATAGAATTACACAAAGTTATATATATGTTTACATGTGTACATATATAAATTACATATACTTATATGTATAAAAGTTTTAGATACATATATGTATATATAGTATAAAAGTAGTATAGTATAAAAGTTATGTGTGTATATATACATATATAGTATAAAAGTAGCACAGTTTAAAAGTTATATATATCTATATATACATACATACATATGTATATATGTATAAGTTATATATAACTTATATGTGTATATATACATATAAGTTATATATAACTTATGTGCATGTGTGTGTGTGTGTGTATATATATATAACTTTTATATGCACTGGGAAACCAAAAAATTTGTGTGACTTGCTTTATTTTGATATGTGCTTTATTGCAGTAGTCTGTAACTGAACCTACAATATCTCCAAGGTATTTGTGTACAAATGATTCCTAGAGCTGTCCTCCTCCATTCCTGTGGCTATTCAAGAGCTTTGCTGTAAAACTGGTATTTTAAATGTTGTGATTGGTTTGGAGGTGGGCTCTCACTCCCCCACCCCCAGCCCACCCCTGACCCCAGGGATGCCCATTATCCCAAGAAAGGGGTATGCCCCTATGAGGGATGCCCCTCTTTGTGAGAAATTATTAAGCAGACCTCCCATCCCACTTCCCTCTCCAAATTTGGGAATGAACCTTTGAGCCCAAGGCCTCTTCTTGCTCGGAGTAGAGAAGTTAGAAGGCTCTGAACCAAGGGCATACTTTGCAGGGTTTGCAAAAAGGTTACTGTGGACAAACTAGCAGAAGAGTTTTGTTTGGCTTGCTTAATGATTGAAACGTTAAGAAATTCCATCATCATCGTCACCCCAGACTTCTGAATTCACTGGAAAAGACCAATGACTTGGTAATTGAACATGGGCTCCCACATGGTGGGAACTGGTGACTCTCTTTGTAAGGATATGTCCTCACCAGCTCAACCCTCCACTTCCTGTTCCCTGTCTGGCCCCTGAAAGCTTGTAAGTTTGAAGCCTCTGTATTAGCCTGTCCAAATGCCTTAAAAATCTTACTATTTAAGGTAAGAAATGACCCCACAAGTAGTGAGGCCAGGCTGTGCCTTTAAAGATGGCAGCAGTGGTTCACAGAAGGGACTTGCTTGGAGTCACAGGTTGGTCAGACACAGAACCTGGACTAGGGTCCAGATGTCCACCACCCAGGCTGGCACTCTTTCCTCTGCCCTGACCTGTCTGTCTCTGGTTAAACTGTAGGCTACTATGACACGTGTTTTTCCTCTTTGTCTGATTCAGGGCCTCACATAGAAACTGGCACATGGAATGAATGAGTGACTGAAAGAATGATGTATGAGAAGGCTGTAATTAGCTCTCATTTCAATTAAGGTCAAGCAACATTTACTGAGTACTTGCCATGTGCCAAGTTCTGAGCAAGGCTTGAATGCCCAGTCCCCTGCTAAGGGGATCCAGGTACTCCCACAGCACATAGGCTCCAGGGAAAGAGATCCCACATCAGGGGCCAAGAAGGAGTTGAGGATATCAGCCACTCTCTCTGGGAAGCCAGCACTGCCTTTTGATTCCTTTGCTGCAAGTTACTTGCCTAGATCAGTTATCACCTCCGAGAATAGGTAATAATAGCAGAGAATCCTCAAGTCCTGAGCCACCTACCACCACCCCCTTCCCAAGCCTTCCCAACACCTGGCTCCCTGCACAGGGACATTAGAGCCTTTCCCTGGCCAAAGGAGCTGGAGGTAGTCCTTCACCTGGAGACTGCCAGACACCGGGAAAGCTCATTCTAAGTCAACTTCTATACTAAAGGTCTCCAATGTGGTGGTGTCTCCAATGGGGTGAAGCTCGGGGCAGGTGGACACAAGAGAAAAAAACCAAGCCATTTTAATATTTATAATCTTTAAAAGAAATCAAATTTTTAATATACAGGTTGATAGGAATAATAGCATGTTATTAGATTTAGGCAATTTATTCAACATTACTATGTCTAAGGTTCAAAGAGCTTTATATCTATTCACTCATTTAATCCTCTCCAATGAAAAAGGTATGATTATTATCCTCATTTTGCAGATGTGGAAACTGAGGCACAGAAGGTTAAATAGATTTCCCAGGTCACACAACTAGTGGGTGGTGAAACTGGGCTACAACCCAGCCAGTCTGGTTCTGAAGTATCACCTCTGTGGAACATGTATGTAACTTGGGAACAAAAAAACATATATTGGAGGTATTAAGTTTTTTTTTTTTTTTTTTTTTTTTAACCTGTTATGAGTTCATGATCTAAATAATTTGGAGACTCTTTCTTCAGGTCTTTATCCTAGTGGGCTCACCAGGGAAGTCACCACAGCTATATGTGTCCTTATTCTACATATCTGGCCATCTCTAGCCCTTCACATCTGTTCTCTGTTACAGCTGTTCTGGATGCATTCTCTGCAATATGAGTCACCTCAAAACAAAAGGTGTTTCTAGGGCTTTGCTTTCCTTTGATCATACATCTTACTTGTTCTGGTAATAATTAGAATTTTAATGAGAAGGGGAGTAGGGGGAATCTAGAGAGCATAGAGTGCATTTAAATGTTCAGCCTGACAAATAATTGAATTCGTAAATGAAAAGAGAGGTAGGAGAAGGGGGTGGGGCAGGACAATGAGGTTTTCCTTGGTGTGGTTGCTATTTAGATTGCCTCTCCATGTGACCCCCAGCTGCTGTTCCCTCAGAGCTGTGATTAGGGGAGGCAGAGGGCATGGTTTTTTGGAATCAGCACCCAGCACTCAATACTGGTTATATGAGACCAGGAGGCCCGTCCTATGCCTGAAGAATCTTATTGCAGGACTAGAGGAGCCTGGGCTTTTGACATCTCACTGGCAGGCAGTGCAAGGAGAATTAGGTCTCAAACACTGAGTGGGTTTGTCTTCACAGGAGATGCAAGGTTGGTGAGCAAGGCTAGTAAGACCAGAAGCAGGCAGCAGGGAGGAGGTGACTGTAGAAGATTCAGCTCATTTAAAATCACTGTATGTGGCCTTGAACTCAGACATCCCTCATCTCCTAGTTTAAGTTACATTGAGATTAGAAAGGGCTGTAGGCTTCTGTACAGCCTAAGGGCTGCATAAAGGCCCAGATAACCTAAGCTGTATGCCTTCCCACTCTGGGCTTGCTGGGGCCAACCCACTGGGACATGTCCCCTAGGAAATCACAGGTGCACAAATAGCCTTCAAAACCCTTTTCCCATTCACATCTTGTTTGAACTTTGACCCCTTGAGGCAGCTAGAACTTTGATGGGCAACTCTGCCAGTTTCTGAGTCCTGATCCAGTGCTCTTCCAATTTACACCACACGTTCACTTCAGGAAAAGCTAGAAGTAAGCCTCCAGTAAGGGAGAGAGGGCTCAGCCCAGCACTGAAAAAGAGAAAGTACCTCCTAGGTATTTGGATGCTTCTTCCCTGTCTTCTTCTTTACTTCTTCTTCAGCTTAGAGAGAAGGAAGCATTGCCCTGAAGTCAGACTGGCCTCACTAACAGTCTACCTCTACTAGTTTTAAACTGTGACCTTGGCAAACTATGTAACACTTCTCAGCCTCAGTTTCCTCATCTATAAATTGGGGGTAATAATAGTATCTACCTTTAGGGTCATTGTGAGGTTTAAATGAGACCAAAACTGTTGAGGATAGTGCCTAAGATGTAATAAGCAATATAATAAATATCACCTATTTTTATTAGAATTAGTTATGCCCAGCCCAATTTGAAACAGTCCTTAGTTTTGAAATTTGTTTAATGGGCAGAACACCTGAAAACCATTGAACATTAATCAACAGAGATAGCTTTAACCTTGTCTTTACAAACCAAGAACAATCTTACTAGCAGAAATAATATAATGGTTTTGGACATAGCCAGGTCCGTCTGTATCTTGAGACGTAACACAAACTATGGTTCAGATCACACATCTCCAGGCTTTTCCTGCTAATACTCATTTGCTTGCTGCCTCCTCAGTTGTTTTGTTGTTACCATCACCAGCCAGCTGGTGAACAGGAATGAATTCCAAAGAAGTAAGAAGAAGATCATGGAAGAAAAACCTATAATTGAGAACATCCTATGTTCTTGAAAAATTTCTTGAAATTTGGGGAAAAGAAGCCTATTGCTCAATATTCATTGTAAAATGTTTTCATTCAGGCATCAGAGGAGCTCTAGTATTTCATGGGCACCTGATTTGGTAAACCATAGTAGCCAACTCTCCAGCAGTCTCATGGGAGAGAAAACAGCTATGGAACTAGGCTTTGGGATCACACCCCAGTGACATAGCCTTGTACAGGGGCACATGGCTTCTAGCCCTGGCTGTGAAACTGAACTCACAGGTGCTCAGACACAGGATGGACATCTCAGGTGGGCGGCAGTGCCAGAATGACCGACAGCACAGCATGTATCATCTTCATTGCTTTCTAATTGCGTGACCTTGAGCAAGTTATTTAACCTGTCCAAATCTTAGTTTTCTCTTTTATTTAGTCAGGATTCGAATTATTCCTACTTTGCAGAATCATTGTGAATATTAAATAAGCTAAGACTTTGAGCACAGGCCCTGGTACACAGTGAATGTCCCCAAAATGTAAGCTGCTGTTATTCTTCATGTTTTGTTTTTTGGTGGAGGATAACAGTTGACTGTGTATACAGAACAGACACAAAGCTAAGCTAAGTCTTTGAGGCAGGGAAGGGAGACTCCAGATCAGAGGACAAAGAATCTGAGGGACGTCAGGCCCCTCTTCTCTCCTGGGAAGTTGAGATCCCCTTCAAGGCCATCAGGATAGGATCTGCTTGTCACCTTAAATGAGACTGTCTGGTTGGGGTGATGGCCCATGGTCTCCCTCCTCTTCCAGAAAATGCTGGGTTATTAAATAGCAGCTCAGGGCTTTCTTATCTTCCCCCACTGACACTTCTTTCTCCAAAGACAGCCCTAGTGCCCCCTCCCCTCTTCTCCACCCATAGTGTTAGAATTCATCAGCAATTCTTATTGCTTGCTATTGTTCCCATTTTTCTAATGGGCTCCCACATCAGAAAAATCCATTTTGTAACAGTAACAGGCGTTCTTGCTAACAGATTGTAATTGAAGAGATAAACTGGGAAGAGGAAGCAAAAAGAAAGAACCATTTTCCCTACTCACCCCAAAGCCAGAGAAGGCTGGCTTCAGGGCCTGGAATTGGTGGTGGACCCTCAGAAACGGTCAGTGCTCAGGCTGGGGAGAGCAGGAGCTGCCTCGGCCAAGGAGCTCTCGTGCAGACACAGACAGAGACATAGACAAAGCACAGCCCAGAGGCCAGGGAGCAAGTGACGCAGAGGCCCAGGAGCTTGGAAGAAGAGCGTTTAGCCTGGGAAGAGAAGAGATTCTGGGCAGAACCACTCATAAAATACTAATAATATCATTTATTTATTTATTTATTTATTTATTTATTTATTAATACATAGTGAGCATTATGCCCTTTACATTATCTAATTTAACCTTTCTAGCCTCCCTAAGAAATTGGTATACACCCTTAAAGATAAAGAAACTAAGCATAGAGATGTTAACCAGGTAACTTGTTCAAGGGTACAGTGCATTAAGGAGAAGAGCTGGGATTTGAACCTAGGACTTGCTGATGCCCAAATCTGGGCTCTTGAATCACGTATCTGGGAGGACTACAGATTGAGCTGTGGAGTCCCAGGCTGGACAGAGAAGTTGGAGTGGGGGCAGGCATTTCTTAGTTGTACTCAGGAGAGGATGGGAGGGATACTCCCACTTTTTGGCCTGACCCTATGAACCTGGACAGAGCCCCAGAGACTCAGATTATGACCAGCCTGGTGACCACCTGCCCCATCTTCTTCCCTGGAAAGCTGACACTTCAGGTTGCCCACCAGCCACCAGGCAAGTAACCAGTGGCCTCTGGAAAAGGTGTACCTGAGGAATATCTGAGAGAGAGAGAGAGAGAGAGATTGTGTGTGTGTGTGTGTGTGTGTTGGGAGAACAGAGCTATTCTGTACTGAGGCTCAGACGTGGCCCATTAATAATTAATAATAAGCTCTGCCAGGGCTTGTAAGTTTATTAGGAGAACCGGTGTAATTAAAATTCAGGGCTGGGGGGAGGGGAGCAGAGGGCTTTTGCTTCCTTTGCTTCTTTCAGAGATCCAGACTGAGCTACCAATGGGGATAATTAGCAGAGTCCAAACAGAGAAGGAATTAATGCTCCTGAAAAAGCTGTGATGAGGAGAGACAATGCCAAGCTAATTACGGCCGCACCAAGCTTTATGACTGGGCGCTCACTTCCACCATCATTAGGGGATTCAGAGCTAAATCGGAGACTAATGTGGAGTGTTACAGCTAACAGAACATTGGCACTAATTTAACAATTATTAATATTATTAGTTTGGTGGATGGTAACTGTACCTTTCTGCTTGAGGGGTCAGGGCATGTGGCCCTTCTGAATGTGGGATCAAGGCTGGAGTGATGGAGGTGGAGGGCAGACAGCCAGAAATTCTTTTCCCTCTATGCTTCTCTCCCTGTTTGTACCTGCAACTAGTGAGAGGAGGGGTCTGCCTGGGTCCTCGGGGAGCAAGAAAGAGTTCAGTGCTCCTAGAAGAAAGAAGGGAGGGATGAGGTTGTGTCATTATACTTGGAGGGTCCAGATCTGGATGCCCCTGTTTATTTCTACTTTCAGAGACTCCTCTGATTTCAGTTCCTAAGTGTGACTCAGTCCTTAGAGGCTTCTTTTCCTAAGCAAGAATAGAAAGGGTGCCACCCAGTTTAGTCGGAACTTTGTCTTAGCATGCTTTCCCCACTCCAGACAACCCTATACAGACCATAAAGAAACCTGGTTTGATCCAGATGCCTCAATGCCACTCCTCACTATTTGCAGCCACATGTTATACCCCTAACTCTGTGGACAGGGAAGATAAACTTCAGACAGTTAGAAGAGAACATGTCTTTTGTACAGAGCTTAGAGGGATGACACATACTGAAACCACCATCCCTACTTGACGTTCTCATCAAAGTCAGAGGGAGAAGAAAACTTCTAGAACTATAAATCTAAGGGCTCTACAACTCTTAGATACTGGACCCTGCTTCTAGAACTCTAAAGCTCAAAACACACTAGTCAGAATATCATCTCCTTGGGTTCTAAAGGATTGTGCATTGTACCTTTCCTCAAAAAGGGCAAAATCTGCAGAATTCCATCCTTCCAGTGAGAAGGACAAACATCACATAAATTTCATGGCCACAAGTAAACTGGAGTTAACCACTCCCGGCTGCCAGCCTAAGAAAAACAGGGAAGCTTGAGGTCTCCTGTCAGGTTTCTGCATTTGCTGGAGCACTTCTGGACCTCTGCTTGCTACCTTAAGTCCAGAACCCATGCTGACCATACCTAAACCTCTGCAGCTTGGCTTATGGAAAAAGTTCATTCATTTCTACAAGGCAAATGACACAATGAAAGGTGGAGAACTGCTTATTAGTGTTCACTTGGGGTGTATTAAGGAGAATAGCAGGCCTATGGCTTCAGAGTTTTTAAAGAAAAAGGGGAAACTTGCTTTTAGTTTGGACAGTTTGTGTACAGGTGTTTCCAAGTCAGGGTCTGATTAACTGAGACTTCCTGTGCAATTCCTAGCACAGACTCTAGCCTATAGAGGAGTCTCAGCAAATGACAGTGGAGTCTGAATCTCAGTCTCAGGGTGTTACTAGAAATCTGTAAGCTAGAGACTTAGAACAGGAAGAAGTCAAGGGAAAACATAAAATGGTAAACAGAGCTGGGCCTGCTCTAGCCACTTGCATTTTTCATAAAACTGCAACAAATGAAAAGCTCTAGCATTGTGCTGGTTGGAGAATCTGGACCCAGAGAGCAGGCTGGGAGGCGGAACAGCTGGGGCCTGGTCCTGAACTCCATGGCATCTCCCCAGACCCTCTGGTCACCTAAATTCTCAAAATCCCAAGGCCACTCTCAACCACTATCTTTCTCTTGCTATGATCAAAGGGTCTGCTCCTGCCTCCCCATATCCCTTTCAGCCTCTCAGCTTGGACCCTGGGCTTCCTGGGACTTGTGACTCAGCAGCCAAAGTTAAAGTTTTCCTGAGCTAACAACTAGAACTCATCTTCTGATGCAGCCTGCAGGGAAGGCATAGTAATTCATCTGGGCCTGCCGACTCTCACCCCTCAGGCTTTTCTCACCCTCAACCTGGCCATCCAGGCACCTGTCATTCCAGATTATGGGTATCTCTGTGGAGTCAGAACACCTGTGCCTCCCCCTACCAAGATGTGCTGCACACATACAGCCCTGCCCCACTTCCAGCAACTTCCACCGTCACCCCCAGCATTTCTGCCCTGAACAGACAGGAGAGTCAGCTTCCATCCCAGATGGAACTCCACAGGTATGTTCTCACCCTCTAGGCTCTGAGGGTCAGGACCAGCATTAAGGCTCCACTGGAGATGGATCATTGGTGGAAAAGACGGAAGGGAGCTGGGGAGTAGGGAGAGGCAGGAAGAGGCTCCCTGATAGGGAAAATTCTGTGTCTGGTGTGTATGCGTGGTGTAGGAGGGGATGGCACCAGAGAACCAGAGTCTTATAATAATAACTTGTTAGGCCTAATGTGTTCTGCGAATCTCCAAGGCAGGGAATCAACTTCCCCAACCTCCATCTCTGTACCACCCTCTAAAAGTTCTTTATGTCTAACCTCAGTCCCTTCTGCTGCAGTGATCAAACCATTGACTAAACATTGCCACAACTAGGGACAGCAGCGCCTCCTACGACCCTCACAGGGCTCAGGTGGGCTCCGCTCACCCCAAGGCTGGATACAGCCCCCTCACACACACAAGCCTCCCCTTGGCCCACCGCCCCCTCCCCCGAACTGCTCCTCACGGGTATCTACCTCTATATACGACCTTTAACCTCAAGTGAAAGAAAACAGGACCCTGGGACCTGCAGCCGCTGGGGAGTTTACCCCACCTGTACCTGCTCCCAGAACCGCCGGTCCCTGGCTTCTCGTCCCTGGAGCAGCGCGTGGGGACCAAATTCCCGCCTCTGGCAGCCCCTTTCTCCCCTTCCCGCGCCAGCGGTGCAGAGCCACTGAGCAACTCCCGAGTGCTCCTAGGCCCAGCGCTACTGGGGTCGGGGTGGGGGAATAAGGAGGGATGGAGCCTGCAGAGTCTCCTGGAACCCCGGCGTCCTGGTCCTTGCAGGATCTCCCCACCCCCACTCCGCATTATCTCCAGGCCTCTCACTCCCCCAGCCCCTCCCCCATGGAGGGGACGCGACCCAGTACTCCCTCCCGCCCCGGACCCTCCAGATATCGGGACAAAGAAGCCCCGCGGCAGCCGGCGAGCGTGGCTGCCGGGCACTGGTGCAGCAGGTAAATACCCTGGGCCGGCCGCCACGTCGCCGACCCTCCCGCAGCTCCCGCCGCCAGGGCGCGACACGCCATTCCCCCTGCCGCGACTCCCCGGAGACGCCGCAGCTGCGCGCCAGGGTCCAGCCCGGCGGGGATCGGGCTCGGGACTCACCCGCTCCGGCGAGCTCGACTCAGCTCGGGCTCCCGCCTCGGCTAGGCAGCCGCCTGGGGCTGCGTCCCGCGCAGGGTCAGCGCGGATCGGGCAGGAGGCGCCCTCTTGGCAAAGTCGGCTAGAGGCGCCAGCTCAGTCGCGCACCGGCCCCGAGTCCGAGTCCGAGAGGGACGGAGGGAGCGAGTTATAGGGGCGAGAGGGGGTGGGGGAAGGACGCCGCAACACCCTCATACCCTCCCCCACCCCGCCCCCTGTCCCCCGCCCCCCAGCGGAGACGCGGAAAACCACTCGCAGCCGGAGAGACACCCGGACACAAAGACCTCGTGCCAGCCGCAGACCCAAGTTTCTCCCGGAGAGACTGGGGGTCCGCCCGCGTTCACCGCGAGAACACACAAACGGACGGACAGACCGACGCACGGACCCGGGGACCTCGACACTCGCTAGGAGGCAAGCCCTATTCCTCAGCCGGGCGCCCCTCGTCTCCCGCTCTCTCCATGGACCCCTCTCCTGGCAAATCGCCCGCAGAGCGAGCTTGGAGATGCGAGGGAAACTGAAGCCCCAAGGGTGCCCCGTCCTGGGAGCCTGGCTGTCTGCGGGGTCCCCCGCATTCCGCAGTAGTAATACAGGAGGGCCGGGGGCTTCTACCCCAACCTCCGCTCCCCTTCGGGTCTCTCCTGGCTGTGCAAGCGATGGGCCAGAGGGCTGGACGAGGCTGGCTCCCAATCCAGAATCCCGAGCTGGGGAGTTCTCTCTAGGTTCTGGGGCTCCTGGGACCGGGGCTTTGGGGAAGGGAGATCGCAGGACGGATATCCAGGAAGGGAGGGGGCCCTGGGTCTCCCGTTACCTGCGCCTGCCGCGCTGGGACTCCGCTCTGGGGGCTGCAGCTCGAAGCTCCGACAAGTCTCCACGTCCAGCCCGAGAGGGGGCGGCCGGGCCCGGCACAGCGAGGCGAGGACCGCGAGCGCCTCCTGGCACCGAGGCCCGCCGGCCCCCCACACTCCGCTCATGCCCTAGACACCCAGGCTTGCCGAGCAGCAGCTCGAACCCGCGCCCCGGCCGCACTGGGGCGGGGCACGACGGCCCCAAGAAGACCCTCCCTGCAGCGGCCCCCTGCGGCTCCGCTCTGCTTTTAATCACTTCCCCGCAGGGTCCCCGCCCCTCACGTGGCATCCCGCGGCAGCTGGCGAGTCTGGCGCCTCGCGGCCGCCCCCTCTACACTCAGGGACTGGCCTGAGTCCGGGGGGTGGGGGTTTCGAGGCGGGAAGCCGGGCTGTCCCGAATCTCGGAGGGTGCAAGGCCAGGAAAGAGTCCGGGTTCCCACTCCGCATTCACTGCCTGGTGTGACCTTGGGCGTCTCTGAGCCTCAATTTTCCTCTCCGTAAAGGAGGTGTAATGATTTTAAGTACTTCACGGACTCCCTGGGGATAGAAAGATCGTGTTTGTGAAAACACTGGGTAAACTGCCACATGCCACACGAATGACAGAGAAATAGATAACCCCGTAACAGAAAGAGCGACGGTCAGGCAGGGTCTGGGAGGACCTTGGCCGAGGTTCCTGACGGGAGCAGTTAGACTGGCCCCCGAGTCCCAGCTTCGGAGGTAGAAGACCCCAAGACAGGCGGGCGATGCGAACTGCAAGACTTTCCGAGCTCCGCAATCCTGCGGTCCGCGGTACCCGCATGTTGCTATGGCGACGGGAGGCAGCGGCCGTCTCTCTCCATGGCAACGGGAGGGAAAAGTTTCTGGCAAACAGGAATGGGGGGTCATTTCAAGAGGGCGCAGGGCGCTCAGTTCCGCCGACCCACCTCCTTGCTTCGGTGAAACAGCACCAGAGATCATGTATCTTTCTGCTAAGCATAACAAGAAAGACAGAAAGCTCAACGGGAGGATTGAGGCTAGACTTAAAGTAGAGATCCCCTCAGAAACTGTGGAGTGAGGCCCAGGAACAGATCGGCTGAGAGGCTTCGAGCTGCCTCACTCAGCGCTGGAAGTCTGTGAGCCATGGTCAGGGAGGCCGGGGGACCAGCGCCCTGCAGGGGCCTATCTCGGGAGTCTCTTGATCTACACCTGTCGGCGGTGGGGCCCCTTCTGTGTGGGGCTCGCCTGAAGCCCCAGACTCAGGTCCATTTGCTCTCCCGGAGCTGGGAAGGAAGCTTTAGCTGCAGCCCCTGGAGGCTGCTGGGTTGGTGTATGCCCGAGTGGCTGGCGAGGGAGAAAGGTCTTGCCTCTTAATTAACACGCTTATTGGAAGTGACTCGGGCAGTGACTCACGTTCCGGAGGGAGGAGATTCGGAGCCTTAGCTCCTGGCGGTCTCCACTGCGCGCCATCTGTGCCAACCGGCCCTTGGACTTGCGATCCCCTAGCAGCTGGTGCCTGGGGCACCAAGGGCTAAGGCAAGGCCTGTGAGGACCCTGGCCCAGCCAGGCGGCTTTTCCACCGTGAGGCGCCCCCTGGCTCTGTCCACGGTGCTGAAGACCCAGTTGGTGCTACCATCGCGTGGGCATAAGTTTAGGGGACGAGGGAGAGGCAATTGTTGAAGGTTCGCAGCTTCCACCCTGACCCCTGTGCCTGTGATAGCAGAAGGCTAGGAACTCAGGCAGGGACCAAGCAGACACGACGCAGGCGATACTGTGCAATCCGGGCTGCCTTCCTGCTGGAGGTGTTTGGTTGCTGTTCCAAGAACAAGTGGGGCTCTGGCATCCCTATGCGCCTTCCTGGTGCTTCTGAAAACCCACCTGAGGAGCCTAGAGGCCCCATTAATTTCTTTTCCATCACCCGATGCAGATCTCAGCACCCAGAAGAGCCTCTGGCTAAACGCTTATTAGCAGTTTCCCAAGTGGCAGGTTTGTGTTTATGTAAAATACAAATGGAGAACTGCTCTTTGCCCGTGTTTATGGCAACTCTGTCACTCCCCTGCTATTTCTCCCTCCCCCTCGCGAGTTCCTGGGGGAAATTCACAGAACAAAGCACCTTGTTTTGCCTTTGCAGAGAATGAAAAAACACAGGACCATTCCAAGGGCCCAGACCTGTGATGCAGGGAAATCAATATTTTGCTTACATCGAGTGGGGGAATTTGCATCTAAACTGAAGGCAAAGGAGCTTGTTTGGAGCAGAGCAGGTGGCAGGAGCCGAGAATTAACAGATAATTTCTCATTGTTCCTGGATTCAGCCTCCACACTCGGCAGGCGCTTCTGCAGCGTCTCTGGCGCCCCGGCAGCAGCTCCGGACCTGGCATTTCTCAATCTAGCAGTGTGAAGGAGCTGCTGCCCTGATAGGGCTGCAGAAACAGGTTAGGGCCCCTGGGTCAGTCAATAGCTATTGAAGTTGGATTGTAGGAGTTAGCGTGTGTGGGAGAGACAGAGATGAGAGAGACAGAGAGAAAGAAACAGAGACAGAAATAGAGGCAAGAGACAGATACAAATGAGAGAGACAGAGGATGAGACAGAGATACAGAGAGACAGTTATAGGAAATAGAGAACAGAGAAACAGACAGGGAGACAGATGTACAGGTAAAGAAACACACATTCAGAAGGAGACATTAAGGTAAAGCCTCACCCTAGTTGTCCTCTTTAGCCCGCTACCTCCCCCAGCCCCCAGGTCAATTGCTGATACCACTGTGGTCACATAACCAGCCACAAAGCAGAAAAATTCTTCATGTAATGATGGAAACTTTTTTGTCTCTCAAACCCCTTTGCCCTGCAAACCCAACCCCCAAACACACCTTTGCTTCTTCCCATATGAAGAGATAAAATTCAGAGTCCCAGGGTCCCACCAAGAGCTGGGAGGGAGGATCCAGGGTCCCACTCAAACCCAGAGAGGGAAAGAGGTGGAAAGAAGTGGAATTGTTGCCCTTCAATTCTATCTCTCAGAGAAATCCCATTCTGAGTTTGGGTTTAGGGGTGGGGAGGAGAGAAGCAGGAGCAGAGACAGTTAAGCATGGAGTGGTGGCAAATAAGTACATTGGACAGGGCCTGGGAGGGCTGGGATTCAGGGCTGGTGCACCAAAGCAGCCACGAGGCTGTCACATCCCCTATCTGGGGCTCAGTGTGCCTATGTGAAGTTGGATTAGGAGCTCTTTGAGGCTCCTTCCAGCAACAGCACTCTAGGATTTTACATGAGGGAGAAAAGAGGAGGCTGGGGCAAAGGGAGGAGGGAGGCAGCCTTTCCTGGCTCTGAAGCTGAGGGTGGTTTTACAGAGGCCAACTCACTTTCAGCTCCCCCTCCCCCATCGTTCTCATTGCGCCTACAGCCATGCATGGAGCATCCCGAGTCTGGGCACCTCCAGACCAGACTTCTCAGATGCAGGAAGAGGAGCTGGGGTGGAATGGGAGGCAGAATGAGAGGAGGTTTGAGACAGAAACAAGAGGCCTCCCACTCCTATGCCCTCCTCTCTTCGGAAATAGCCAATGTGCTCATCTCCTGCCCCCAACTTAAGTCTCTGCCCTTGGGCAGGCTCCCACTCTGCTCTGAGCAGCAATGTCTTGTTGAGTTATGTTGCAAATAAAATAAATTAAAACCAAATAATAATTTCTTTAAAAAAATTGAACCTTGGTAGGAAATTGCTAATGCTGTAGGCGGGAAGAATGAGCTCCTTTGACATGAGCCGATGTGTCATATTGTCTTTCCATCTCAATGCAATTTCTAAATAGGGAGCCCTTTCCCCATTCCCTCCTCCCTCCAAGTCCCCAGCAGAAATGTAAAGGGAGCAGTCTGACGATTGTAGCTGGATTGTCTGACGTGCAGGGAGAGACACAGAGGAATAGACACACAAGCACACCTACAGCTTTGCCACGTGGATAGAAGCTAAGGAGGCTCTGACCCAACCCTGAGGGCCCCTGGTCTCTTCTCCCCACCTCCCCCATCCTCTGCTTACTGAGGCATGTAGCCGCCTTCTGCAGAAGTGTTAATTTACTCAAAAAAACAAACATCAGTTGAACCTAGTCTACTGCAGAATCAAGTTGAGGTCCTGTATTTGAGGGTATAACTTCATATCATTATTTGGAATAAACTGTACTATGGATTCCCTATGGGGTTTCAGCCAGAACAGCTTTATCAGTATTTCCTGCAGATGACACTCTCTCCCCCAGCCCCCATACCAAGATAGCAAATCTAGCCAAAGCTGGGTGACTTCTGCAAATCATGCTGTCCCAAGCCATCATCAGAGTTTTCAGGGATTCCTCCTTACCTGAGAAGATGCAGAAGACGTTGCAGAGCTCAAGGTCAATGCCTAGGTGCTTTTTGAAAGCGTCCATTCTTGCTTTTATTCCAAGAAATATGCTTGGCAGTTCAAACATCCTGAACCAGGGTATATTTGCCTCTCTCCCATTCCTCCCCTATTTCAGCAGTCTCATCTCTGTTCTGTGCTCTCTGCTCAAGCACACAATATTCCACATCAGACTTGGGAAGACTGGACAATGTTTTCTGCATCCAGCCTGGCTTTGTGGACAAAAGCAGGCTGGAGTTCGGGGAAGCAGAGACAGGTTGAAGGTCAGAAGGCAGTATCATCCTTCAAACAACTTTAGAGCTAGGCCTAACCATGGTGGGTCGAGGTCTGTCTCCATTACTGAGAAGTGAAGATGATGTCAGAATGGAAGGGCTAGGAAGGGAGCCAAATAGTCCTCTTCTCACTGACCTTGTACAGAAGAAACAGCACGGCTTTGGAGTTGGACAGATCTGCGTTCAAATCCTGGGTCTGTTATTTACCAACTGGATTGCTTTAGGTGCTATACTTTAGCTCTCTGAACTTCAGCTTCCTCATTTGTAAAACGGGACATATAGGGCCTGCTTCACAGTGTACAAGGCAAGGATTACATGAGTTGGGTTAAATGGTGAAGGTACTGTGACTGATCCATGGCAAGTGTTAAATGATGGTTCCTGTCCCCTTTCTTCCTTTTTTCAGAATGTAGAGGAAAATTTAGCAGGTACACTATTCAGAGGTTAACCTGTATTCTTCCATGGGGCAAGTCTCTGCAAATTGTCCAGAAGGAATTTATCTCATGTAATTCTTACAAAAATACTGAGAGGCACAATGGGTGGATCCTAATCATCCATCTAGTAGATGAGGAGATTAAGTGACTGGTTCCTAGTCCACAAGGGAGGAGATGGCAGAGAACTGGAATTCAGGCCTTCAGACAGCAGATCAGCGCTCCTTCCTTCTTCACCATGCGGCAGAAAGATGGTGGGGATGTGAATACTTTTTCTTATTTTCTTACAAAAGGTTACAATATTTTAAAATTGCCTTTACAATAAATAAAAATTTAGAAATAAATTACAATGCAGTGAAAGATTTTTTCCTGTGCCTCTTTGCAATGCTCTTGGCTCTTTGACCTTAGCCATTTCAGTTGCCTCTTGGACCCAGTTACTGGTCTAGAGGAAAGATGGTGTCATTGATAAAATACGGGGTTGGGGCCAGACAGCTTCATGGCTCCATATGTGCTTGGTTGCTTCACTCTTGACAGAGGTAGGACTCCTCAGAGAGCAGCTTGGGGTGTCTCTGTGCCTGGACTGTGTCCTGTGGTCAGAGCCCTGCTTCCAGGAAAGGGCCAAGCCAAGATTCTTGTAAGACCAGGACTCCAAAGATTGGAGCTCTCCCCAAGGAGCCTGGAGAGAGTTTGCAATCTTAGGTCTCTGGCTGTTCCACTAATGAAAGGAAACCAGATAAAATGCCAAAACTAATTAAAACAACAAACCTGAAAAGGCCCTGTCAAAACTAGGAAGTCTTAATTCTTGATTTCAACAGAATTCAGGTAGGAAGAATCAACAGAGCATGCTTTGGGTCAGTGGACTGAAGCCCCCTACAGAACTGAGGTGTTGGAGTCCCTGGAGAGAACAAATCTGTTTACCAAATTCCAGCTTCCATCCATTTGGTAGAATAAAAATCCTTTTCTATCCCAGCCCCCAAGCCTTATATACATTTCTGCTGTTTGCTAGAGCCATAGTAATGGTTTTAATGAGTCAGCCCCCAACCTTTATTAATACTTCTCTACCTTTGTAAAGCATGGCACAGTTTACACAACAGTCTTACGTATGTTATCTCATTTCATACAACAACCCCAAGATTGGACAGTATTATTCTCATTTCACTGGTGAGGTCCCAGAGAGGCTAGAAATAACTGGCTCAGGATTCACAGCTAGTGAGTGGCCGAGCCAGAGCTCAAGTCTGTCTTTTCATGCCACTCGTTCACTCATTCAACATTTATTGAGGTCCTACTAAGACCCAGTCTGTGCCAGGCACATGGGATGCAATCCTGTGCTGTTTCCTGTATACAATGGCCTTCAGCCACACCACATACAGAGCCCTGAGCATATGGGCTCTGTCCTGAGGGAGTGCACACCATCAGTTGTGTAAAGAGGCTGTGTGTGAAATTGACTGAAAATGAGTTCTTTGACCTCCTTGATGCGCAGTTGCACAACCCACATGAACAGTGAAATTCTCTTCTGACATGATTCTCCCTGGATTTCCCTCCCTTTCTGTTTCTTTTACTTTCTCCTTTGCCTCCTGTCAACCCTCTGCTTTCTCCAGGGTTCAGCTCTCAGCTTTTCTTTCTCCTATCTCAGTGCTCTCTGAATGGTCTTATCCATTTATAGGGCTTCAGATACCAAACAATGCCAACATTAATAGTAATGGTAAACATTTACTGAGCACTTACTCTTTTCCAGGATCCATGCTGCTTGCTTAATAAGGGTTGCATAATTTAATCCTCACAACAATCCTATTATTGCCTTCAATTTGCAGGTACCAAATGATAGAGCCAGAATTTAAACCCATGCAGTCTCACTCCAGCGCCCACCCTAAGGATTTCCAATTCTGCATCTCTGACTCATCTATCTCTCCTTGCTTCTCCATGTGCATTTATAAATTCCTGTTCTGAACAACTTGACCCTAGACCTTCTGAATCCAATACATATAAGACAGAAATTATATTTTCCTTCACAAACCTGCTCCACCTCTCTCCTTAAAGAAGGCTATAACCAAACCAAATTAGTGGCTCAAACTAAAAATCTCAGAGGCTTCTTTGATGCTTCCCTCTCCCTTATTCGTCTGCATTCATCCATGACTGAATTCTGTTGTTTCTATTTCTCAAGTGTTTTGAACCCTTGTCCGCCTTGTTGTATGTAATGAGATAACATACGTAAGGATACCCTCATCCTTGGAATCACTGTCCTTGCCCTAGCTCCAGCACCCAATAGCGCTCTTCCAGATCATGGCAGTTATGTTATGGGATAATATGAATATGTCACCCTCTCCGTTAAAATCCTTCATAGAATTCTTGGGGCCTTTGAGATGAAATTGAAACCCTCCAGTATGGCAAACAAAGCCCTTCCAGATCTGGCCTTTGTCCACTTATGTAGCCTTCTCTCTAGACACTCCTGGGTATCCTCTGCGGGCCACCTATGCGGTGGTCACAGAGTGGTAATCCCTGTCCCTTGTCCTCACTCTCCACCCCACCTTCTGCATTTTTGCTCATTTTGTTCCTGCAGTTCCTCTTCTCTTCCATTCTAGAGTCTAGAACTTTGTGACTGCTTGTCCCTCTGCCCCAAACACCTTCCCTCTTTTCCTCATCACCCAGCTTGTTCCTACTGGATGCAGTGGCACACGCAGGTTAAGACTGTAGGCTTTGAACATTATACTGAATGGGCAAAAGCTGGAAGCATTCCCGTTGAGAACCAGAACAAGACAAGGATGCCCATACACATCACTCTTATTCAATATAGTACTGGAAGTCCTAGCCAGAACAATCAGGCAAGAGAGTGAAATAAAAGGCATCAAAATAAAAAGATGGAAAGTCAAACTATCTCTCTTCACAGACAATATGATACGATACCTAGAAAACCTCATAGTCTCTGCCCAAAGGCGCCTATATCTGATAAACAATTTTAGCAAAGTTTCAGGATACAAGATCAATGTACAAAAATTAGTAGCATTTCTATACACAAATAACATCTAACCAGAGAGTCAAATCAGGAATGCAATCACATTCACAATAGCCATAAAAATAGTAAAATACCTAGGAATAGAGCTAACCAGGGAGGTGAAAGATCTTTACAAGGAGAATTACAAAATACTGCACAAAGAAATCAGAGTTGACACAAACAAATGGAAAAACATTTCATGTACCTGGATAGGAAGAATTAATATTGTTAAAATGGTCACACTGCCTAAAGCCATTTACAGATTCAATGCTATTCCTATCAAACTACTAATGACATTTCTCACAGAATTAAAAATATATATAAAATTCATTTGGAACCAAAAAAAGAGCCTGAATAGCCAGAGCAATCATAAGCAAAGAGTACGAAGCTGGAGGCATCACACTGCCCAACGAAGCTATACTACAAGGCCACAGTAATTAAAACAGCATGGTACTGGTACAAAAACAGACACAAAGACCAACGGATCAGGTTAGAGAACCCAGAAATAAAGCTGCACACCTACAACCATCTGATCTTTGACAAAGCCAAGATAAACAAGCAATGGGGAAAGGACTCCCTATTCAATAAATGGTACTGGGATAACTGGCTAGCTTTATGCAGAAGATTGAAACTGGACCCTTCTCTTTCACCATATACAAAAATCAACTCAAGGTAGATTAAAGACTTAAATGCAAAACCTAAAACTGTAAAGACCCAAAAGAAAGTCTAGGCAATACCCATTCTAGACATTGGCCCTGGCAAACACTTCATGACAAATGCTCCAAAAGCAATTGCAACAAAAACAAAAATTGGCAACTGGGACCCTAATTAAACTAAAGAGTTTCTGCACAGTAAAAGAAACTATCAATAGAATAAACAGAAAACCTACAGAGTGGGAGAAAATATTTGCAAACTATGCATCTGACAAAGGTCTAGTATCCAGAATTCATAAGGAATTCAAATAAATCAACGAGCAAAAAACGACCTCATTAAAAAATGGGCAAAGAATATGAACAGACCCTTCTCAAAAGACATACAGGTGGCCAACAAGCATATGAAAAAAGCACTCAATATTACTAATCATTAGGGAAATGCAAATAAAAACCACAATGAGAAACCATCTCACTCGAGTCAGAATAACAATCATTAAAAAGTCAAAAAGTAACAGATGCTGGTGAGGTTGCAGAGAAAAGGGAACATTTATACACTGCTGGTAGGAACATAAATTACTTTAGCCACTGTGGAAAACAGTCTGGAGATTTCTCGAAGAACTTAAAATAGAACTGCCATTTGACCCAGCAATTCCATTACTGGGTATATACCCAAAGAAATATAAATTGTTCTACCATAAAGACACATGCATGTGTATGCACTATTCACAAAGCGAAGACATGGAATCAACCTAGATTCCCATCAACAGTGGACTGGATAAAGAAAATATGGAACATATATACCATGGAATACTACACAGCTATACAAAATGAGATCATGGCCTTTGTAGCAACATGGATGGAACTGGAGGCCATAATCCTAAGCGAATTAACACAGGAAGAGAAAACCAAATACCACGTGTTCTCACTTATAAGTGGAAACTGAACATTGAATACACATGGACACAAAGAAGGGAACAATAGACACGGGGGTCTATTTGAGGGTAAAGAGTGGGAGGAGGGTGACAAGTGAAAAACAACACATCGGGTATTATGCTGATTAACTGGGTGATAAAATCATCTGTACACTAAACCCCTGAGGCACTCAATTTACCCATGCAATAAACCAGTGTATGTACCCCTTGAACCTAAAACAAAAGTTGGAGGAAAAAAAATGTGTAGGCTTTGCAGCTAGATTGCTTGGTTCAAATTTTGGATCTGCCATCCAATTGAATGAATGACATAGTAGCTGTGTGACCTTGGGCAAGTTACTAAACCTTTCTGTGCCTCTGTTTTCTTGTCCATAAAATGGAGATGATAATAGTAGTACCTCTCTCATTAGTTTACTGGGTGGTTTAAATGAGTTGATATGAACGAAGCACTCAGAATATCCCGTTCTCTGACTTCCAGAGCTGACTCAGATATTCCCTTTCTTGACATCCCATGGCACCCAATGGTTTTCTTTGTCACAGAGTTTAACAAACCATACTGTTGACTATTACTAGGCCATGAGCTGCTGAGCTGCATCTATCTCTCATTGATCTTTATACCCTCAGCGCCTCACACCTGATCCACACACAGCAAATGTCTATCACTTTGAAGAAGGCTGAATGTGTGAGTGTAATGCGATGCAAAGTGAGTGTGTGAGTGCAGGAGGAATCCCAGAGGACAGTTCCACGGGCCAAGTCAGGGAAGGCTTCTTGGAAGAGCAGAGTTGTGAGTAGAGTAGTTCGTCTGGAACTGGAAGGAATGGGGGAGCACATTCATTCTAGGCTGCAGGATACCTGTGACACAGGGAGCTCAGGCAAAAATAAGCATTTCACAGGAAGGAGTGAGCAAAGGACAAGGGGCGAGAGAGGACCCTGGACCCTCAGGAATCCCAGTTCACTGCTCTGATGCTCATCTTACTCAGCTGGGTTGTTATCAAGAGCTGGGCTTGTTCCAGCCTCAGAGGCCAAGGCAGAGGGAGGCCCAACCCCAGCCCTCAAGGAGATTCCAGTGAAGCCACAGGAAGCCAGGAAGCACCCAGTCAATATTCCTCTGCAAGCTCTCCAGAGTTGGGGTCATGAAAAGTTTCTTTTTTAGAATAAATTGCTTACCAAAAGTGTTGATTGAGGAGAAAAATATATTCATACATTTTTTTTTAAAGAAATTGCTGATTTTTCTCATGTCAAGCCATCGCTGTAAAGCACGCGTGTGTCTTCTGGGGCAGCTGACTGTTTTCCGGGATAAATTTCTGATAATACCACCAAGTCATTACTGCACAATTAGTGCTGCTAATGAGGTAGGCAAAGTTTGCTTCCCACTCCTTCCCCACCCTTTCTACCTCTCTCTGCTCTTTTCTCCCCAGTTCACACACATTCTTCTCACACCCCTCCCTCCCAACCACAGAGCTGGTAGTGGGAGACGGGAGGGCCCCAGGTGAGGCTGTCAGACATTGGATTTCGACTCTCAAGCCTCCCAAATTAGCAAAGTGCCCAGGTAACTGGGAGAGGGCAGAGAACCAAGGGGTGCCAATGAAGAGGAGGGAGAGGCTGGCCTTGACCTGGGCACCAGGAAGTTAACAAGGGGCTGGGAGCAGTGGCTCCTGCCTGTAATCCCAGTGCTTTAAGAGGCTAAGGCAGGAGGATCACCTGAGGTCAGGAGTTCAAGGTTGCAATGAGCTATGATCTCACCACTGTACTCTAGCCTGAGTGACAGAGCAAGATCTGTCTCTAAAAAAATAAGAAGAAAGAAAGAAAGTTAAATAAGGGTGGCGGCAGTAGCCAGGGGAGGTGGGGGGTGGCAACTTACCCTTCAGGGTATGCAGCAGTGATCTGTCACCCTAGAGACTTTGTCTAATGCCCTGGTAATAGTGGAATTTTCTCCAGCAGTGGGGAGACAGCCCAGTGCCAGGGCTAGGTAACAGAGCTGTGGGTGGGTGATGCTGTGTTTGTTTAGGCTGCTGGTGGGAACAGCAGCTAAGCTTGATGGGAACATATTTCGTTTCATTCTGAGTAATTATTTTCCCTACACACACACTCTTAGACACACATACATAGACCACATTCAGACACACACCCCCAGGGGGATTTTTCAGCCTTGCTCCTGGAAGCACCTGACAGGTTCTCTGATAGGCTCTCCTCCTCCCAGGTGGCTGTTGAGCTTTTTGGACACCTCAGCAGCCTTTGTAAGATGGAGAGTTTAAAAACTGCCGAGAAAATTATGTAGGGGAGGCCGGGAGCTCACTGAGGCCTCTGTTCCTGAGTAGGCATCTCCATGGTGGGTTGTAGAGTTGCCCACTGACCTGGTGAGCAGAAGTCAGCTGTGGCTGATGGAGCCCAACCTCCCCAGCCTGGGGAAGAGGGTGGGCAGAAGAGGCCCATGAGGGAAGGAGGACAAGGAAGGAGGGGCAATAGTGAAGCCTGTGGCTTCAGGAGGAGGGCTCAGGGGCAGGAGGTTGCTGAAGTGGGGCTTGGATGCAGATGCTTGCAAGGAGAACAGGCGTGGGCATGACTGCAGGGTCACAGCTCCATGGCTCAGGGAAGCCACGGACAGCACAGAGCATGAATGCCTCAGCCCCAGTAGGGATTGGATTGGATTGGATGGCCTGGCTTGCCTCTCATCCAATTCTTTATGATTCTTGCGCATGAAAATTGACAAAAACCAATCACTTTCCTCACAGCTGTGCTAACCTAGGGTTGGGGGCAGTAGGGAGGATGGCAAAGGCTTTTCATTATTCATTGGATTAAACTGTTAGAGCCAAACAGCACAGCAAATGGAAGTCCATTGTTTTCTCTGGAAGCCATTCTAATTGTTAACTGAGCTGGTGAGGGAGGTGTCCTGGGAGGCTCACAGTGGCTTCACTCTGCCTTCGGGTTTGTGAGCGGAACTTCGACAATGCTTTCCTCTGTCACCCTCATGCAGACAAGAAAGTACCTCGGTGACCTCCCTCAATTCTGAAGAGCCTCTCATTCCCACACGGGCTAGGCCCAGAGATACCAACATTGAGACTTGCCTTGTTTTGAGCATCTCCTTTAGGAGAGGGTCCCATCTTCCTAATCTGGGTTAGATGCCCCCTGAGCCCTCCATTTCTGCTGTTGTCACTGCCCTCAGATTTTACGGTAATTGCTAATTTACTTCTCCATCTCCTAGACAGATATGTCAGGGACTAGACCACAAGTTCTGTTTTGTTCACTTTGGTATTCCCAGCCCTTGCTATATTGTCTGTTACCTAGTAGGTGCTCAAGATAGTTTAACTGGGTGAATTAGCTGAGATAGGAGTTTCAAAGTTTGGGAGTTGGGGAATCATTTTTAGGTAGATCAATTCCTGCTTGCAAAGGAGAGGAGGGAAAAACCACTAAGTGTCTCAAAGCAAAGAGAAGGTTTGCTGACCACAGAGGAGGAGAGGGGCATGTCTTCCTTCTCACCTGGAGTTCCTAAAACCTGGGCCGCAGGGTGAGAACAACTGCTGTAAAGATCTACCAGGTAAAGCTTCAAGATCTTCCCGTAGAGCTCAATCTCCTGCACCAGGAGCCACCCTCCTGGGAGGCCTTGCTCTCCTTTCTCTGACCTCTGCGGTGCTGGTACTCGGCGCCTCCAGAGAACCTCCAGGCAGGTGCTGCCTGATTGACTCCATGCTCTGGAAGTCCTCTTCCTTGAACCAGTGGCCTCACTCCCTCCCATTCGCCGGGGAGCAGCTGACTACTCCTGCTGCCTCCTTCATGTTCTTCCAGGGCATTGCTACCTCTCTTGCTGCTCCCACCCAAGTGAAGACAAAATCCTCTTCTTCATTTCTCCTCGGATGCCATGGCAGGCTGGCAATTGAAAAAGAACCTTAAGAATGACTGAGGAAGGAATTACCTTTCATATAAATAGTTTTTGGATATCCAAGAATCGTCACACTCTAGACAGAAAGAGCAGGTGCCACATCACAGGCATCTTGCTTGGGTCCTGGCCCTGTCGGGTGGGGGCTGGAGCTAGTTCTCAGAGGTCCCCAACTGAGCAGCAGGAACGAGGCATCCTGACATTTACCACAAGCTCTGCAGCAGCAGCCAAGAGGTCACTTGTGCAATACCAGAGAAACAAAAGCTAAAGGCCACCCGCACCAGAGACAGGAGCTGAGACTCCACCTGCCAACCCAGAATGTCAGGGAAAGCTAGGGGTGGGGCCAACACAAAGCTGGTCAGGTCCCAGGGCAACCACCACAGACACTTGAGGATGTTCAGAGCTTACCTTTGGGGGATGTTTCTGGTGTGCTCTGTGGCTGAGTGGCTTGAGCAAGAATAAAGGATTTTGGGGCAAGGCAGAGAGCTTCCCTTCTTTCTAGCCACAGCTAGTCTTTAAACTTAAGAGAAGACCACAGTCAACTGTCACTCAGAAAGTTGGATGACCCTCATTTTTAGCCCAACACAATTCCAATTGGCAAGACACAGAGGAAGTTAAGAGTATGGGTCTTGGAGTTAGAAAAAGGTGGACGTAAATCGTGTCTGTGTAATTTATTCTCTCTCTCTGTATACAGTACTTCCAAACCTCCATTTCATCAACTGTAGAATGGGGATAATACAAGCACCTGTTAGAATTGCCAGGAGAATTGAATGTGATAGTACTCGTAAAAGGCCTAGCATACAGTAAATGCTCAATAACTGATAGCTCTGTGATTATTGTTTGAACTTGATAAGTCCTTACTGAGTGGCCTCTAATCTAAAAGTATGACCTTGATAAAATCCCCCATTAAGGGTCACCAACTGAACCACAAGAGAACAGAAATTGCCCTCAGCTCCAGAGAGCAGTCTGCCTCTAGGTAAGGTAAAGAGGTGTTGCTGTGCCCTAGAAACCTTCAGATGGTCCCCTTCACTTCGAAGCTGAGGTGGGCCCTAGTGGGCGAGGAGGGGCTGATGGTTAAACTGAGCCCTTGGGACATAAATTATGAATCAGTGACCTTTGCTAGTTTAATTACTCCCACTGCTGGGTGGTCTGTGCTCTGGCACTAGCCCCGGTAGGGGGCAAATTCTGCTCGCAGCCGGCAAAGCCCAGGGCCTGGTGCTTTTGCTTTCATCACCCCTGGTTCGTGTGGTTATTTCTGTGGCAGGAAAATTTTCTCACTGTGATGAAGGTCATGCTCTAGTCTAGGGGCAGGCCTGCTCTGGGCTCCCCTCATCCCTTTGACTTTGCAAAACACCTTATTATTCTTCAAAGCTTGTTGACATCATCCATCTTTTTTTTTTTAAAGCTGAATCTGACTGTATTAATAAAGCTGTCACACTAGTAGGTCTGTGGGTTCTAATCGAACTGATACATAGAAACAATCACATTCAGACAAAAAGAACACAGGGCACTCCATGAGGGAGTGACGCTCTGGGGCCTGAGAGGCTGCTGTTTGTTTACAGCCTCAAGATGGGAGAGACCAAGAGGATGACTTTTTTTTTAATAAAATATTTTCAAATATACACAGAATAATAAAACGAAATCCCATATAACTGTCACTTAGATTCAAAAATTGTCAACATTATCCCTATCTTGTTTCATGTCTTTCTCACCTCTTTATTTTCCTGAAGTATTTTAAAACAAATTCCAGACATTATATCATTTCACTTGTCTATTCTTCTGCACATACTTCTGATAAAAACTTTAAATGAGTATGACTCTAAATATACGTGGCCTTACCTATATACAAGTACTCATCACCCCTGACAAAACCAGCAAAACAATAATTCTCTAATATTACCCTGTCCACACTGAAATTGTGCTGTTATTTGAGAATGTCTTTTTATAGTTGGTGCATTTTTTTATTAGGATCCAAAGTGGTTGGTTTTTAATAGTAGCTTCTAATTTCCTCTCTCCAAAGTTGGTAACCGAATGGGATAACCTAGACAGCAGCCAGGCACAGGCAGTCACTAGAGTGGGGATGGGGACAGGAGGGAAAAACCTACATTTTCCCAAGACAGGGCCTGGGCCCCAGAAAATTCTGTTTTAAGCTCAGGCTTCTTGGAGGTGTGGCTTGGAGCCTTGGGTACAGAGATATCTCTTTGGGATATTATAACAGCCATCCTATGGGATAGGCCTCTCATGATCACTACCAAGCTGGCTTGGGGCTCTGCCAATGCCTTTCTGCTGCCCCTGTCTCAGTAGCCATGGCTATCTGTTCATCACGGATTGACTAAACGCTTATTAGGCACCTGTTCTGCACTGAGAGTTGGGGGAGCCAGCAAGGAACAGACAGGTCAGATTCTACAAGTTTCCTGTCTGGTACCGTGATAGTCCAGAGACAGTGTCTTAAGCCCATGTCAAGTGTGTGCAAACAGCTGCAGAAGCCAGAGGAGGAACCCATGAATATGCTGAGAATCAAGGAAGGTTCAGAAAAGGTGACATTTTGAAATGATTCTGGGGGTGTTGAGGTTGCTGAGGGGGCCAATGAGTCACATCTCCCGATTCTAAAGCAGAAGCAGACATGGAAATAAAAATGAGATAAAATATCTGCTGAACTGGGGAAAACAACGTAGATCCAAGGCCCAAAAGAGCTCCCTGCTCCTCATCAGTCAGGGGTGATTTTAAATTAAAAGCCATGGGAGAAGGGATGGGGATGCAGCCAAAACAATGAAAGTTTATTTATTTATTCATTTATTTATTTATTTTGAGACAGATTCTCGCTCTGTCACCCAGACTGGAGTGCAGTGGTGCAACTTCGGTTCACTGCAACCTCTGCCTCCCAGGTTCAAGCGATTCTCCTGCCTCAGCCTCCCGAGTAGCTGGGATTACAGGTGCATGCCACCACACCCAGCTAATTTTTATATTTTTAGTAGAGACAGGGTTTCACCATGTTGGCCAGGCTGGTCTCAAACTCCTGACCTCAGGTGATCTGCCTGCTTCGGTCTCCCAAAGTGCTGAGATTACAGGTGTGAAACCAATGTGCCTGGCCCACAAGAACTTTAAAAAAATACCACACCATTTGTAAAAGGTTATGTGAACAGGTCAAACCTTCACTAGTGTGGACGCTGGAGAGTGTTACGAAGTAAGCCAGGAGAATCTGTGGGTCTGTCCAGGAAGGCCTCATGTATGTAGAGAAGAAGGCTTCCTGTTCAGCCTGTGGCCTCCAAGTCCTTGCTCAAGGTGTTCTCCTGGCCTGGGGACCCTGCTCAAATCTCTTCAGCCAAATCATGTCCCTCGCATGCTCTTCTTCAGGAAGTCTTCTCTTTCATTACCTCTTGTTCTCCAATGTCAACCTTTGCAGACCTGCTCATCCACACCACTCTCAAAGTCTACCCCCTGACAACACGCTTGATCTCCTGGCATTGAGCCCCTAGCCTTTCATACAGACCCTTTCACATGACATAAATTCTTGTTGCTAATGTTAAGTCATCTCTTGTGAACTTCTAGATGGCTGTCCCTGCCCTGGGGTTTCTTTTGTATCCCCACAGTGCTTTGCAAAGGTGTTTACCCTTGGCCAGAGCCTGTCTCATTAATTCATTCAACTAATAACTAAATCACTAACTAAGCACAGGAGATATAGCACTGAGCAAAAACAGGCTCCCTGTCTTCATGAAGCTTATAAACCAATGAGAGAGGTGGATAATGAACAAAAAAACAAGCGTATAATATGATGTCAGTGTATTAGTTCATTCTCACACTGCTATAAAGATACTACCCAGGAATGGGTAATTGATAAACAAAGGAGGTTTAATTGACTCACACTTCCACATGGCTTTAGAGGCCTCAGTAAACTTACAATCATGGCAGAAGGGGAAGCAGGCACCTTCTTCACAAGGTGGTGAGAGAGCATGAGTGTGTGAAGAAGGAACTGTCAAACACTTGTAAAACCATGAGATTTTGAGAGAACTCACTCACTATCACAAGAACAGCATGGGGGAAATCGCCCCCATGATCTAATCACCTCCCTCCCTCAACACAAGGGGATTACAGTTTCCTCCCTTGACACATAGGGACTACAATTCAAGATGAGATTTGGGTGGGGACACAGAGCCAAACCATATCAATCAGGTAGCAATAACTGTCAACAACAACAAAAACATAAGCAAAGGAAAGAGAGAGTAACAGGTGATGCCTTTATTGGTATCCAATGATACCAATGGTACCAATGGTATCATTGGTATCATTGATACCAATGGTAACATTCCCTGAGACAGAGACAGGGCAAAATTTTTGGCCTTTGACCAGAATAAAGTGAAGGAGTGATACATTTGAATACCTAGAGGAAGTGAATTCTAGATAGAGAGAAGAGCAAATGCAAAGGCTATGAGATGAGAATGTGCTTGAAATGTTCAAGGAGCATCTGGATGACCAATGTGGCTTGAGCCAAGTGAGAGAAGGGAAAGGGGTAGAAGGCAAAGTCGGAGAGGTTATGTAGGCTGTGTTGTCCAGTGTGGGAGTTGCCACATGTGACTATTTAAATTTAAATTAATTAGAATGGGTTACAATTTGAAATTTAATTTCTCAGTTGGTGTAGCCTCATTTCAAGTGCTCATAGCCACACATGGCCAGTGGCTACCATATTGGACAGCACAGATATTGGATGCCACTGCAGAAAGCTCTATTGGACAGAGTTGGTATAAAGCCTTGTAGACCTCAGTGAGGACTTAGGATTTTATTCTCTAAGAGAGATGGAAAACTCTGGGAGGGGTCTGATTTACATTTTAAAGGATCATTCTGGCTGTGTGGAGAATACTTTTTAGGGGGACAAGGGTGGAAGTGAAGAGACCAACTAGGAGACTGCTACAATAATCCAAGACAGATGGTAGTGGCCAGGATCAGATGGTGGTGGTAGAGGTGGTGAGATTTAGTGGATTTGAAGGTATATTTTAAAGACAGAACTGAAAAGAATTTGCCAATAGGGTAGATGTGGGGTGTATGTGAGACAAAGGAATCAACAATGACTCACAGGTTTTTGATCTGAGAAAGTGGATGAATTGTGTGGCACCAATCACTGAGCTAGAGATTGCTGGGGAAGAGAGGTTTTGGTGGGAGTGAAGGTGGCATGGAAATCATGCATTCAGTTTGTATGTGTCAAGTGTGAGATGTCTATTAGACATCCATGCAGAGATACAAGTTATATTCAACTTTGGAATTCAGGGAAGAGGTCAGGGCTGAAGCCAAAAATCTGGGAGGTGATCTTTAAATCTGTAAGACTGAATGAGCTCATCCAGGGTGTTATGGTCTGAATGTTTATGTCTCCTCCCACGACGCACCAAATTCATACGCTGAAATCCTAACCCCAAGGTGATGAGGTAGGGCCTTTGAGAGGCGATGAGGTCATAAGGGCTTCACTTTCATGAATGGAATTAGTGCCCTTATAGAAAAGGTTCCAGAGAGCTAGACCTTTTTATCATATTAGGTTGTAGCAAGAAGTTGCCATCTATGAAAAATCAGCCCTCATCCAGCACTGAATCTGCCAGCCCATGATCTTGGACTTCCCAGCCTCTAGAACTATGAGAAACAAATTATTGTTGTTTATAAGTGATCTAGTTAATGATGTTCTGTTATAGTAGCCCAAAAGGACTAAGACACACACACACACACACACACACACACACACACACACACACACACACAGAGAGAGAGAGAAGAGAGAAGAAAAGGTCTACAAACAGAGCCTGGCACCGGCACAATTTAAATGCTGGAGAAGAGGATCCACAAAATAGCTATGAAGGAGCAGTCCATTAGGTGGGAGAGCAGGAGAGTTTGGTGCCCGGCAGCCAAGTAGAATGATTGTTTCAAGAAGGACCAGTCATACCCAAAGCAGCTAAGAGGTTTAGTAACAGGGAACCTGAGAGTTAACCACTGAATACGACAACATAGAGATCATGGGGGAACCTTGATGATGACTCTATCCACGGAGAGATTGGGAGAAAAATGTGACTAGAGAGCATGCAAGAGAGAGCAGTAGGTGAGGTTGTAGAGATAGCAAGCATAAAGTCAAGTTTTTCAAGGAGTTTTGCTATAAAGGGGCAACTCTCAGTGCTGCCAGGCAGTTACTGGAGACAATTGTGGGGTCTAGGGATAACTTTGTTTTTAATATGGCAGATGATACAGCATGTTTGTATGCTGATAAGGATGATCCAACAGGAAGGGCAAAGTAATGAGGCAAAAGAAAGAGGAGTTAGTTCAGGATCAATGGCCTTGAATAGGAGAAGGGAGAAATCCATTGCCCAGGTGAAGGTTTGGGTCTTTGATGGAGACATGCACACTTTGTTCCTTGCAACAAGAGGAAGGCAGCCTGTGTGGATTCAGTGTATCAGCAGGTTGATGGTTACGGCAGTGGGAGTTTCTATTTTCTCAGTGAAATAATATGCTAGACCATCAGCTGAGAGTGAGGAGAGCATCACAGGTACGGGGGTTTAAGGAGAGAGGAGAAAGTAAGCGATAGTCCTCTTGGAGAGCAGGAGAGTGAATTAACTGAGTGAATGTAGGAGCATTGCCCGACAGCACCAAGGGCTCACTTGCGGTCTGTGGTCATGAATTTAAAGTGAGACAAATCAATGTGGGTGTGTATTTTTTCCAGACATGATTGTAGGTGAAGAGCAGGCAGAGAGTTAGATTTAATCAGGATTGGAATTTTGCCAAGAATGAGACAGGGGCAACAGAGTTGATGATAATGATGCAGGGCAGTGATTATATTGATGGATGTGGGAGCGTATGCTGGGTAAAGAGGGAGGTGGGCATGAGCAGAGGAATGGAGAGTGAATGGGTAACAGTGAGTGGCTTGGAGGTGCTGATTGTGGGCATAATGACACCGTAGGCAAAGCTGAATGGAAGCCAGCAGCTAAGGAGGAGGAGGACAGTACTGGACAGTGAGCAGGCCAAGGGACTGAAAGGCCAGGGATGTTTAGATGGCTATAGAAGTCACCAAGATCCATGACAGGTAAACCAGGTGATGAAATAATCAGCAAGTGGGGGTGTCCGGGAGGATTGTAGATAATTGCAAAAAGGGAGGACACCCGGTGTCTAATCTGATAGCCTGTGCTTCAAAGCAGTTGAACAATTCTTGCAGGGCAGGAGGACAAAAATAGGCTGAGAGTGGCAAAGAGGCATGAGAGCACTGACCCTAGCTCCAGGTCCAAGGAAAGGTAAGTAGTGTGTGATTCCTGGTGCTGGGAGTGAGTTATGAACTGGACAGACAAGGACCCTGATTTTACAGAGATCACATTTCAATTAAGGAAGTAAATAAATAAGTACACAAGATAGTATCAGATAATGAAAAGTGTTATGAAGAAAATGAAAAAGGGATGTTCTTGATGGTATCTGGCCATGAGAGTGGGGATGGGCTGCTTTCGTTCAGGTGGTCTGAACAAGATGGGCGTGGGAGTCAGAAGTCCCAGGCGGAGGGAAAAGGAAGTATAAAGCCAAGTTCAAAAGCAAGAATAGGATTCCTCTAGGCTTAAGGGACAGCGCTCCAGTCTGAAAGAGAAATTTCCCCAACAAAGCCTCCAAGAAACTAGGATCTGAACCAGACTTGTTAGTCAACAATGCCTAAGCAGGTATGGGAAGTGAAAGTAACATTCTAGATGAACCCCTTTGTGTGGCTCAGAAAAGTTACAGTATTCCCAATACCTGCTTTCTATAAAGTGCTACGATACTTTTTGCCCTTAACCAGATTATTCTTCCTTTGTCTCAAATTGAAGAACATTTTTATTCTGTTTGCAATGTTGGCTGAACATTAAAATTGCATCATTGGTTTCCTCTCTCACTTGTTCTCGTTTTTTATTTTATTGTTATTCAGTGCAAAACAAAAAGCTGTGATGGAAAAAGACAATAGAGGGATGGCTGGAGGAAGCTTGTCAAAATAACCTCCTGTTTAGTAGTTTTGCTTCTGTTCATGCCTGACTTTCATATGCATAAAAGGGCCAGAAATTTATCACAAATGGCAGAAAATTGCATTCCATTAATTTCAGAGCCTTTGACTCCGACAGTTCAATCTTCAAGAGTGGTTGCTTCTGGGATATTCAAGAAAACAAAGAATAAAAGCTATTTTGCGTTATCTGTTTTATATTTTAGAAGAGTATATTTCACTACATTATCCAGAGGGATTTTGCTCAGAATCTCATTAGTGTGTTTTGAGTCCGCTTGCCTACAGAAGCCCTTCCTTGATTTCAACTTGGAGACAAAAGGGTAGAAACTATGGGTGAGGTTGGTGAAAGGGGATCTCTTACAGGACCAAATTAATAAATGTGAACTGCCTTTCAAAATGAACTGAATTACTTGGAAAGCAGAAACTGAAATGAAAACTCAAAACCTTAGAATTTTTACCCACGCTGTATCCCTGATGTCTGTTCATTCAGCCTTTGCTTGAATTTCCCTAGTGACAAGGAACTCACTACTTCCTAAGACACACAATTCCATTTTAAAGCAGTCTAGCTGGAAGAAATTTCTTTCTCTGTAAGAGTAGAAATTGACTTCTGGAAACGTTCCATCTATTGATCCCAGTTCTACCCTCCAGAGACTCCTGCACACAATTCTTAATGTATCACAAGACAACGTTCCTGTCTGCCTTGGGCTCAACATCCCTGATTGCTTCTTTGGAATTGTTGCATTCAGATGTCTCTTTTCCAGCCAAATCGCCTTCTAAAATCCAAAATGGTCGTACTTCAAGGCTGTTACTCAAATTCAGACATACTTTTATCTCACTGTGTTTAGGAAACATTGAGCAGAGTGACACATGATCTGCAGAGGCTAAGGGATTGGGAGTGACTATCTACCACCCAGTCTCTCCAGCAGATGGTTGATGCTGCCCTGCAAAACGAGAATTCACTCCCATTCCTTTTCTTCCACCAGGGCCAAGGCCCAAACATTACACAAGCATATGAATTTCTTATGCTTTGGGGATCATGAATCATTTTGAAAAGCTGATAAAAGCTATGGGTGCCCTCTTTAGAAATATGAACAAACACATAAAATATTGTATTTGACTTCATCAAATTTAGACATCCCACCCTGAATCCCATTCATGAACCGCACTGCCCTTCCACAGGGTGCAAAGGATCCAAACTAAGAATCCCTGCTATAAGCAAAGCCTACACAGCCCAGCACTATGTCCTCCATGGTATTTCAAAGGGTTTTCAATTGAGGGCTTAAAAAGACTCACTCAATTCACCCCTCCTTTCAATCAAATATACCAAGTATGTGTTATACTTCTCACACACCAAGGGTATGGCACTGAACAAGACACAGTCTCCATTCTCAGGGAGCTCATGGCCTAGGGCAGACAGCAGGAGCAACTATGCTTACACAAACACTCTTACAATGACAGTGCTATAATAGGGATAAGGACACGGCATGTGGGGGAGTGAGACACCTAACTCAGCCTTGGCGGTTTCTGGGAGGACTTTTCAGAGGAGGTTGCTAAGCCCTGAAAAAGTTTCATATTAGATTTTAAAAATATTTTAAAATACCAGATGTGGTACTAATTCAATAGGCTAAGTTGGGTGCATTCTCAGCACAGCACAACTCCTCACAGCAAAGGCTTCCTTGTTCATCTGCTGCAGAGGCTGCCATCTGTAGCCTCTCTGTAGATACTCCAAGAACCCACCTCTCCTTGCCCATCCTGCTATCTCCTCCCTGGGACACATGGCGGTGATTTCCCACAGCTGCTGATCCTTCTAAACTGTACTGGCCCCCAGGCAGGTAAAATTGGGACACAGCTCCTGCTGCTAATGAAGAGATGATGTTCCTGTAATGAAAACAGGACATGGTGCTGGGAGCCCACTAAGGATGAATAATTGCACCCTAATTAAACACTGCCTTTTGTTTTCCATTCATTTATTCAGTATTAGATGTGAATGAGGTTTGCATCATGCAAAAGTCAGCTCAGACACATTCCTACGGAGTCACCAAGAAATCATTTCTCTCATTGTGCTTATTATACCACTTGGTGCTCTTTTAAAAAATCAAGTTGTATATATAACCTTGGTAGGTGGAAAATGTTCTCTGTAACTCTGGATTCTCTTCAGATGCATGATCAGCACTGGGAATTTTTCTGAATGAGCCTTGCTTTCAGGTTCTTATTTTCCAGGTTCTCCTTGGCATAATCCTTCCATGTGATAATGACCAGCTTTGTTTACTCTTCATGCTCACTACAACCAAGATGGGAAGGATGAGAAAAGACCTCCTTAGCTCAGTTCTTGGCATAAGGTTAGCAGGGGATGTTGACATTTCCTAGCACAGAATAGGGCTGACCTGCTGACCTGGGAGAGTTGGGCAAATGTTCAAACCCTTGTAGATTATTTCTTCATAGTTTGGCTTTATTATCTGGTTAGAGCTTAGCAATTTCTCTGAATATTGGAAATCTTCAGATTTTAATGCATTTCAAAGCCTGGATGAGATTTTTCTGGGCCAAACAGGCTTACCCAGGCAGCTTCCTCTGGCATGGAGAATCAAGGGCTGTCTGTGCTTTGCAACAATCATGACCCCAAATGGGCAGAAGACAGCATGATTGGTGGAGAAAGGGGACCTGGTGAGAATCAGGAGTCGTGGTTATTAATACTGTTTGCCCAGATGGCAACTCCTGTTCTCCTTGTGTTTGGGCCCATATATTTAGTTTGGGCCAATAACTTGTAAACAAACAAACAAAAAAAGTGAAACTTTCAGACTGGAGCATTTAATTGCTGGTGTGAGAGCATCGAGCGGGTGGCAGCTCCACGAGCATCTTACCATGGGCCCCAGGGTGACTACGATGAGCAGACCCGCTCCCCAATGTGTGTTTATTTATTTATAAACCACATACATGCACTGCCATAATTAACTCATTCTTCAAGGTCCTTTGGGTGACATTCATCTCTAAGAAAAATAAACTCACATTTCAAAAGGTGTTTCTGATAATTTCTAATTTTTTTTTGGCCAGTGTCTTGTCAGATTTGATTGGATCGTCATTTTTTTACTGCATAATGTAACAGATGCTGAGCTCATATTGGGGTAGAAATGTCAGTTCTACCTCTTTCCTATCGTTCACTCAGGCTTATTATTATTGGTGTTAAGCTCAAACAACAGGGATTCTTTTAAGCCATTTTTCCATTTTATGAAGAGTAGTTTAGTTACAGCTAAATTACATAATCTCTAACTCAATAAAAATTAAAAATTATGGGAATACGAAAAAATGCATTGATAGAAAAGAGCACCATGTTAACCCTTCTGGGTGTAGGTCTCCCACTTCTGCCTCTGTGTCCCTCTAGATCATACATGGTTCGGAACCATCCGACACATAGAACAAGCAGAGACTCAGGTGTCAGGTCATATATTAAATATTGGTAAGTACAATTTCTTTCTTATTTTTTGTAATTATAAAAATATAAACATTGAATTTTATTGATTCAAAGACATTCTTTTTTTTTATGTTTTAATACCTCTGAAATTAGAATGCATTTTACAACCATAGCATGCCATATTTTAATTGGGAGCTTTTAAACGTTTTTCCTAATGTACATTAAAAAATGGTAATTAGTGGCATTTTTGGTAGATAAAATATGGTAAGTAAAAATTTTAGAATCTTCTCGTCTTAATCCAAATGAATTGTTTTATGATCACTTTTAGAGACCAGTGCTCTAGAGCCTTGCTGCTCCAAGCAAGTGTGGTATTTGGACCAGCATCATGGGCATCACCTTGGAGTCTGTGATTACTAGACCCCGCTCCAGACCTCCTGAATCAGATCTGCATTTTAACAAGATCTCCAGGTAGTTCACGTGCCCATTAAGTCTGAAAAGCCCTGTGTTAGAGATACTGAAATTTGGAATATGTCCAGTGGCAGCTTACATTATATTTGGTGCTGGCAGACATATTTCAGAGGTGAATGGCTTATCCATCTGGCTAATGTTTACTCTTTTAGGACTCAGCTCTGGGGCCACCTCATCAGTAGTGTGCTGATAAATTTTTAACAACTGGCTCTCTGGGAAAGGAAAAAAAAAAACCCTGATTTGTCACATTTGTCAATTTCCATGCCATAAATCTTCCTCCCATGGCTGATTTCAAACCACAAATGGTTATTTTAGGTAGCATTCCTGGAAATTTGACAACCAGTACTCTAGAGCCAGTATGTCCATCACTGCGTGCCCTCCAGAAAGTCCTTCCTCATCCCTCTTCCTCTCCCTTTCCCAATATTGGGGAAGAGCCACAGCACCTGTGCCTATCTTCTTCAAGGCAGAACCACATTGTGCTACTTATTCAATATCTGTGGTAGGCAGAATAGCCCCTACCCCCACCAAAGATGTCCCCATCCTAATCCCCAGAATGTGTAAACATGCTATACTACATTACTGATCAGCTGATCTTCAGATCGGAGATTATCCTGTATTATCTGGGTGGTTCGAATGTAATCACCCGGGTCCTTATAAATCAAAAATAAAGGTGGGAGAGTCAGAGTGATGCAATGTGATAAAGGCTCCATCAGAGTAGATGGAAGGGGCCATGAGCCAAGAATGCAGTAGCCTCTAGAAGCTGAAAAAGGCAAGAAAATGGATTCTCCCATAGAGACTTCAGAAGGGAATGCAGACCTGCTAACACCTTGATTTTAATGAGGGTGAATTAGTGACACCCATTCTGAACTGCTGAGCTCCAGAACTATAACATAATAAATTTGTGATGTTTTAAGTCACTACATTTGTGGCAATTTGTCACTTTATCTCTGGAAAACTAATATAGTCTGTCTCTTCCTATAGGTCAGTGGTTCTTAATCTTGGCTACAGATTGAGAATCTGTTCTTAATTGGAATCATTGGGATTATTTTTAAATTAAAGATTCTTGGATCCTTCCAGGAGAGACTCTGATTTCATCACGGCCTAGGCACTGAGATTGTTTGAAGCATGGGCCGAAATAGCCTGGGGCTCCTGATTCCATTTGAGAACAATACTATAAAACCTTGCAATAGTATCATCTAAGAGCTTGTTAGAAATGCAGAATTTCAGGCCATATCTCAGATCTGCACAACACAAATCTGCATTTTAAAAAGATCCCTGGGTGATTTGTATGCACACTAAATTTGGGGAGCAATATGCTAGCTCCTGAGCATTTTGAGGACAAAGGCTCGGTTTCCTTATCTGGAATCCCCAGCACCCCACACAGTGCCTGGCACAGAAGACTTATCTTCAAGTAAGGCCACATTGCAAGGTAGTAGGGCTTAAAGTTTCCAGAGTAGGCACTAAGGAAATATTAAGTAAACTGACTTCTGAACAAACCAGAACTCTTGAATGCTAGAGGGCTACAGAAACAATCTGATGGCTTCAGAAAGGTCCAAGATGACAGTTTCAAACTTTTTTTTAACGTAGGGGAGTTTTTTTCCTTTTAAGTTGTATTTTCTTTGAATGTATAAGACACATAATAGTGGCACCAATAGTTTTCCTCTGCTCAGCCTCTCCCCTGACCCCTGGGCCCCTCGGTTCATATATCCTTGAACTCAGAGAACACAGCAGGACACACTTCCTGGAAGAGAGGATAGAGAAGGCCTAGAAAACAGGATGCTGGCTACTGGAGGTCTGGAGCAAGAGCAGGTCAGGGACCAGAGGGATCCACAGTAAGGGTCACTCCTTGGGGTTGGTGGTATAGACGAAAAGTGGTACAAGTTCACGGGAGTCAAGGTGTCAGACCTAACCAGACCAAAGAGGCCCAGTGCCAAGTCGGCTTGGGTCGAAGTCCAGAGGTGACGACTGGGCAGGGAGAAGAAGGCATTCACAGAGTCCACACATCCAGGAAGGGCTCAGACCAGGCAAAAGGGAGCAGGCATGCACCCACCTGCCACCATCCATTGGTCATTTCCATCCATGTGTGACTGTAGTCCAGATTCAAAGTCCAGGAAAAGGGAGTCCAGTTGACCTAACTTAAGGTTCTTGGCCCCTTTGGCTGGGGGAGGGCAGGTCACCTTCATTTATAACCCTGTCAAAAATGTTTCCAATAGGAAAGAGGTGGTGTCCTCAGAGGAATTGAAAGTGCTGATGGGAATGGGCAGTTGAGAAACAGCACCTGACCATTATGAGCAAGTAGGGTTATGCTCATTTATCAGAAAAGAAACCGAGGCTCAGGCTGACCCGAAAACTTTCCCCGTGTTTGCATAGATAGTAAGTGCCGGCCCTGGGGTTTGAACCCAGGGTGGTCGGAAGCTGGTATCCTTTGAAGGACAACACATCGTCTGGCAAGAGTCCAGTGCCTGTGACAGAGGCACATAGACAGAGAAAGCCCAGGAGCAGCACTGTTGAGAGGCCAGCTCAGGAGTCCCTGTGCTCTCTCTTCCCAGGACAGGAATGGGGCTGAGCCTACAGATGGGGGAGGGGAGAGGGCAGCAGGCAGGAGCCAGGCAAGTCAGCACAAGACAAGGAGGACAGTCCTTACCACCAGACAACCTTGCTGATCCTGACCTGAGGCTACCGCCCCTCTACTCATTTTAAGTCCTTGTATTAGTTTGCTAAGGCTGCAGTAACAAAGTACCACACAAACTTGGTGGCTTAAACAACTGAAATTGATTGTTTCATAGTTCTGAAGGCTAGATGTCCGAAATTGAGGTGTTGGGAGATTCCTTCTGGGGCCTGTGAGGAGTGATCTGTTTCAGACCTCTCTCTTTGGCTTGTAGATGGCCATCTTCTCCCTGTGTGCCTTCACATCAACTTTCCTCTATGTGTGTCTGTCTGGGTCCAAATTTTCTCTTTTTATAAAGACAGATCATATTTGATTAAGGCTCACAATAATGATCTCAGTTAACTTTATTAGTTTTATAAAAGCCTTGTCTGCAAGTATGGCCACATTCTAAGGTACTAGGGCTTGGAATTTCAACACATGAATTTTGGGGAGATACAGTTCAATCCATAACAGCTCCCTTCTTGGTGCCAAGGGAAAATGACCGGATGCTGTGTGCTCCTTCCTGACTCAGGGTAGGACTTCACATGGGGCATGTTATTCCCAGAAGCTTTGGAGCATCTACTGTGCACTTGGTACTGAAACCAGCCCTCGTAGGGCTCATAGGGTTGTGAGGGAGAAAAATTTATAAAAGGAGTATTTTATAAAACATTAGGCGCCATGGTAGATATGGTATGGCATAGTGGTTAAGAGCTCAGAATCTATGACAAGATTGGTCGGTTTGAATTCTGGCCCTGCTACGTACAAGCTGTGTGACCTTGGACAAGTTGCCTAGCTTCTGCGTGCCTTTGTCTTCTCATCTATAAAATAGGCATAATAATAGCAACTACCTCATTGTTTGTTATGAGGATTCAATGAGTAAACATTTCTTTTTTTTTCAGAAAGAATAATTGATTTATTAAAGGCTTTAATTACACAGAAGGCTACAGCTCTTTTAATGCAGGCTATGTTTGTTTATTTATTTGTTTATTTTTGGAATAATTTTTTTTTATTATACTTTAAGTTCTAGGGTACATGTACACAACTTGCAGGTTTGTTACATATGTATACATGAGCCATGTTGGTGTGCTGCACCCATTAACTCATCATTTACATTAGGTATATCTCCTAATGCTATCCCTCCCCTCTCCCGCCACCCCACAACAGGCCCCGGTATGTGATGTCCCCCTTCCTGTGTCCAAGTGTTCTCATTGTTCAATTCCCACCTATGAGTGAGAACATGCGATGTTTGGTTTTTTGTCCCTTGAGATAGTTTGCTGAGAATGATGGTTTCCAGCTTCATCCATGTCCCTACAAAGGACATGAACTCATCATTTTTTATGGCTGCATAGTATTCCATGGTGTATATATGCCACATTTTCTTAATCCAGTCTATCATTGTTGGACATTTGGGTTGGTTCCAGGTCTTTGCTATTGTGAATAGTGCCACAATAAACATATGTGTGCATGTGTCTTTATAGTAGCATGATTTGTAATGCTTTGGGTATATACCCAGTAATGGGATGGCTGGGTCAAATGGTATTTCTAGTTCTAGATCTGTGAGGAATCGCCACACTGTCTTCCACAATGGTTGAACCAGTTTACAGTCCCACCAACAGTGTAAAAGTGTTCCTATTTCTCCACATCCTCTCCAGCACCTGTTGTTTCCTGACTTTTTAATGATGGCCATTCTAACTGGTGTGAGATAGTATCTCATTGTGGTTTTGATTTGCATTTCTCTGATGGCCAGTGATGATGAGCATTTTTTCATGTGTCTTTTGGCTGCATAAATGTCTTCTTTTGAGAAGTGTCTGCTCATATCCTTTGCCCACTTGTTGATGGGGTTGTTTGATTTTTTTCTTGTAAATTTGTTTGAGTTCTTTGTAGATTCTGGATATTAGCCCTTTGTCAGATGAGTAGATTGCAAAAATGTTCTCCCATTCTGTAGGTTGCCTGTTCACTCTGATGGTAGTTTCTTTTGCTGTGCAGAACCTCTTTAGTTTAATTAGATTCCATTTGTCAATTTTGGCTTTTGTTGCCATTGCTTTTGGTGTTTTAGACATGAAGTCCGTGCCCATGCCTATGTCCTGAACGGTATTGCCTAGGTTTTCTTCTAGCGTTTTTATGGTTTTAGGTCTAACATTTAAGTCTTTAATCCATCTTGAATTAATTTTTGTATAAGGTGTAAGGAAGGGATCCAGTTTCAGCTTTTTACATATGGCTAGCCAGTTTTCCCAGCACCATTTGTTAAATAGGGAATCCTTTCCCCATTTCTTGTTTTTGTCAGGTTTGTCAAAGGTCAGATAGCTGTAGATGTGTGGTATTATTTCTGAGGGCTCTGTTCTGTTCCATTGGTCTATATCTCTGTTTTGGTACCAGTACCATGCTGTTTTGGTGACTGTAGCCTTGTAGTACAGTTTGAAGTCAGGTAGTGTGATGCCTCTGGCTTTGTTCTTTTGGCTTAGGATTGACTTGGCAATGGGGGCTCTTTTTTGGTTCCATATGAACTTTAAAGCAGTTTTTTCCAATTCTGTGAAGAAAGTCGTTGGTAGCTTGATGGGGATGGCATTGAATCTATAAATTACCTTGGGCAGTCTGGCCATTTTCATGATATTGAGTCTTCCTATCCATGAGCATGGAATGTTCTTCCATTTCTTTGTATCCTCTTTTATTTCGTTGAGCAGCGGTTTGTAGTTCTCCTTCAGGAGGTCTTTACATCCCTTGTAAGTTGGATTCCTAGGTATTTTATTCTCTTTGAAGCAATTGTGAATGGGAGTTCACTCATGATTTGGCTCTCTGTTTGTCTATTATTGGTGTATAAGAATGCTTGCGATTTTTGCACACTGATTTTGTGTTCTGAGACTTTGCTGAAGTTGCTTGTCAGCTTAAGGAGATTTTGGGCTGAGATGATGGGGTTTTCTAGATATACAATCATGTCATCTGCAAACAGGGACAATTTGACTTCCTCTTTTCCTAATTGAATACCCTTTACTTCTTTTTCCTGCCTGATCGCCCTGGCCAGAACTTCCAACACTACGTTGAATAGGAGTGGTGAGAGAGGGCATCCCTGTCTTGTGCCAGTTTTCAAAGGGAATGCTTCCAGTTTTTGCCCATTCAGTATGATATTGGCTGTGGGTTTGTCATAAATAGCTCTTATTATTTTGAGATACGTCCCATCAATACCTAATTTATTGAGAGTTTTTAGCATGAAGGGCTGTTGAATTTTGTCAAAGGCCTTTTCTGCATCTATTGAGATAATCATGTGGTTTTTGCTGTTGGTTCTGTTTATATGCTGGATTACATTTATTGATTTGCTTATGTCGAACCAGCCTTGCATCCCAGGGATGAAGCCCGCTTGATCATGGTGGATAAGCTTTTTGATGTCCTGCTGGATTTGGTTTGCCAATATTTTATTGAGGATTTTTGCATTGATGTTCATCAGGGATATTGGTCTAAAATTCCCTTTTTTGGTTGTGTCTCTGCCAGACTTTGGTATCAGGATGATGCTGGCCTCATAAAATGAGTTAGGGAGGATTCCCTCTTTTTCTGTTGATTGGAATAGTTTCAGAAGGAATGGTGCCAGCTCCTCCTTGTACCTCTGGTAGAATTCAGCTGTGAATCGGTCTGGTCCTGGACTTCTTTTGGTTGGTAAGCTATTAATTATTGCCTCAATTTCAGAGCCTGTTATTGGTCTATTCAGAGATTCAACTTCTTCCTGGTTTAGTCTTGGGAGAGTGTATGTGTCGAGGAATTTATCCATTTCTTCTAGATTTTCTAGTTTATTTGCATAGAGGTGTTTATAGTATTCTCTGATGGTAGTTTGTATTTCTGTGGAATCGGTGGTGATACCCCTTTATCATTTTTTATTGCGTCTATTTGATTCTTCTCTCTTTTCTTCTTTATTAGTCTTGCTAGCAGTCTATCAATTTTGTTGATCTTCTCAAAAAACCAGCTCCTGGATTCATTAATTTTTTGAAGGGTTTTTTGTGTCTCTATTTCTTTCAGTTCTGCTCTGATCTTAGTTATTTCTTGCCTTCTGCTAGCTTTTGAATGTGCTTGCTCTTGCTTCTCTAGTTCTTTTAATTGTAATGTTAGGGTGTCAATTTTAGATCTTTCCTGCTTTCTCTTGTGGGCATTTAGTGCTATAAATTTCCCTCTACACACTGCTTTGAATGTGTCCCAGAGATTCTGGTGTGTTGTGTCTTTGTTCTCGTTGGTTTCAAAGAACATCTTTATTTCTGCCTACATTTCATTATGCACCCAGTAGTCATTCAGGAGCAGGTTGTTCAGTTTCCATGTAGTTGAGCGGTTTTGAGTTTCTTAATCCTGAGTTCTAGTTTGATTGCACTGTGGTCTGAGAGACAGTTTGTTATAATTTCTCTTCTTTTACATTTGCTGAGGAGTGCTTTACTTCCAACTATGTGGTCAATTTTGGAATAAGTGTGGTGTGGTGCTGAGAAGAATGTATATTCTGTTGATTTGGGGTGGAGAGTTCTGTAGATGTCTATTAGGTCTGCTTGGTGCAGAGCTGAGTTCAATTCCTGGATATCCTTGTTAACTTTCTGTCTCGTTGATCTGTTGAATGTTGACAGTGGGGTGTTAAAGTCTCCCATTATTATTGTGTTGGAGTCTAAGTCTCTTTGTAGGTCTCTAAGGACTTGCTTTATGAATCTGGGTGCTCCTGTATTGGGTGCATATATATTTAAGATAGTTAGTTCTTCTTGTTGAATTGATCCCTTTACCATTATGTAATGGCCTTCTTTGTCTCTTTTGATCTTTGTTGGTTTAAAGTCTGTTTTATCAGAGACTAGGATTGCAACCCCTGCCTTTTTTTGTTTTCCATTTGCTTGGTAGATCTTCCCCCATCCCTTTATTTTGAGCCTATGTGTGTCTCTGCACTTGAGATGGGTTTCCTGAATACAGCACACTGATGGGTCTTGACTCTTTATCCAATTTGCCAGTCTGTGTCTTTTAATTGGAGCATTTAGTCCATTTACATTTAAGGTTAATATTGTTATGTGTGAATTTGATCCTGTCATTATGATGTTCGCTGGTTATTTTGCTCGTTAGTTGATGCAGTTTCTTCCTAGCCTCGATGGTCTTTACAATTTGGCATGTTTTTGCAGTGGCTGGTACCAGTTGTTCCTTTCCATGTTTAGTGCTTCCTTCAGGAGCTCTTTTAGGGCAGGCCTGGTGGTGACAAAATCTCTCAGCACTTGCTTGTCTGTGAAGGATTTTATTTCTCCTTCACTTATGAAGCTTAGTTTGGCTGGATATGAAATTCTGGGTTGAAAATTCTTTTCTTAAAGAATGTTGAATATTGGCCCCCACTCTCTTCTGGCTTGTAGAGTTTCTGCCGAGAGATCAGCTTTTAGTCTGATGGGTTTCCCTTTGTGGGTAACCCGACCTTTCTCTCTGGCTGCCCTTAACAGTTTTTCCTTCATTTCAACTTTGGTGAATCTGACAATTATGTGTCTTGGAGTTGCTCTTCTCGAGGAGTATCTTTGTGGCATTCTCTGTATTTCCTGAATTTGAATGTTGGCCTGCCTTGCTAGGTTGGGGAAGTTCTGCTGGATAATATCCTGTGGAGTGTTTTCCAACTTGGTTCCATTCTCCCCATCACTTTCAGGTACACCAATCAGATGTAGATTTGGTCTTTTCACATAGTCCCATATTTCTTGGAGGCTTTGTTTGTTTCTTTTTATTCTTTTTTGCTCTAATCTTCTCTTCCTGCTTCATTTCATTGATTTGATCTTCCATCACTGATACCCTTTCTTCCAGTTGATCGAATCAGCTACTGAAGCTTGTGCTTTCCTCACGGAGTTCTTGTGCCATGGTTTTCAGCTGCATCAGGTCCTTTAAGGACTTCTCTGCATTGGCTATTCTAGTTAGCCATTCGTCTAATCTTTTTTCAAGGTTTTTAACTTCTTTGCGTTGGGTTCCAACTTCCTCCTTTAGCTCTGAGAAGTTTGATCATCTGAAGCCTTCTTCTCTCAACTCTTCAAAGTCATTCTCCTTCCAGCTTTGTCCCATTGCTGGTGAGGAGCTGTGTTCCTTTGGAGGAGGAGAGGCGCTCTGATTTTTGGAATTTTCATTTTTTTCTGCTCTGTTTTTCCCCCATCTTTGTGGTTTTATCTACCTTTGGTCTTTGATGATGGTGATGTACAGTTGGGGTTTTGGTGTGGATGTCCTTTCTGTGTGTTAGTTTTCCTTCTAACAGTCAGGATCCTCAGCTGCGGGTCTGTTGGAGTTTGCTGGTGGTCCACTCCAGACCCTGTTTGCCTGGGTATCAGCAGCGGAGGCTGCAGAACAACGAATATTGGTGAACAGCAAATGTCACTGCCTGATCATTCCTCTGGAATTTTAGTCTCAGAGGGGTACCCGGCCCTGTGAGGTGTCAGTCTGCCCCTATTTGGGGATGCCTCCCACTTAAGCTACTCGGGGGTTAGGGATCCACTTGAGGTGGCAGTCTGTCTGTTCTCAGATCTCAGGCTCCGTGCTGGGAGAACCACTACTCTCTTCCAAGCTCAGCTGGAAATGCAGAAATCACCCGTCTTCTGCGTCGCTCACGCTGGGAGCTGTAGACCCGAGCTGTTCCTATTCGGCCATCTTGGAACCGCCCCCCTCAACGAGGAAACATTTCTAAAAGTGCTTAGCAAGTGTTATGCAGTGCAAGTGTTTGTTAAATAAAACCATTAAAAGTGAACTCAGTGTGCTAAGGAAACACCAAAGAGAGGTACCTAACCCAGGCTTCCAAGGCTTAGGGGACCAACAGGGAAGCTTCCTGGAGTTTGTGAAGTTTTAACCTGATGGAGGCTGCTGAGGACAGAAGGGTGAGTTCTCCAGGGGGCATTTGTGACATGTTATTAGAAAAGGTGTGGGGGTAAGTGGATGGGGGCTTTGGCTCCTCTGAAATGTGTCCCCAACTCTCCCTCCAGACACAGCAGGGGCAGGCTGGGCCAGGTCAGCCATATAGTTGGTTCTTGGAGGAGGAAATGTCAACAAAAATGTACAACTTACAGGCTTGAGCCACCACATCACTTGAACCCAGGAGGAGGAGGTTGCAGTGAGCCAAGATCGCGCCACTGCATTCCAGCCTGGGCAACAGAGTGAGACGGCATCTCAAAAAAAAAAAAGTACAACTTAATTAAGCCCGGTGTGAAGTCTTTTTACTGCTTGGAAGTAGGGTGGCCCTGTCTCCTGTTAAATGTACAAGTCAGTTCTGCAAGACGTGAATCCAAATCCAACTCCCTGCCGTTATCAGGTGCATATCTGAGTCGCCCCTACTTATGAGTCTCTGTACATCCAAGGGATTAAAATAAAATAAGCTAAGACAGATTAAAAATTCAACATTTCTTTAACCTCATCCCAACACTACTTCCATCACCAAAATTGTTTTTAATAATTTCACAGGTCTTCTGTAGTCATCCAGCCATTTCTAGATAAACTGCAGTTTAAAAAATTGTCCACGTCCCAAGGACCCACCCTGAGGTCATGGATAATTAAAGGCAACCTGATTCCTACAAACTGCAACTAGAGCCATCTTTGATGTGGGTCTTGCAAGCAAGTGCTAATGAACTCCTTTGCTGACAGGTGGAGGGAGGGCTGCAGATAGGAGTCAAAGGCACTGTCTGCAAAATATGGGGAGCAGAAGGGGCACCTGCTTTTTAAAAGGCTTCTCTCTGAGGTCTGCAATCAGAAACCAAAACTGGGGACTTACGTATGACCAAGGCACTCCCCAATCTCTTGGTCCAATCACAAGGCCATTGTTGCCTCTCTCTTCCCAAGTGCTTTGAGGAATATTGATCTCATATTTAGATCTCTCATTATTTCAGTTTCTTAGTTTGGAATATGTTTCTTTATTGTGCCATGAGTGACAATGGGGAGTAGGTTAATAAGGACAGTGGCCCCCACTGGGCCTCCACCCATTATTTATGAGGAGTTGACATACTGAGAAAGGCCCCCAGCCTGGCTTATGTTCTCTAGAGATATCACAGATGCTACAGGCCTTAACCAGGCCCATGTGCAGTGAACAGAAAAATTTGTTTCTCACTGTGAGTCATTATCAGTGAACACTCGCCTACATCGATACATTGGAACTGCCAAAGAGCTGCCCATTAAGTGGCTTAGATCGGGAGGTAACCACACTTCTAGAGTAAGATGAGGCTGGAGGGGCAGGAATGGAGAAGAGAAGTATTTGTGGGAATCAAATTTGCCAACCCACTGGAATCCACAAACACGCTGCTGGAATTGCTATCTCTTTGCCATCCATACTAGAGAAGAGCAGACGATGTACCAGTGAGTGATGTGGAATTGCATTAAAGTAATGATGCATAAGTGTTTGGGCCTAGCAGCCCTTCTCCCCTGAAAAATAAGCTTCTCAAAGGCCAGGGGTGTGTCTTATCTATTCCAAAGCCAGCCTCCACCTGACACCCTGCCCTACCTGTGTTCTCACTAAAGTGGATTCAGGACTGGGGAGAATCTTCTGTGATGGAAGGTGGGGGGTGGGCAGAGAGGATCCCAGCTTCACTGAAGGCTGCTGCGGAAAGGTGAGAGGTGGTCAAGATTGCAGTGGCTGGGAGTAATGTTGTCACTTCTGTTTAGTGAGCGCTTACTGAGAAGAAAGCACTGTGTTAAGCACAGACCCCTGGGAATGCAGTTCTTCCTTTCCAGAATCCAGCCATGTGGGTTGTTTCTCCTCAGAGAGGAAAGGGGGAAAGCAATGGCCAAATGCCCTGCTGCAGGCCACAGGAGAGCTGTGGATGCCTACACATTAATTTTGTTCCAAAACACATACAATAGTATGTTTTAATTTAACCTTCATAGAAACTCTAAGGGGTAGGATCTATTCTTTCCAATTTACATGAGGAAACTGAAACTGAGAGAAGTCAAGAGATTTGATCAACAGATTGTGAATGGTAGAGCTTGGATCCAAACCCAGATTTGCCTGTCTCCAAAGCTGGTGCACTCAAGTTTCTCCCACTAAATAGTCACTTAAGGGAGGCCTAAACACAAATAAAGTATCAGGTCACTGGCAAGACACATTTACAGGTGCACTGAAAAGTCAGACTTTGGGGCACGTGCAATTCCCTTTTCTGGTCAAAGAAGCTGATCATTATTCAAGTGTGTGAGAGCCAGGCTATTATATCTGTTCTATTCAAAAAGTAAATCACTCCCCAAATTGGATGCTTTAAGTATTATTAGTAACCAATTATTTGCAACACCACTCACCACTACTTGTGACATATGCTCCAATGGTTCTCCAAGAAAGTGGTAGATAAGAAGTGGTTTCCTGGACCCCCACCTCATCAGTTCTGATCTAGTTGGTCTGAAATTGACCTTAGAAACCTGAGTTCTAAACAGTTTCCCAGAGGATTCTGAAGCCGACTGGTCCATAGGTCCTGCTCTGAGGAACCCTGCCTAGAGTATGCTATGTCTTCTCCATGAGGTTGTGGGGTAGGGAGGGAAGGCCTCTAAGACTTGAGTCAGTAGTCCTGGGTTCTGATCTCAGCCTGGATGCTACCGAGCTGTGTGGCTTTTATACTGGTCTCCCTGGGCTTCAGTGTCCTCCCATATCACTGGACTGGATCATCTCTGAGGCTCCCTGCAGCTCTAAGAGTGGTTGCTTTTTGAGGCAGGGCCCCGGTCCTGCCCATCAGGAGTGGAGCTGTGTCCCTTCTTGAAGGCAGAGAGGAGAGGAGGGAACTGGAGGAGAGGTGAGGAGGGAGTAGGGTTAATAGACAGAAGGGGTCCTGCCAGCCAGTAAGTGAGGCCCCATGGACAGGCTGCACGCAAGATGCTCCACAGCAGGCCAGTCCTCTGGACCTGGATTCCTGGAAACTCATTGCAGCCCAGCCCCAGGAAGAGCTGACTCGCTGGGCTCTATCCCTCCTGCAGATAGATTTCAGGTGAAAAGATTCTAGACTACAACAGGTGCTGGGAAGAAATTCTAGTGGTGGTGGGGGAAGCACTCAGGGGGGAGTCAGAAACCCTGGATTCTCCTTGCCCTGGTGCTGTGTGTGCCATGCCCTTCCTGAGTTTTTCTACTTTTGGGTTTCAGGGCCACACCATAAAAGGTGGCTCCAGGATAGACCCATACCCAAAGCCTCATCAAATCATAGTCTTGTGGGTCCACGATTTGATGATTCCAAGACACCATTGCCACCCTGCACTACCCTATGTCTTATAGAGCCTTTCATAGTTGCCAACCTGTTGAAGACAGTCCCACATTGCTCTACATGTCAAAGGTGAATGAAGAGTGATGGAGGGAGGAAGCTGTCACAAACCTCAATTCTATACAAATAAAACGTCTCAGCTCACAACTGCCACTTGTACCTCTGCACATGCTCAAGATTAATGTGCTGTTACTACTCAACAGCCTGTTTCTAATACCGCAGCTGAAATCACTTTGCTCCTGGAGCAACATTAGGAGGGGGCAAAGCACAGCACCAGCTGTGCCTGTGAAAATGGTTTCATGTTGGAAGCAAGATCCTCTTCCTACTGCCACTCATCTGAGCTGCAAAGAAACCGAGGAGACAGAGACAGTGTGGGTGGAGAGAGAGCGGGAAGAGGACAAGAGCAGCCATTTCACTTTGGTTTGGCGTTCTCGCCTTTCTCAGCCTCCCTAGCCAGCTGTGGAGGGGTTGGAGGAGACAGTGGGAGCTGTTCTGTGAGAGCTGCCCACATCTGCCCCGGCCTCGTCTGTCAGCCTTGCAGCCCTGGGAGCAAGAGCCATGACGAAGCAGAGGATCATGCCTGTCCATTCAGCATGGACTCACCAAGTCCTCATAGGGAGGAAAAAGGCCCATGATAAGTGTAAGGGATACTAAAATAAATAAGATCCCCATCCCTACCCATTGCCGGCCTTGAACCATGTCTTAGTCCAATTCCTGCCACTAGGAGCAGCTGCATGGTCCACCTGGAGGAAGCCGAGCCGGGTGGAATCCTCCTTGGATGAAGAGGAGCATTGCAGGCCAGCGGGCAAGGTGATGGCAAGGCTCTAATTCTATGATGTTGGAGATATCTCTCTCTGCTCCCCCAATTTTTCTGGTTCAGATCCTTAGAAACCCTCACCTAAATGTCTCAGTGGCCTTCCACAGCAGTGAAATCATGTTTTAACACAAGATAAAAGTCGATGGGTCAGTGTCTCAGGGTCTTGCATTCACTCCAAGACCTATTTTTATTCTGTTTAATCAGTCTTATGAGGCAGCCTTGTTAACACACTATTATTGTTTTTTTTAATTTTTGTGGATACACAGTAGGTATATATATTTATGGGACACATGAGACATTTTGGTACAGGCATGCAATGTATCATAATCACATCATGGAAAATTGGGTATCCATCCCCCCAAGCATTTATTCTAGGTGTTATAAACAATCCAATTATATCCTTTTAGTTATTTTCAATTAAATTATTATTGACTATTGTCACCCTGTTGTGCTATCAAATATTAGGTCTTATTCATTCTTTTTAACATTTTTTAACCCATTAACCATCATCACCTCCCCACCAGCCCCCACTACCCTTCCCAGCCTCTGAGAACCATCCGTCTACTCTCTAGCTCCATGAGTTCAATTGTTTTGATTTTTAGATCCCACAAATAAGTGAGAAAATGCGATGTTTTCTTTCTGTGCCTGGATTATTTCACTTAACATAATGACCTCCAGTTCCATCCATGTTGTTGCAAATGACAGGATCCCTTTTTTTTTATGGCTGACTAGTACTCCATTGTGTATAAGTATCACATTTTCTTCATTCATCTGTCGATGGACACTTAGGTTCCTTCTAAGTCTTGGCTATTGTGAACAATGCTGCAACAAACATAGGGGTGCAGATATCTCCTCAATATACTGATTTGCTTTCTTATAGGTATATATCCAGGAGTGGGACTGCTGGATCATATAGTAGCTCAATTTTCATTTTTCTGAATAACCTCCAAACTGTTCTCCATGGTGGTTGTACTAACTTACATTTCCACCAACCATGTACGAAGGTTTCCTTTTCTCCGCATCCTTGCCAGCATTTGTAATTGCCTGATTTTTGGTTAAAAGTCAAGTAAACTGAGTGAGATGATATTCATTGTAGTTTTGATTTGCATTTCTCTGATGATCAGCGATGTTGAGCACCTTTTCATATGCCTGTTTGCCATACGTATGTCTTCTTTTGAGAAATGTCTATTCCAGTCTTTTGCCCATTTTTTAATTGGATAATTAGAAGTTTTTCCTACAGAGTTGTTTCAGCTCCATATATATTCTGGTTATTAATCCCTTATTAGATGGTGTATTAGCCCATTTTCACCCTGCTATAAAGGACTTCCCTGAGACTGGGTAATTTATAAAGGAAAGAGGCTTAATTGACTCACAGTTCCAGATGGCTGAGGAGGCTGCAGGAAACTTACAATCATGGTAGAAGGGGAAGCAGGCACATCTTACATGGTGGCAGGTGAGAAACAGCAAGCAAGAGCAGGGAAAACCACCTTATAAAACCATCAGATCTCGTAAGAACTCACTCACTATCACGAGAACAGCACGGGGGAACCCCTGCCCCATGATCAAATCACCTCCCTCCCTCAACACATGGGAATTACAATTCAAGATGAGATGTGGGTGGGGACACAGAGCTAAATCATATCAGATGGGTAGTTTGCAGATATTTTCTCTCATTCTGTGGGTTGTTCTCTCTTCATTTTGTTGAGTGCTTCCTTTGCTGTGCAGAAGCTTTTTAACTTGATGTGATCCCATCTGTCCATTTTTGCTTTGGTTGCCTGCCCTTGTTGGGTAGTACTCAAGAAATTTGTGCCCATATCAATGTCTTGGAGAGTTTCCCCAGTGTTTTCTTGTCGTAGTTTCATAGTTTGAGGTCTTAGATTTAAGTCTTTAACTCATTTTGATTTTATTTTTGTATATGGTGAGAGATAGGAATCTAATTTCATTCTTCTGCATGTGGATATCCAGTTTTCCCAGCACTATTTATGGAAGAGACTGTCATTTCCACAGTGTATATTCTTGGTACCTTTGTCGAAAATAAGTTTACTGTACGTGTGTGGATTTGTTTCCAGGTTCTCTTTTCTGTTCTATTGGTCTATGTGTCTGTTTTTATGCCAGTACCATGCTGTTTTGGTTACTATAGCTCTGTAGCACAATTTGAAGTCAGGTAAAGTGATTCCTCCAGTTTTGTTCTTTTTGCTCAGGCTAGCTTCAGCTATTCGGGGTCTCTTGTGTTTCAATGTTAATTTTAGGATTGTTTTTTCTATTTCTGTGAAGAATGTCATTGGGATTTTAATAGAGATTGCACTGAATTTGTAGATTGCACTGAGTGTTGTGGACATTTTAACAATATTGATTCTTCCAGTCCATGAACATGGACTATCTTTCCGTTTTTTTGTGTGTCCTCTTCAAGTTTCTTTCATGAGTGTTTTATAGTTTTTATTATAGAGATCTTTCACTTCTTTGGTCAATTCCCAGTTATTTAGTTTTATTTGTGGCTATTGTAAATGGGATTACTTTTTTGATTTATTTTAACAGACTACTTTAAATTGTGGAAAGGCAGCACACTGAGGAGCTCTGCTGGGAAAAGATGCTGCTCCCCTCCTCCCTCATCCTTCCTCCAAATAACTTGTCTCTCAGCTTCCAGGTTCTGTGCCCCATTCACACTCCTCAGCCCTGCCAAATAAATGTCTCTGAAGCCCACTTTGACGGGCCACACCAATGTTCACAGACCCCTCAGATTCAGGCTGACTGATAACAGTGCTTGCAAGGACACCTGTAACTACAACTGTTGACTATCTGCTACATTCCAAAACTGTTCTGGATGCTTCCTATACGTAACCTTGTATAACTTTCACACAATCCTATTAAGTAGGTATTATTACTAATCCCATTTTGTAGATGGGAAAACTGAACTTCAGAGAAGCTAAGCCAGATTTGAACCCTCAGCCCATGCCCTCATCACTACACTCCAGCATCTTTCTCTCCTTCCAAGTGTCATCTAGGTAATGTCACACAGTGGTCCACACTGAGAGGCAAAGGCCAGAGCTAGGAACCATTAACAGCCATCTTCTAATGCAGAATTTCCCAAGCTATGTTCTGTAGAACAAATCCTTGAGATGCTGGGCAGAGAAGTAGTTCCCAGGTCATATACACACAAGACAGGTTTTATTTTCTGTCTGTCTCCTGGAGGTTTACAATGTGCAGCAGCTCTGATAATGACTAGGCAATTTATTGAGATTATATTTTGCATTTTGTTCTCACTGTAGTTTTTGTTCCCCAATATTTTCTCTCTGAGAAAGTTTCCTGTCTTTTTTTGGTGCCCTCTTGATTGAGAGATTTGTTTTGTAGGATCTACGTAGTCACTTTTTGACACACCCTTCCTGTCTTTGATTGGGAGAAATTCTGCTCGATCCTCCCAGAGTGGGGAGGAAATGGGCAAGTGCTTTTGCCTGGTAGAGAGTGGGTTCGGAAGGCAAAAGCAGACAGAGGAGTTAGAAATTCTCCAAGATGAAAAGGGAGAAGAAGTTGGGGGGTTCTGGGAGAAGTTGGCACCAGAAAGGGCCCCTGTGGAGCTGTCAGGACCTGATGGGGCATGTGAAGAAGCTGGGCACCAGGTACTGAGTCTCTGGCCTCAGCAAAGCTCCCCAAACCCAACCCTGGCACAAGCTCAGCAGAACCATTCCCCGTCACACAGTCACGCAGGCCTGGACCAAGAGACCATTGTTGATGCCACTCTATCCTGAGCCCAGAGGGTCCCACTCTGTGTCATACCTCAGTACATTGTCATATCCCTGGAGGGGGAGGGCAGGATCAGAGGAACCCTCAGTGACAGCTGAGGATAGATTTTCCATTAGTCCAGTGGGTTGGAGGTTCAGGTTCAGTCAATTTGACTTTAAGAAAATAAGGCAATATGACAGTTCTTGCACATCCAAGTTTGAATTTCAATTCTTACCCACTAAATTTGATAATTCATGATTTGTTAACTTTTTAAACACATGAAACCTGTATTAGCAATTATTGGAATTTTGGTCACTAGATCACCTTTTGGGAATTCTAACTTTAGAACATTGGCCTCCATGTGACTTAACCTCCCAGGAATAATGGGGCCAACTAGACCAGGTAAGCAAGACAAGAAGCAAGAGGGGTAGAGAGCAGGAGGGGAGAGTAGGAGAGGGAGAAAGAATGAAAAGGGGAAAGAAAAGAAGTGAGGGAGAAACCAAGAAGAAGAGAGAAAAAGCCAGGGAAGTGAGAGGAGCAGAAGAAGATTGAGCCAGAGAACCATGGGAGAAAGGGACAGAGAAGAGAGGAGAGGCAGAGATTGGAGGAGGGGGAGGGGAAGGAGAATCCACCATGCATCAGGTGGGGACTTGGCCATGCACTCAGAACACCCAGGAGAAGGACAGGGCAGCACTCTGCCTGGCCTGTGAGTAAAGCACACCTAGGGGTTGCAGTTCCATATGGGTGTTCTGTGAGAGGGAGGAGAAGGCTGGATGTGAGGCTGAGAAGAGTCCCAGCTTGTTTTGAGGGTGCATTCCTTTCAGAGAGGCACCCCAGTGTGATGACTGACATTCCACTGCTGAATAGAGGAGCTCCCCAGCTAGAGTAGAGTAGCCACAGCTAGAGGTTCAGCCAGGGCTTGAGTCCTAGAGCGTGTCATACAGGTGGTGCCTGGATTTCCGCCTGTCCAAGGGGCAAAGCTGACAATGGGTGCCTTCTGTGAGCCCTCTCCATCTCTGCCCTTCTCCTTCTTTGGAATCATTCCTCTCACCTCCCTTCCAGGCATCTTCGGGGAAGATGTCTAATAAACCTATTCTTATTAAGTGTCTTAATCTTTTATCCTTCCCCAAAAGTATAGGAAGGTGGGGAAAGAGCAAGGAAACAATCTCCAATTGTGAGATTTTCATAGGCTGTGCCTAGACAATGGGAGAGGTGCTTAGGAAGGAAGGAGGGAAGGAAGGAAGGAAGGAAGGAAGGAAGGAAGGAAGGAAGGAAGGAAGGAAGGGGATTAAGTATTTTGGCCAGATTTTCTCTGGTTTTTCTTAGGGTGAGACAGATGACTAAGCTAAAAATACAAAGTCTGACCATGAAGCTGAATGGTGAAGTGAACTGGAAATCAGGAGACTAGATACAGACCTGCCTTGGCTAGTTGGCTGCAAGGCCTGGAGTAGGTTATTCACCCAATGCTCCTTTTGTCTACAAGGGGGTGAAACTGAAGGGTTCAATCTAGACATTTCCTCTTGTAGGGTACCTCCCAGCTCTAATATTCAATAGTTCCATAAGTAGAGTTTAATGTAAAAATCAAGTAACACTTGCAAGTAAATTAACCCTGTATATTCAAAGAGCTATACTTAGTGGTACTTTGCCCTCCAGAACAAGTGTTTCTGGGATCAAATGCACATTGATGGAGCAAGGGGAGATCGGGAAAGAGTCTGTGGCTCTGCCTTTCCCTCTCTCCCAGCCCAACACCCAGAAGGAGAAGCTTTCTGGCTTCTACCAACTTTAGCGTGGATGCCTGAGGCCCAGCCTTCCCCAACTTTGTCTTAGGGAAGGGAGATGTAACACCATGACTCAACCTTGAATCCCTTTACTGGCATTATTCCCCCAACAACCTTGAGGGAGTATGCTAGTCAAGACTTTAGGTGACAAATGTCAGGAGCTGAAACTAGTTTAAAAAAAGGGAGGGGGGATTTATTAGCTCAGAAAGCTGGGACATCCAGAAAGGTATCTGCTTTCAGACATGGCAAGAACCAGGAAATCAAATGACTTCATTAGGGCTCTCTCTTTCTGTGTTAACCTCTGCTTATTTCTGCTTGGCTCCCTTCTTTGGACAGCCTGTTTCACATAGTAGGTTAGATAGCTAACCACACCCCCAGACTCCTATGCTCCCATTTTAGCAGCTCTAGTAGAAAAGAATCTGTCTTTCTTGATAGCCCCACCAGTAAGAACTGACTGACCCATTTGGGTCATATGCTCCTTCTTGAATCAGCCTTGGTGGTTGGGGGATGAAATACTCTGATTGGATGTACCTGGGTCACATGCCGCCCTTGTCACTGGGAGAATAAAGTGGATGTCAGCTCCATTTGAACCCCATGGAATGGGTTACCTACAGGAAAAGTTGTAGAGAAGGGATTCCACTAGATGAAACATCAGATTTCCTCAAATAGAATGTCTTCAAGCCCATTATACAGATGAGAAAATGGAGGATCAGACTGGTTATATAACTCACCAAGGTTTACAAAACTAGGAAATCACAGAGCTTGGACTTGAAGCCACATTTGTCCAACACAAAAGTGCGTGTTTTAACCACAGCACTCTGCTAGCTCAACTGTCTCAGCATCCTCAAGAGCCCCATGACTCCAACTTTGAATACTTGGGCTTGTCATTTACGGTTCTCAAAATAACTGAAGTTGCAGGCAGCCTAACAATGCATTCGAGACCCCTGGCTCCTCAAAGGAGCTTGCCGATCTGCTCTGTTTCTCTTCTTCTGCCTCTCCCTAGTTGGAAGGAAGGAGCTAGGGAACCATAATCACGCCTCTCATTGCCTCTTCCAAGGCTAGATACACAGGTATGTGGAATAGGCTGAATGCCACCATTTAAGACAAATGTTCTCAACCACAGTGTGCTCACAATGGCATGGTGAATAATTTGTGAGGTGTGTTGCAAGTAACTTGTTTTGTTAATAGTTAAAATACTGGAGTTTGCAAATGATTTATCTTTTTATAAAAATAAGCAAGAGAAAATTCAAGGCTATCCCTATAACAACACACACTGTGTTCACTTGTATTCTTTTTTATACTTTTTTGAGTGGGAGAGAGAGGTAAAGTTAAAGCAAGCAGGCATTTGTCATTACCCTGGGCATAGCCATGGAAGATTTTCTTTCTTGTGTTCCCACATGGAAAAAGGGCTGAGTATTATTGATTTAAGGGAAGACTTCTGTTCACAAATACCTCCTCAATACCTACTTCCAATTCCACCAAGTAAAAAATACACTGGTTTTAAAAGCTAATGCTGGGTAGGCAGCGTGTTCAACAGTCACTCACATATTGTTGTGAATTATAGGATACCCTTGTTCAAGAATAAGATATTCTAGAAACCTCAAATGAATGGAGACATTTCTGAATACTTTCAGATAATAAAAGCTTCTGAAGGACTAAAAACACAGTCAAACTTTAAAGTGAAGCTTTAAATAGAGCTGAAAGCTTTTTGAGTTAATAGATAATTTTATGCAAAATAACTTTCATACTAGCAAGTAGATTCCTAAGTGAGTGACAGAGTAGGCAGCTGATTTTTTTTTTCCATTGTGGCAAAGTGGAGCTTTATCCTCAGTTCTTTTTACCTTCTGGATATTTTAATTGCACACCAAAATTCACTGCAGCATAGTTACAATAGCCAAGAGGTAGAAGCAACCCAAATGTCATCGATGGGAGAATAAAGAAATGTGGTATGTGTATACAAGGAAATACTACTCAACCTTGAAAAGGAAGGAAATTCTGACACACGCTCCAGTGTGAATGAACCTTGAGGACATTATACCAAGTGAAATAATCCAGCTATAGAAAGAAAAATACTATATGATTCAACTTATATGAGGTATTTCAAGTAGTCAAACTCTTAGGAACAGAAAGTAGAATGGTGGTTGCTAGAGGGTGGGACCGAGGGTGGTGAGGAAAGAGGAATTATTAGCATCATTCCATGATTGTAGAGTTTCAGTTTTGCAAGATGAAAAATCTCTACAGATTCACTGCACAACAGAAAATTGTTAAGATTGGAAATTTTATGTTATGCATTTTTTCCCACAAATTTCAAAAATGGAAAAAAAACAGAAAGGAAAGAAAAAAAAAAAGAAAGGACCAGAAAACTTGAGCTGAGTTATTGTCATTTAAGATGAAAGAAAAAAAAGGGAGGGAACACAGAGGCAGTAATTAGTCCCAGAACCTAATTCTAGGAATGTCCGGAAGTCAAAAGTTACTTGGTGGAATTTAAAGTGGTACTGAGGAGGTATTTGTGGGCAGAAACCCTCCCTTAAATCAATAATGCTCAAGCCTTTTTCCAGGTTGGACACACCAGAAAAAAAATCTCCCATGGCTATACCCAGTGTAATGACAAATGCCTGCTCTCTTAAACTTCACCTGTCTCTCTGCCCCACTCAAAACCCCTCTCACATAGAATAAATGGCAAAAGAAAAGTCTACATGGAGTAATTTCTTTCAAAAAAGGAACAGCAGAAGTAGGAAGAGGGGAGAGGAAGAGAAGAGGGAGTGAGCAGCAGCTGAAATTACAGTCTTAAAAAATGCTTATTTTCAATTATACACAAAAAAGAAAATAATGCAAAGATTTCATAGCCAACATTGTACTGCGTATAAAAATTGTGCCACAGTAGTCACAAAAGCTCTTCATGTTGCTGGCAGAGACAGAGAGCTTATGGCTTATTCAAACAAAATCTCACCAATCTCAATGGTGAGGGTTTTGGGTTTAATCAGATTGCTTTCCCCACACCTACCATAAGAAAATGGAAGGAAGATGAGATATAATTTGGAGGCATGGAATCTTATGAAGATAAACAGGCTAAAGCCAGGGGTCTTGGGTAGTCAAAGGGAAGTTCATGGAGATGAGAGTAAAAGAGATTGTTACTGGCAGACTAGAGGAAGTATGGGCAAGGCAGTGAAGACAAATTTTACCACTAGAAAAAAAAAATGCTGCAATTTCGTTCTGCCTTCTCCCTTCTTAGAATCAAAATAGCTTTTACTTAAATGTTATTAGTCCTTGCCTTCCTCCCACCCCAACTGCCATGGGCACTAGAGGGGTGAGACAAAGCAAAAATGAACCTGCATGGGGAGCTGGTTCAGTAGCAGCAATGGGGCTCCCAGGGATTGTCCAAGGCAAGCTGCAAGATACAAGGAGGAATGTGCTGGATTATTGATGCCATGAGGTACACAAAAAGACAACTTGGTGGAAACTCTGTCACACAGATTGCTACAAGAAAGCTAGCCTGGCTAGCAGCCATGCATAGTGTCACTTTAATGTGCAGCCCTTCTGACCTGGGAGAAGGCTGCCAGAGGCGGCATTCCCTAAGGGAGGCTGTGAGATTTGCCCTGCCCACTCTGGACACCGGGTTCCTGTCAGCAGTAGTTAGGTGGGACTCTTTTCCCAGTCAGATTCCATTTATGAAAATACTGAGAATTGTTCTTTAATTTAGACTTTAATAAAGATAAGACAAAGGTTAATTGAGAATGGCTGAGTCTCACATTACGTAATGAAGACTGCCTAAAATCTACTGTACTGTTAACTTGGAAAATTGCTGCTGAATTCTGATATTGACCTCCACGCCTTCCTAACTAAAGAATTGATGGGTGTGTTGATTTTATGTTACCCAAGTCTAGCTGACCTGTATCTTCCATTCTTTCTAATTCTTGGCTCATATTGGTCTGGGTTCATATGGATTTTTTTTGTATCAAGGATCTTGTTACTAATTGCAGAGAATTCTCAATCTCTACAACTGTAATTTATCAAAGTTCAGATTTTTAAATAACAAAGGCCACATCAATTGCTGTCTAGGGAGGTTGCCTCGTCCAAAGTGCTCTGCAAAATGCCTGCTGTCAGTTACTTATAACCCAAAAATGGCTCCTTTCTCTACTTGGAATGTGCTGATCTCCTCCATCATCAGCATCTGCTTGCCTCTGCTCAATTGCCTCTGCTGGTGGGCTGGGCTGGAAACTGGCTCCTTTTGGTAGCAAGAATTACTTCAGGAGTGAATCTCATCTTCTCGCTTTGGAAATCTAGAAATACATCCTAGAACTTCTGGCACAACCCCATTCAACATACACCTTTGGCCCTGGCAGGTTTTAGAGCTTTACTCTATAGGTATTTTATGTTTACAGATGATGACTAGAAAGAATTTGACTAGAAGACCACTATGTAAGGACACGAGTTTATACACTGTGCAAAGGTGCCCAGCCAAGGAGGCAAGTGGGGCTGAATTCCAGTCCTGCAGGAAGGAATGCCTTTTCTTTGCACAAAGGCAACAGCTCCCACCAACCCATGTGCTGGTGAAGCTGTGTCCACACAAGGAGTATCCTTTTTGAATTTACACACTCCATAGGCTGGCAGCAGCCTTCCCTGAAACAGATGCTGTGGGATGGGGAAATTGGTTTTTAAAGAGCTCAAAGAAAAGTTTACCAGGATCATTCATGGAGGAAAAGTCAGCATGATCATCCCCAAAGTGGAAGCCAACAGTGATCAATCAAAAGACCAAAGAGGGCCAGGCGTGATGGTTCACGCCTGTAATCCCAGCACTTTGGGAGACGGAGGCAGATGGATCATTTGAGGTCAGGAGTTCAAGACCAGACTGACCAACATGGTGAAACCCTGTCTCCCCTAAAATACAAAAATTTGCCAGGCGTGGTGATGGGCACCTGTAATCCCAACTCATTGGGAAGCTGAGGCAGGAGAATCGCTTGAACCCAGGAGGTGGAGGTTGCAGTGAGCCGAGATCGTACCACAACACTCCAGCATGGGTGACAGAGCGAGACTCCCTCTAAAAAAAAAAGACCAAAGAGAGGCTAGGCACGGTGGCTCACACCTGTAATCCCAGCACTTTGGGAGGCTGAGGCAGAAGGATTGCTTGAGTCCAGGAATTCAAGACCAGCCTGGGCGACATGGTGAGACCCTATCTCTACAAAAAATTAAAAAAAAAAACTAGCCAGGTGTGGTGCTGAGTGCCTGTGGTCCCAGCTACTTGGGAAGCTAAGGTGTGAGGATCACTTGAACCCAGGAGGCAGAGGTTGCAGTGAGTTGAGATCATGCCACTGCACTCCAGCCTGGGCAACAGAGTGAAACTGTCTCAAACAACAACAACAACAAACCCCAAAGACCAAAGATTAAGAATCTAAAGCTTTACTCTCTAGCTCCATTGGAAGATGCTTCGCTTTTCTTTTCTTCTCTGCCCCTGCATTATTTCTCAGAGAGAAAGAGCTGATTTTTCCATGTGAAATAGGGAGGAAGAGGGCTTAGATGATACAGCACATACCACAGAACACAGGAGCCAGTTCAAAGATGCATGAGCTGCCATAATACCACAAACACACCACTTATCCCATGGAGTAACTCCAAGGACTGATCACATTCAGCCACAGTGAGGGTAGCCAGGGGGCTAAATGCACTAGCCCAACATGCATCAAAAGGGCAGCTTTGTTCATTGTGCCAGCACCTGCCCTCAGATACTGCTTCTTCCGGCTTCCCTTTCATTCTCTCATCTCTTGCGCTTTCTTTCTTGCTGCTCATATCCTATGTTCTGGAATTCTCGCTGCCTCCCAGACACTGTGGTTCACTTTGATTGATGCTCTTTGTTCTCTGTGTAAGTAGAGAACTGCCGAACAGAATAATATAGTCTTCAGCCAACTCTATCTTTCCTTTTGTTCCTACCTTGCCTGCTCAGGCACAGCAGTCGATGTGGGAACAAATGTTTTTGAGCACCTACTCTGTGATGCATGATTCTAGGCACTGGGAACACAGTGGTGATCAAACCAGTCAAAAATCCCTGCTGGAGGGGATGAGGTGAGGGAGGGATAGACAATAAACAAAATAAGTAAATTGGCCGGGTGCAATGGCTCACATCTATAATCCCAGCACTTTGGGAGGCAGAGGCAGGCAGATTGCTTGAGCCCAGATGTTTGAGGCCCACCTGGGCAACCAGATGAAACTTCATCTCTACAAAAAATATAAAAATCAGCTGGCTCAAACAAATTAACAAGAAAAAAAAAATCCCTTCAAAAAATGGGCTAAGGACATGAATAGACAATTCTCAAAAGAAGATACACAAATGGCCAACAAACATGAAAAAATGCCCATCATCACTAATGATCAGGGAAATGCAAGTCAAAACCACAATGTGATATCACCTTACATCTGCAAGAATGGCCATAATAAAAAAAAATAGATGTTGGTGGGGATGTGGTGAAAAGGGAACACTATTACACTGCTGGTGGGAATGTCAACTAGTACAACTATGGAAAACAGTGTGAAGTTTCCTTAAAGAAGTAAAAGTAGAACTATCATTTCATCCAGCATCCACTACTGGGTATCTACCTAGTGGAAAAGAAGTCATTATACAAAAAAGATACTTGCACACGCATGTTTATAGCAGCACAATTCGCAATTGCAAAAATATGAAACCAGCCCAAACGCCCTTCAATCAATGAGTGGATAAGAAATTGTGGTATGGCCTGGCGCGGTGGCTCACACCTGTAATCCCAGCACTTTGGGAGGCCAAGGCGGGCGGATCATGAGGTCAGGAGTTCGAGACCAGCCTGGCCAACGTGGTGAAACCCTGTCTCTACTAAAAATACAAAAATTACCTGTGTGTAGTGGCACACGCCTGTAATCCCAGCTACTCAGGAGGCTGAGGCAGGAGAATCGTTTGAACCTGGGAGGCAGAGGTTGAAGTGAGCCGAGATCACGCCATTGCACTCCAGCCTGGGAGACAGGGTGAGACTCCGTCTCAAAAAAAAAAAAGAAATTGTGATGTGTGTGTGTGTGTGTGTGTGTGTGTGTACATATATATATAGTATTCCGTGGCGTGTGTGTGTGTATGTGTGTATATATATATAAATATATATGTAATTATATATTATATATTATATATAATTATATAAATATATATGTGATTATATAATTATATAATATATAGTTATATAAATATATATAATTATATATTTACATATATAATTATATAAATATATATAATTATATATTTACATATATAATTATATATAATAAAGGAATGAGATAATGGCATAAAAGGAATAAAAAGGAATGAGATAATGGCATTGGCAGCAATCTGGATGGAATTGGAGACCATTATTCTAAGTGAAGTAACTCAGGAATGGGAAACCAAACGTCGTATGTTCTCACTCATAAGTGGGAGCTAAGCTATGAGGATGCAGAGGTATAAGAATGATACAATGGACTTTAGGGACTTGGGGGAAAGGGTGAGAAGGAGGTGAGGGATAAAAGACTACAAATTGGGTACAGTGTACACTGCTTGGATAATGGGTGCACCAAAATCTCACAAATCACAACTAAAGAACTTAATCACGTAACCAAACACCATCTGTTCCCCAAAGATCTATGAAAATAAATAAAAATAATAAAAATAAAAATAAAAAAGTTAAAATGCTATACATGTAAAAAAAAAAAAAATAGCATGGTGGCACATGCCTATAGTCCCAGTTACTCCAGAGGCTGGGGTTGGAGCCTTGAGCCCAGGAGGTAGAGGCTGCAGTGAGCTGAGATCACGCTACTGCACTCCAGCCTGGGTGACAGAGCAAGACCTTGACTCAAAAACAAAAAAGTAAATAAGATATATGGTATACTAGATGGTGGCAAGTGTTAAAGAGAAAAATAAAGCAGGAGAGTGTGGAGGGTGTGGTGGTGAACATCCTGTGGTCTCAGCTACTTGGAAGGCTCAGGAGTGTGTAAAAAATACGTTTATATTTCTCTTCAGTAAATATCTGGAATTGAGATTCCTGGGTCCAATCATAAGTGTATGCTTAACAAACGTTAAACTGAAGAAAGAAACTGTCAAATGGTTTGCCATTTCATAATGGGTGGCCAAGAAAGCCCTTGATGAGAAGATGAATTCTGGTTAAAGATCTGAAGGAGGTGAGTGAGACTTGACATGTCTAAGGAGAAAATGCAGTGATCTTTTTGTAATTCTCAAGCTTCTGACTGGCTACACAGGGTTTATATTTTTACTAACTCTTATCAAGTGTATTAGTTATCAGCTGCTATGGAACAAATGACCCCAAAACTTAGTGGCTTAAAACAACAAAACGTTGTCTCACGGTGAGTCAGGAATCCAAGTGTGGCTTATCTGCATCCCTTTGGCCCGGGGTCTCTCACACAAGGCTGTCATGAGGGCGTTGGCCAGGACTGCAGTCATCCCCAGGCTCAGCTAGAAGAGGATCTGCCTCCGAGATCACGCAGGTGGCTGTTGACAGACCTCAGGTCCTCACCGGCTGTTAGGTGAAGGTATCAGTTTCTTGCAGCTTGGACCTCTCCATGGGGCAGCTGATAACAGAGAAACCCAGCAAGGCAGAAGTCAGACTTTCAATAATCTGATCTTAGGAGTGACATCCATCATTTTTACCATATTAAATTGGATGGAAGCAACTCATTAGATCCAGCCCACACTCGAAGGGAGGGGGTTACAGAAAGGTGTGAATTCCAGGAGGTGAGGATGGTTGAGACCATTTGGAGGTTGACTCTCTCCCCAAGAGTAGAACAAAGGCATGTACATCCTTCATATGCACCTGGATGACATTCCCTTGTTAATTTTCCCCATAACAGCCAGAGTAGTCCTCACAAAATATAAGCGAGAGCATATCACTTCCCTCTCCAAACCCTCTATCACACCTTAGAGTGACACCTGCAGCTCACTAGCTGGCTGCGGCCTCACTCTCCTGCCGCTTATTCCACCATCCACTTGACTCACGCCACTCTGGCCGCAGGAACCTTCTTGCTCTTGCACAAATATGCTGAATCTCTTCCTGCCCTGTGCACTGCTCCCACTTGGCCCTCCTTCCCCATCACTCAGGTCTGCTCAGCTCTCACCTCCTCCACGGGCCTTTTTCTGTCCACCTGTACTTCAGCCCTCTCCACTTATTCTACTTTATTTTCCTCATACCACTTATCCCTATCTGAAATGGTCTATTATTTGTTTGTTTGCTGCTTGTCCTCCTCCCTGACTAGAAGGTAAGGTTGACAAGGGGAGGGACTTTTGTCTATTTTGTCCACTGCTCTATTCCCAGTGCCTGGGACTTAAAAGAGTCTCAGTGGATGTCACCAGAATAAGCGAGTGACTGAACAGCATTTGGATGTACGTAAAGATGAAGTCATCTGTAACACAGTAATAATAGTATTTTCCACTTGGGGGGCTTATTATATCCTAGGCAGTTTACAAACATAATTTCATGTAATCCTTACAAAGATCCCACGAGGTGGGTACTATCATTATCCTCATCTTACAGGGGAGGAAAACCAGGCTTGGTAAGACCAGGAAACCCACACGAGCTCACACAACAAATGGAAGAGCTGAGATTTAAGCCCACAGTTTCCTGACCCTGCAGCCCACACTGTCTCCCCAGCAATAAAGCAACCCAGACAGCGGCTGTCCGCGCAGGCTGTGCACAGGAGCACCCGCGGGGCACGGGCCTCACCACCGTAGTGTCATAGTCACCATAAGACTATTTCTAAAACTGTTGCCTAGGAAATCCTCACGTACAGGCTAGGATAGCGATCCTGTCTCACACTTCAAGATCTAGTGACAAGTATTAATGCAGCGCCTACCTCTACAGTAGTCTACAATTTAACAGAACCTTTCATCTCAAGCCACCTTTAGGCAAAACTGTGACATTTAGCTTGAGGCTACCCAGAGACCCTGCTGAGACTTGAGCAGCCCAGGTTTCTGCCCTTCTCACCCATGCTCACCCACACTTTGTCCTCCTCCCTCCTCTGAGGGACAGTGAGAGGACGAGTCAAGGCTGCTCCCCCAGTCAGAGCTTTCAGCCCCATTGCTGCCACTGGCTGCAGGCTCATGGACAAATGAGGCTCCAGCTCCCAATCAGCCTCCTCTCCCTTGTCAGCGCAGTTGACAGCAATATCACCCATCTGGAGCACCTGCCTCCCAGTATTCCTCGCTCCTGCCACACTGAATTCCCTTCAGTCCCTGAATTTGTCATGCTCTCTCACCTACGGGCTTAGCTCATGCTTGTGCCTCTACCAAGAAGATTCTTTCCCTCTGATCAGCTAGTTAAATCCTATTAATGCTCAGGTCTCTGTAAATGTCACTTCCTGACCTAGGGAAGGCTTCCCTAACTATCCCCTGTGTGGGTTAGGTACTTCCCTGCTCCACTGGCACCCAGGACTTCCTGTATAACAGGAGAACACCAGCTTGCCTTCATAATTACCTGTACTTTCATAGAGGCGCCCTGAGATCAGGAACCATGCATGTTGGGTATCTGTAGCCCGGCATTTACCTCCTCTCCTCTGGAAAGAGTTTACTAAATTTCCCTTCCTTTTTATTTCAGCCATGTGGTTTGTGTGCGACTGACGCTAACGTCCAACTCCATCTGCAGAGCTTAAGTTAATGGGCATACCCTACCTCCATTCTCCCTGTCACAGTGGCTCAGGATTGACATGTGACTCAGGCCAGGCCAATCAGGCTGCACCTCAGGGCTCTGCCTGGAAAGATGAGCACTGGATTCTTTCTCCCCTGCCGCACATGTAGCCTCTTGGGATACTGGAAGAAAGCCAAGGTTTCTTCCAGTTATGCTTAAATAACCTGTGTCAGCATCAAAGACAGAGCCCTGTGGCATCCTGCTAGTGTTCCCCTTTCAGGTTGATGTTGCAATAGTGGCCACTATTCTTTGGATCTGGCTGTTACACCAGTTAACCCTGTGCATTAAAGGAAAGGGTATTCAGTAAGTAAGTTCAGTAACAACTCAGGGGCTTAACATCTTCACCAATGGAGGTGAGGGTTGGGGTGGTGGAATCTGGCCTGCAAGGGAGTCATGCAGAACTAAGAAATGGAGACAAAGAAACAGAGTCCTGGTCACATTATTTGAGGCACTGGATCAAGCATTGCCTGAAACTAGAGCTACCTCTAGATTTGTCAATTACATGGATCAATCAATTACCTTTATACTTAAATGAGATTGGGTTTGCTTGTTGTTGTCGTTACTTGCAATGAAGAAAACACCTTAAATTCTGCCTTATTCACCACTGAATCCTCAGCCCTCAGCACAGTGACTGGCACCTAGCTGTGAGTGAATATAAGTTTCTTTGCTCTAGGTAAGAAATCAGGGGACTAGCAACTCCAGCAGGGAGGGCAATATAAGCACTTGGCTCTTTCTAGGCAGGTGCTACAATGGTGGTTCTACTTCTTTCTCCCAGTTCCTACACAACAGTACATCAGGGATCCCTCTCTCAGCTCCCCTGGGCCCTGAAGACCCAGGAGCTCTTCTATCTGGCTGCTGAGATGCAATCCCTACCTCCTGGTCCTACTTACAGAATCATCCCTAACCAGCTTCATTCAAGTCCCCAGCCTGCCTCAGCAGGCCATGTTAACTCGGAGCCTGTTACAGACCATGGGGCCACTCAAAGCACAGATTTAGCGCGCCGTCTACTTGCTTTTTAAAAAATCTAGGCTGTAATTGGTTCTTCCACTCACACACTGAATAAATTCTGTGCCCTCTCTTGTGCCCACAATCTGATTTTATCACTGTTATTGGAATAACAGAATTTGAGAAAGAAACATAGAGGTCATTTAGCTCAACTCCGTTCCTAGGGCAGGTGCCACCACTACTACGTCTCTGACTGAGGTCTAGCCTGCTTTGGCTTGAATACAACCACGGACCGGCTGCTCCATCCTTTGCAAGTCGGGCACATTGTCAGACAGCTCAGATTGTTAGAAAGTTCTTCCTGAAATTGAGCTGGAATCTGCTTCCTTGTCATTCCACCTAGTCCTGGATCTGCCATCTGGAGTCCCTGGCATCAGCCTGATCCCTCCCCCACATGGCAGCCATTGGGATATATGAGGACAGCTCACATGTCCCTAACGTCTGCTTGGCTCCAGGCAAAGAATCCCTTGTGCCCTTACCCAGTCCTCATATGACTTGGTTTCCTGATATTGCACCAGCACATCATCCCCTGAATGTGCTCCATTTGTGATTGTTCACCTCTCTGAAAATATGGTTCCTTGAAAGGATCTCAACAGTCTAGCTGTAGCCTGTCCAGCACCAAGCACAATAGAACCATCTGTACCTGGTTCTGGGCTCACCACACCTGTTAATGATGATATGTAAATTCCCAGTGCCATTTTTAAAGTCTCATCATACTATTAGCTCAATGCAATCTTAGAGAAAATAAACCCCTTCCACTGGATTTTCCATATTTGAACATTTGATATATGGAGCTTCATAGAGATTTGTCTTGAATGTTATCTTACAGGGTTTAGACTGGGCAGAATCACTAGTGATCATATAATTTGTCATACAAATTGTGACAGTTTTAAGATTGAAAACAGGTGCTATTAATACTATCAACAATCACTTTGAGACAACAGACACAACCAGGGCTGTCCAAACAAACCTAGACCCAGGACCACCCTAAGCAAAGTGGTTAGGACCACAGAGTCTGGGTTCAAATCCCAGTGCTATCATTTACCAGTTTGTTACTTAATCTCTTGATGTTTCTGTTTTCCCATCATGGAAAGGGAGATAACATATTTACATCATAGGATCATCATAAGTATTAAACAAGATCATGTATGGAAAGCATTTAACCCAGAGCCTGGCTTACATTAAATGCTTAGAAAATATCACTTGTTATTTTTAGCTTGTTGAGATCTTTTAAAATTTGACCAGCTATCCCTCTCAGCATTGTGTCATTTTTAAATCTGAGAAGTACCTCTTCCACAGCCTCGTCTGAGTTGTTGCTTAAATAACCTGTGTCAGCATCAAAGACAGAGCCCCATGGCAGGCTGCTAGTGTTCCCCTTCCAGGCTGATGTTGAAGTATTGGCCACTATTCTTTGGATTTGGCTGTTACACCAGTTAACTCCGTGCATTAAAGGAAAGTATGTTTAGTAAGTAAGTTCAGTAGCACCTCTGGGGCTTAACTGGTATACAGGTTTATGTTTCTCTCACATGAAAGTCTGGAGAGGCCCCACTTTGGCAGAAGTCCATCCTCCCACCATTAGCCAGGCACCCAGGCTGATGGCAGCTCTTCTGTCTTCAGCATGTGGCTTTCTGAGTGGTTCTGCTGGTCACCATTCCCACCAGTAGGAAGCGGGAGAAGAGTGTAGAGGAGCAAGTGGAGGAGATATATGTGCTGGCCTGCCAGGGGCATGGATCACTTCTGCTCACAAGCACATGGGGGAGAACTTAGACACAAAGGTGCGCCACACCATAGGGAAAGTGGGAAAGGCAGGGCAGCTTAGCTGCCAGGGGCCAGCTCCACTGCCATTCCTACAGAAGAAGGGGAGGAGATTTTGGTGGACGCCTAGGAATTCCCACCATTCCCATCCACCTAATGCATTATCATTCAGGCCACAATTTTCTGTCTTGTCCTCGAGGAAGTAAGGTGAGACTCTACCAAATACCTTATGAAATCAAAGGCCTTCACCATTCTGCTCTGCTACTAGCAAAGAAAGGAAATCATTTCCAGGGCCTCATGAGGAGATGGCACACAGGCAGCCCACACTCTGTCTGAGAAATGGTTTTACATTTGGGGCAGTGAAATTCATTTAATCCTTTCATTAATCTGTGTGGGGAAGAAAGAGAAAGAAGGCAGAAACATAGTGGTGTTTAAAAAATGAAATGAAACGAAATTCCAAGTATAAGAGCCTTATGGAAAAGTCAAGCAGAAAAGGAGTTATACATAAAAATTAAAATGATCTTCAAGATTGCTTAATATTTCTCTTGGAACATTCCTGAGCCCCTTGAAATGAGATGTAGGACTCAGATTTCTGACACAAGTAACATAGGCATTATGGTCAGCCCTTAAACTCCAGCCTGCAGCTCTTAAAGTCAAGTCAAGCACTGCTGATAAGCAACCTCATTTATTCATTCAGCAAACACGTGGAGAGAAGCTTCTCAGTGCCATGCACTGTGTGGGGAATAAAGAAATAAACAAGCTGTGGGCCCTACCCTTGAAGGTCTTTCAGACTCAAAGATTCCTAGTTGCAAATATCAGAAACCGTGTCTGGCTACTCTAAACAGAAAGAGAATTTACTAAAGAATATTAGGTCACAAAAACTCCGGGAAGCTATGAAGCTAGGAATAATGCCTCAAAACACTTTGCAGAATAGTCTAGAAGAGACTATGCTGGCCCCCCTGTCAGCACAGACACACAGCTTGGTGACCCTGCCTGTGTGGGACCTCAGATGCTTTCATCAGCATCTTCTGAAATTGAGGAAGATACAAGCCATCTTAGCCAGAACATACTCCTCCCAGTTCTCGCTGCTTTGCAGTGCTAGCTTCTGATTCAGAGTCCTTCTGATGCAGCTGTGCCCTAGCTGCAAGGAAGGTGGGAGAGTGAGTACCTGCCTTCTAAGTTAGGATGTGGGGATTCATAAAACAGAATTCCCCAAACATAAGGAAGATGTGAAAAGGTTCTGGGTGGCCAAAACATTGATAAGTGTCCATGATGAGGTGAAAAATACATGCAAATGCATATATTAGAATGGAATATGGGCTTTATGAACTTTATGAACAGAGTTGTGAAAACACAGAGGACAGAGAAATAAAACCTAACACAGCAGGTCAGAGAAAACTTCGCCAAGGGAGTCTCCACCTGTCCCACCCACCTAAAGTGTTATCATTCAGCCCGCATTTACTATCTTATTCTCTGGATCATAAGGGATGCTTGAGAACTTTCTGGGGAAAGTTTCTGAGGAAGGGCCCTGCACACAGAGGAAAAGCATGTGAAAAGGGATGAGAGTGGGAAAGGCTTGGTAGGTCTGCGGAGTGGCTCCATGTGGTAAAGGCAAAGGCTGAGTGTCAGTAGCGAGGAGCAGATAGGCTGAGAGTGACAGGTCAAGATCAGATCACAAAAGCCTTTTATGGTCATTGGATGTCATTGAAGGATGAGAGTAATGTGATCTTTTTGTTTTTAAGAGATTACCTGGTGCTATGTAGAGGGTGGATTGGATAGGAAAGAAAATGAAGATGGAGACAGGGTCCAGAGGCTGGTGTGAAAGACCAAGTGAGAATGACGCAAACCTGAATTAAGGCAGTGGCAGCAGGAAGGAAGGGAAAGTTGAACCTGGGAAATTGCTCTGCCCACTGGGAAACCCAAACTATGGGTCTGGAACGGAGTTGGGGATCATTAGCTTTAGATGGTAGTCGGTACAATAAGAGAGGCCACAGAGGGTGAACAGAAGATGACTGGGAACCCTTACAGTTAAGCATTAGAAAGCCCAAGTCAGGTTTCCCAATCCCAGCAGCAAACAAAGGCAGGATGTGCCCAGGCCATAAAGCGTAACACTGGGTATTAGGGGTAAGAGGGTGGAGATCCTGATCCAAGTTCCCTGGAGCTCATTGTTGTGTTGAAGCACATAGACGGCCGTTGTAGTTTTTTGGCTAGCTGCTTCAATTTCCTCTTCTCATTGTAATGGAGCAGGATTTCTACTCGGGGAATCCCCTCTCACCCATTCTGTGCAGTCTTGGGGGTGTTAATCAATGTGACCTGTCTGGCCCTGGCTAAGAGGTGAGCATGGGACCCAAGAGCATTCAGATTCTCTTCAAGGACTTCTTATTTTGAGCTGAGTGAAGCAAGGCTGGAAAGAAGAGTTTGGAGTTGGTTCAACCCAGCAGCATCTCCCTAAGGAAACCACCCCTTAATTCCTGCCCCATGGAATCCTGAGCTGCCCTAGCTCAATTATTCTTTAAGTCTGGTTTCTAGCTTTCTCTTCTACTCTGTGAACTCAGTGAGACTCTTAACTGAATTTTTTTCTGCTTGGGGGAGTCAGAATCTGTGGTTTGCAATCAACCCCGACTCACAGAGTAACAGGCACTTAAGTCAACTGTGTATAAGAATTCCTCCAAACCAACCTCCCAACAGGTGCAAAGCACTTATGAAAAAGGAATGGGGCTGTCATGCACACTGGAACAGGGATCATTCTAGCTGTGACTTTATTCTCACTTGTCACAAGACCTCAAATGGGTTCCTTCACCTCTCCAGGCCTCAGTGCTCTCATCTGCAAATCACAGTGTGGGGTTGGATGATACTTGGTGTCCAGTGGGGTGCTGGTAAACTGTTTCTTTAAAAAAAAAAAAAAAGAAAGAAAGAAAGCATTTTGCTGGCTTTTAAGCAACTTGGTCAAAAATCTGCTTCCTTAAAAAGTAGAGAATTAATGAGCATCTCAAGCTTTTTCTTTTCCTTTTTAATGATGCCTGCACCATCGGAGTATTCTAGCATTCTCTCTTTTGTTTGGCATATAATCATGCACAACATTTTTATTTCTTTAAGGTGGGAGTATATTTTTATTTCCTAAATGCCATACTATGAAGATCAAAGTCTTAAGTGTGTTTGTGTAGCTCAAAAATAAAGATATATTAAGGGGGGAGAACACCGGTCTCAGCACAAGGCACACTTAAAGCAAGTTTTACTTTTGGTTGTATTTTCTTTGTATATTACAAACACTTATTTAACTTGTTGTCATTTGAAGTAAAAAATTTCCAAAGTGTGTGCTCAACAATAATCATTGAAATGTTTCCAGTGAAAAAAAGAAGTGAAAGCCTTGATTAATAGTGTTTGATAATGTCTGTGGTATAAATATTCCTTCCGTGGCTAACTTTCAAGCTACCAATGGTTTAACAACCAGCTTTCTAATTTCCTGAAATTTGTACTTTTGCAATCAGGTACAAGCCAGCTCTGGTACATCACTGTTGGTGTCCCTTCTAGGGCTGACTTCTGGTCTGTACCACTCTACACTGGGACGCTGGAAGACTAAGTCTTTGACTCTTGTTGGAAAGAAAGCGTATAGGATGGCATTTCTCAAACTCCATAGCAGGGAACTTGTTAAAATGCAAATGCCCGCAGACTGCTATTAGGCACTCTGAATTAGCATAGGGGTGGAAGGGTTCCCAAAAATTTGCACCATTAACACACTCCCCAGATGATTCTGATGCAGGCGGTGTGAGGGCCAGACTTTGAGAGTCACTGGCTTGGAAAGTGGAAGGGATGGAGATAAAACAGGTGACAGTGGTGGGAAATGGAGTCAGGCAAGAGGAGAGAGGATTATGGAGGAAATGATGACCCAGACCATAGACACAATTGGGAAGCAAAGAGCAGGGAGGCAGGAGATATTCTCAGCTTGATATCCAGACTTGGAGGACTCTGCAGAACACCATGTACCAGAGGGCTTTAATAAGAGATGATGAAGATCATTATGGCGATGAAGGAGGGCAGTAGGCTTTGTTAACCAGCTTTACAGGGCTGGTAGGAAGTAGAGCCATCTGGTGCATATTTGGTACATTACAGAATCTATTTTATTTTCACTCATGCTACTCAGCCAAATTTATATCTGTTTCTGGCTGCAGAACTTGCCTGGTATTAGACTAAGCCCTGAGCTCTGAGCAGGAAGAATCCCACGCCAAGGACGTGATCAGTTTTTGCCGATCCTGGGGGCAAGGCTGGATTTCTAAGCCTTCCTAGAATTTCAGCCCTTGTTCTAGATGGTGGGAACCCAAGAACATTCCAAGTGAATGACTGAAAGTCCTGAAGGAATCTGTGCTCATATCACCAAACCACCTATCTCCTCCTGCAGGAGAGGGCAGCATTGGCCCCAGCCTCCCTGTGAGGCCCTTCACATCCTCATTTCCATTTCTCTATTGCTTCTGGGGGACAAGGACCTTGTTTATCTTTTCAGGCCAGGGCCTGCCTCTCAGTAGGTGGAAGAATGAGGCAGGTAGGTGATTGTAACGTACAGGGATTGGGAAGCACCATTAGGGCTGGCCTGGCTGAGACAGATACAGATAGAAGAAGAGTAATTGCCCAGTGGTAGGGGGTAGCTAAATATTAGGGGTCGAAAAAGCCTGAAATTTACCCTACTTGAGAAGGAAAACAAATCTGCTTAAAGCTACACAGTAAATTAATAATAATTAAAAAAAAAAAAGACTGACTAATGGTCCTCCCTACCTCCGTCACTCCCCCACACAAAAGAAAACAAGATAACTTTCAGGAAAGTTGGGGAAGGGGAGGTACATGCTGCTTAAGAGGCTCTTGGGAGAGCATTTGTTGTCTCTTCCTAGTCTTTGGCCTTATTCCAGTCCAACTGTTCAAAGGCACCGGGGCAGAATTTGTCTTCCCTGGGCTGGAACACAGGATATCACTAAGATTCCTCTGGATCCTGGAATGATGCTGCGAGTTGCACACACCTGCTCTGACTTTCCCCATTTAAAATTCCTCGTTAGAAATCCTTCCTTCCACTCTGATGTCCCAGACATCGCTCTTGGATCTTCCGCCCGCTTGCCTTGCATTCCCATCCCTCAGCTCAGACAGATGAAATGCAGGATAAAACCTTTCAGTACACAGGGCAGGGACCTTGTCTTTGTGTCTCATAAAGTGCGTGTACACCTGCAGTGCTTTGTAAATAATAAATGGCCACAATAAAGAAGCTGCTTCTTTGGGGTCAGGGGTGCCTGTTTGCAGAAAAACAGTTCCCCCTACACCTCCTCCCACCAGGTCTGGCTCTGCCTGGCACAGCTGTCACCGGAGCCTGAGGATGCAGTGCACAGAGATTTCCAAGGGGACATGTGACCTGAAAACTTAGGGTTCCAAACAGAATAAAAGGCACCACGCCAGGATTTCTTGGCCAGGGGAGGTCAGAGAGCAGCTTGCTGACATACTATGTACTTGAAAAATAAATGTACCGTGGAAATGCAAGATGTCATTATTATTACTTCGAATTTTATTGTTCTGCTTAATCTGGCCTTTACAAATTACAACAGCACAGGCTTTTTTAGCCAAGTGTATAATAATAATTTACTATTGAAAGAGAGATTGGCTGGTAATAACAGGTATTATTACTCTAATAATAACTTGCCAATTTCATACAAAGGAGAAGGAGACCTCTTTCCAGATGGGTGAACAAGCGAAATAGACAAGGGGGTTTCATGAGGGTGACTATGGGAAGGGCAAGGACATGATTACAACGTGGTCACTCATTATGATGACCCCCATCACTGATGCTGAGAACAAGTGGAGTAAAACTCTCAACTAGCCTGCTGTTTTCTCACTACAATTCAGAAACAGCAGTTCATCTTTTTGAAAATATGCTGCTAAAATCTCCCCTCTGTGTTTCCGGTTGCAGGGCACTATCAGGGCAACAAAACGTTCTAGAACAATGAACTCATCCATCAGGTATTTTGGAGGCCTTCATAATAATAGTAGCTGCCATTTATTGCAGCCTCGCTATGCGCCAGGCACTGTGCATCACCTCATTTACTCCTCTCCACCTTCTCTATGAAGTGAATCCTACTATCCATTTTATACATGAGAGACCTTAGGCTCAGGGTCGATAGGCCCAGTGTTCTAGCCAGGATCCAAACATAGACTGAATCAGGAGCCCAAGATCTTAACCACTGTGATCTACCACCTTTACTGCCACTTGGCAATGTTTCAATGGTTGAAATAGCTGAGTATTAGTAACTCAAACAACTCAAACTTGACACCTCTAGGCAAGAGGGAATAGTTTTCAAGCATCCAAGCTGATGGAAGGACAGAGTGGGATGGATAGCACCAATGCACAGGTGCTCAGGGAGTCACTTGGACTTGGCTGTGGATGGCCTAACTGGGAGAGTTTGCAGCAGAATTGCTTTCTGAGTTATGTTTTTCCAGACAGGTATTAAAAATATCCATGATCTCCGAGACTACTCTGGCTAGGTGGGAGAGGAGAGTGACTCTGAAGGAGGGGTGGGAATGGAGAAACTACTGCGGCATAAAAATTTGACTACAGATAATTTGTAAAGTTGATGATCAACCTTGATTAGATTTGCTCTTTCTAATTAGCAGAGCTGGATGGTTGGAGCTCCTTCATCCCTCCCCTCTGAGACTTTATTTTTTAAATTTCTTTATCATTAAATGAGGAATGTGGAGGAAAATTAGAAGGGTGGATGCTTCGAAGTTCTTATTGTCTAGCTCTGACCATCTGCCCTGGACTCAATTTATTCCAGATTGCCAGTTCCATGAGCCATCTTAATGAGCAAGCAGGGAGAAGGTCTCAGTCCAAGGCTTGCTCTGGCCTAAAGTGATTGCCTCACGAACGACTCACTAATTTTTAATTAATGCTCTGATCCATCCCAGAACCCTGGCTTGTGCATATTCTGCCTCTTCCCCCCACCGTTCACAAGCAGGAAGAAAGACATCTGGGCTACTTCAGTGCCTGTTGGGACAGGAAAAATAGCCAGGGCAGTGTACATCCCTTTCGTTTTCAGGGAAGTCACAGAACCACATCTGTTTTTTAAAGCGCAAGAGTGGAAGGCTGGGATGGGGGAGAGGCTGGGGGAGAAGGGATGTGAGTATGTGGTGGGGGCTATGGATGTGGTAGTGATGAGGCGAGTGTGTCTATGAGTAATACGGTGTGTGTGTGATGTCATGTGGGTGTGCTATGCAGGTCAAGTGTGTGATGGTGTCTGTGTGTGTGCACGTGTGTTGTGTGTGAGATGTGGTATGAGTTGCTGTGTAGGTCAAGTGTGTTTTTTGTGTGAGTATGGTGTGTGTGTGCTCATGTGCAGTGCGGTGTGGTCTGAGTGTGAGGGGTATATGTGTGTATGTGTGGTACAGTGTGTGATGTACAAATGTGCTGTGTTGTGCAGGTCAAGTGTGCTGTGTTTGTATGGTGTGTGCATGTACAGTGGGGTCTGGGTTCTATGGATGAGCATGTGCATGTTGTGTAATGTGTGTTTTGTAGTGTGGTGTGGTGAGTGTGGAGGAATGAATGCGGTGGTAGTGATGGTGGTGATGGTGGTGCCTGTGTATATGTGTGCATGTGCGTGTGTGAAAAGAGGCAGAGCAAGAATGAAAGCATCTCTAACAAAATAAGCTGCTTGAAAAGGGAATTTTTCTATCTCTAGAAATTTGCCAGAATATCTTCCTTTTTTGGCTAAAGCCTCTGCTCAGAAGGTCTCTGCTGCTCTGGATAAAAAAGGACAAGCTGGGTTTCAACAAAATAAAATGAATGTTAAAGATACTCCGGGGAGAAGCATTTTTACAAACCCAGTGCTAACGATGCAGTGGTTTCAGTTTCCTTCCATTGAGTGAGAAGGAATATTTAATTTTGAAACCAGTGGAGGCTCAGGCCCTACGCAGCAAGGTAGAGGAGACAACAGCACACGGCCCCTTTGTAGATTCATCCGTGCTCCCCTGACACCTCCTGTTTCCAGGTCGCAGATGAGATGAAATCCTCTTTGTGGAATACTGAAAAGGACTTTTGGTCTCCAGGGTTTGGCATTCCAAACAGAAGTAACTGAAGTCACCCTGATATGGAGGTGCCATCTAGGGGCAAGAAGGGGCTGGAGGAGGCTCCTGAAGAACAAGGAAAGGAGTCATCTAGCCAAAGGATTTTGTCACAGTCCTTCACACATGCTTTCTGGAGCTGGGGTCCTTGTGCAGGGGAATGTCCCAGAAGGGCTCAGCCCAGACAAATCCAGCAGGTTCAAAAGCATTTCCACTGAGAGGCTTTTCTTCAAGCCAAGCTCCCTGGCAGAGAGGCATTCCAGAGAAACGCAAATGAAGTAAACATATGGAAAAAAGTTTACATTCATGTCGTCAAGGAAATACAAATTAAAACAATAATTGACACTGACTTGGTGAAGTTCTTTAAAATGATCATGTCGGGGCACTCTCATGCTGCGGGGAGAAGCACACATTGGAAGGGAGGCAGTTTGGTAACACTTATCAAGAGCCTTAAAGCCTCAAAAGCCTCTACCCTTTGGCTCAGTGATTCCATTTCTACGAGTTTATTTTTAAAAACTCATTAGAGTACAAAGATTTCTGTAAGGATGTCCATTGCAGTGTTAATTATACATGTGAAAAATTGGTATTAACTTCGATGTTCAAAATAGAAAAGTCTAAAATAAATGTACCTTCTAAATAATGAAATACTGTGTTGACATTAAAAATCGTATTTTTGGACACTACCTAATGAGGTGGGAAAATAGTCAAATACAATGTAAAGTTAAAAAGGAAATATTTTTAAAAGTATATATATAATGTATATTTATAGAAAAAGGGGCTGAAAGGATATACATCAAACTTAATAGCCGTTTCCTTTGTGGAAATGGCATAAGTGATTTTTTCTTTATGTTTTTCTGCATTTTCCATAGTTTTATATACTGGGAAATAAATATTATAATGATAAATAATAAAAACAACATATATAATTTAAGAAATAAGGCTGAGGCTGGATATGGTGCCTCATGCCTGTAATCCAAGCACTTTGGGAGGCCAAAACAGAAGGATTGCTTTGAGGCCAGGAGTTCAAGATCAGCCTGGGCAACACAGCTGAGACCCCATTCGTACAAAAAATTTTAAAATTATCTGGGCATGTGGCGCATGCCTGTAGTCCTAGCTATCCAGGAAGCTGAGGCAGGAGAATCACTTGAGTCTAGGAGTTTGAGGAGGCAGTGAGCTGTGATCGTGCTACTGCACTTCAGCCCGGGTGACAGAGTGAGACCCTGTCTCAAAAAATAAACAAAGAAATAAATAAAACATTCCTGTGAACAACAATGACAAAGACAGTAGTATAATTTCTTTCAATTAGAGGGAAAGGCACTCACATTTCTAAGTACCTCCTCTTATGTGCAAGGTCTTGGACTTGTGTCACAAGGCTCACAATAGCCTTGGGAGGGATGTCTCTTCTCATAGCTCCAATGCTTTTCCCCTCCTCTCACTTTCAGCCCATGGTCTTTCTTCCTATTTCATTGAGAAAATGAAAACAATGAGAAGACATCTTCCATACTCTCCCACTATTGCTTCTACCTCCTACCTGCATCTGTGCCTGTAAATTTGGCTTCCCCTGGTATTGTTACAGATGACTCACCTGTGCTCCTCTCTAAGGCCAGCCTCTGCACTCATGCTGCAAGTCCAATCTCCTTTTGCCTACTCAACATTTCTCCACAAGTCTTCCCTCTCTATCTCACATCTTCAATTTCCCTCGCTATTGGATCATCCCATCAGCATATAAACATGCTATAATACTGCCCACATTTAAAAAAATTCTCAGCTGGGCATGGTGGCTCACGCCTGTAATCCCAGCACTTTGGGAAGCTGAGGTGGGCAGATCAAGAGGTCAGGAGTTCGAGACCAGACTGGCCAACATAGTGAAACCCCGTCTCTACTAAAAATACCAAAAAAAAAAAAAAAAAAAAAAAATTAGCCAGACCTGGTGGTGGGTGCCTGTAATCCCAGCTACTCGAGAGGCTGAGGCAGGAGAATTGCTTGAACCTGGGAGGCCGAGGTTGCAGTGAGCCAAGATCGTGCCATTGTGCTCCAGCCTGGACAACAGTGTGAGACTCTGTCTCAAAAAAAAAAAAAAAAATTATCTCTTGAGTGACAGCCCCCTCCAGCTACACTTCCTCCTTTCTACACCCACTTTTGCAACAAACTCAAAAGAATTGTCTATATTCACTGATTACATTTCCTCCTGTTTTCTTTAAACCTTAGTAGTCAGCTGTCACCCTACCCCGGTCCATTGAAATTGTTCTTATCAAGCTCATCACTGACCTCCATGTTACTAGTCCAATGATCAATTCTCACTCCTCATCTTGCTCAACCTCTCAGCAGCCTTTGATGCAGCTGAAATAACTGACACTTCTTGAAATGTTTCCTTCACTTGACTCTCAGGAGTCTATACAATCCTGGTTTCCTGCTATCTCACAGGCCGCACAGTTGCTGTCTCCTTCCGCTGATTATAACCTGCTCTAATCCCCAGGGTTCCATTCTCTGCTCTCTTTTCCTTTGTAAATATGAATCTCTTCCTTGAACTTGAGATATATAGATAGATAAATTATAAATTGATAGGCAGATAGATATCATATTAATCAAACTTAATCAAAATTAAACTTCCTATCCTCTTTCCCAGACCCACGTTGCCACCACTGCCTTCCTCATATCAGTTAGTGGCAACGATATTCTTACCATTGCTAAGGTTCAAAACCTTGGTATCACCCTTGAGGAATCTTTCCCTTTCACTCTACATCTAATCTATTAGCAAATGTTGTCTCTTCCACCTTCATAATACATCCAAAATCCAGTCACTTCTCAACACCTCCATTGCTACAATCATCTGGTCCAGGCCACCATCATCTCTCTCCTGGACTTTTTCCTCCAAACTAGTCTCTTTAATCCCACCGTTGACTCTCTGCATTTATTCTCAAACAGTAACCAGGGCAATCTGCTAAAATGCAAATCAGATAATGTCACTCCTTCCCATCTTCATCAGAATAAAAGCCCACGTCTTTCCAAAAGCTCGTAAGAGCCTGTATAATCTGGGTCTCTGTTTCTTTCTCCATCTCATCCTAGTTCTCTCTGCCTTCTCACTCTGCTCTTTCCATAGTGACTTCTGGCTGACCTAGAACACACCAGGTATGTTCTACTTCAGATATGTGTCTGGCTGCTCTCTCATATCCCAAGATTTTTGCACAAATGTCACCTTCTCGATGAGGCTTTCCCTGATCATCCGGTTTAAAATTGCTTTTTGCCCCATGCCCCCTTTCCTTGCCTCATTGTCTCTGTAACACTTGCCACCATCTGATACGCTATGTAGTGTACCTTTCGTTTGCTGTCTAGAGTGTAAACTCCATGAGGCAGGGTCTTTTGTCTGCTTTGTTCACTGTTATACCCCTAAAACCTGGATCAGTGCCTGGCCTAAAATAGGAACTCAGTGAACATTTGCTGAATGAATGAATGAATGAATGAATGAATGAACTAGCAGTGATTGAAAAAGACTCAACAGCCTACTCAGTGCTTTAAAAATATGCCACTAATTACAGGCCCAGAAAGAAAATTAGCCGTAAGCATTTCTTTTCTGTTCCCATTAGAACCTCTAATGAGAGTGCACGGTTGTTATTATTTCAAAAGCAACAGCTTTCCAGTGTTTAACAATGTGCTAAATGCTTTTGCTGTTTGTTTCCATTCCTTTTTCCCTAATGGGTAAGGGGATTCGATGGCTGATTTCCCCACTCTAATCACCATGGGGAGGCTGGTTTTCCTCATGGCACTTGGCTTCTCCTCTCCTCAGATTCAGCCAGCACTTAGTCAGTTGATAAAATCTTTGAGCACCTACTGTGTACTGTGTGTAGGGTTCTCTCTTTGAATCATAAGTCTATTGCGCACCATGAAACATAAACCAAATGTTGGTGATGCAGTCCCAGTGATCTCACTCCGAGGAATTTTTGTAGCCAGCGTCCCCAGTGCTAAAGCATGCCCCATCTCTGCCAGAAGATCTTTGATGCCACAAGGGGCAATACAGTGCTTCCCAGACTCTTCTGCAGAACTCTGTATCAGTGTCAAAACATTCTAGGCCCTCCTTACATGAAAATGGTCACTTATCTAGTGATGGAGGCTACAGATGGTGCTTACTGTGCATTTGGATTCACAGACTGCTTACAATAACTGAAACTGTTGGTGTCCACAGGCCCTGAAACGCTGATGTCACTGGAAAGTGCATTGTTCTTAGAGTTCAAAGACCCAATTGCACTCTTGGTTCTGCCGCCTAACTGGCTGTGCCTCCTTAGGCAAGTTACTCCATCTTCAAAGGTAATTTTCCTGTCTGTAAAATGGAAATATGAAACCCACCTGTGCTAAGGTTGCTGTGAGGATCAACTGAGACTCGTGTGAAGGGGCTTATAAACATACACAAGGATGAAGTATTAGTGAACCCATTGTCTTCAGTCTCTCCTCTCAGCACTCACCTGCACAGTTGCTGCCATTGAATTACCCCTTTGGCCTACCTCTTTAGAAATACCAACTGAGGTTAGGTTGCAGTGGTTTTCTCCATCTAATTCTCTTTATTTTGCAAACTCATTAAACATATGCTGAGAATAAATTTACTATTAGGCTATGAATTTCTGCAGGGCAGTGACAGAGTCTCATCAGTTCTACTGCCCCAGAAGGGATCTGCGCTCAGCACAGGGCCCAGAGCCCACCTGCTTCAAAGGAGCCCCAGTGGCCTGGGGTCAAAGGGAATGCCCACCTGGCTGACTGAGAGCATCCCAAAGAGGGTCTGAGAGCGAGGTTTCCCCCTCAGGTCACAGACTAAGAGGAATTTTTCCTTTTGCTTCTCCAAGCAGGCTCACTTCCTCACTGAACACTTTTGCCAGCTGCTTTCAATCCTAATATTTTGGCAGCCAAACAGCATGCTGTTCTGCAAAGGAGCTGGGAAACTGCTAATGATCTGATATGAACAGCCTCCCAGCTCTCCCGGGCTCCTGCTCAGAGCCCAAGGTTGACAGTGGGACATGGGGCCTCTTAGCATGCTGCCTTTTGCTCCAACCAGAGAAGGCCCTGGGCCTCACGCTTTACAGCCCCACCCCCATAACACCAACTCTATGTGTGGAGGGAAACCTGGGCACCTCTGTCTCTCAGGATCTGCTGCTCAACTCTGGTACAGCATGACGCAGAACGTTAAACACGCTGTCTTGGAAATGACACCATTCCAGCCTCAGGACAATGCTTCTCCACATCTCTTATGTCCTTGAAACAAAGGTGACTGTGTCTGAAGAGTTGTGGGTTGTGGTGTTTCCAGTGTTGGAGATGGACATTATTTCAGAATGTGTGTCAGCTGGGGAAGGGGAGGTGACCGATCACCTCCCCTTTTTGGGTAAAAGAAAAGACAAATATGTTAACATGTTAAATTCTTCCTCTCACATAGCCAAGAATGCAATTGATTCTTGCAAAATTCAGTATACATCGCATGTCCATTTTCTTGCTTTTCTTCATGTTCCCATTTGTGATTCTGGAGTTACCCATAAACTAGTGTAGAATTCACAACAATTTCTGTAGCAGTTAAGGAACCTTTTGCAATATTAAACAGTTTATAAAACCCGTGTGTGTGTGTGTGTGTGTGTGTGTGTGTGTGTGTAGCCGGGGTTTCTCAACCTTAGCACTATTGACATTTTAGACTGGTTACTTCTTTGTTAAGGAACCTCTTGCAATATTAAACAGTTTATAAAACCCGTGTGTGTGTGTGTGTGTGTGTGTGTGTGTGTGTGTGTGTAGCCGGGGTTTCTCAACCTTAGCACTATTGACATTTTAGACTGGTTACTTTTTTGTTGTGGGGCTGACCTAGAATGTTTAGCAGCATCGCTCATCCCCATCCACTAGATACCAGAAGCAAGTTGTGTCAACCAAAGATGTACCCAGACGATGCTCCTGGGAAGCAAAACCACCCTTTGAGAACCACTAGACATAGACATGTTTATAGACATAAGTGCATGAAAAGTGATGCTGCTTCTTCACACTGGCAATGACAAGGATCTCACACACTAGAATTTTACTTAGTTTTATTTAAATAATTTTGATTAAAAATTTCACATCCATTAATCATAAAAGTTTTCACTCATTTTTAATAGGCACATTTTAATACAATCAAAGAAAATTCATTTTTTAAAACATGAAAAATGTACACTCATATAGTTTACCTTTAGTTTAATCTACACTTTATGATAAAAATATGTTAAAACTTTGGACATTTTGAATACAATCACATTTTTCTAAACTCCAGATCATTACCATCAATAGAACACATATGACATGAATATCTTGATTATATAACAATATAATTTATGATTTTGCTAAAATAAAAACATGAAAACTAAAATCTATGGATGAATATGTAATAGTTTCTGAATTATGTGTGTATTTATTTCATTACTCACCCCAACATCACTGGCCCATCAACCAAACACCAAGACACATGTAAGAATAATTTAATCCAGTCATCTTTGATATTTGGCTGAATTTCAGTCACGTAGAAACTGTAGTTTTGTACATACTGTATATTTTACTGAGGCATGTTTGTCAAAGTAGGAAGCTAGAATATATTTCATCAAATCATTTATTCTCTTGGTTTATGATTATCTTGCCAGGGGGCTGGCATGCATGAGGACCAGGTCTCATCCACTTGACCTGAGGCCTCAGACCAGGGCCTAAAATGGGACCGTGCAGTCACTGAGCCCAGGATGGGATGGGGGCAGGGGATAAAGGGAGGATGGGGCTGGTTGATCAACCGCAGGCCTGAGTTGCAGGCAGGCCCTGGCCAAAATGGTTAAATAGGTAAAGGTGATTATTCCCTTACTGGGGGCTTCCCTAGCCCACCTTAGATTCCAGGTTCCTCACACCCTACCCCAGTCAAGGCTCAGAATTAAATCCCAAAGTACAACCTGACCCATGTATCATTTATTCATTCAACAAGTATTTATGGATCTCTTCCTCTTCTCTAGGTACTAGGCTGGGCCATGGGATATAAAAGTTTCTGCTCTAAATACGCAGGTCATTTCAAGAGGGAGAAAAACCTTATCGATTCCCACTTATTCTATCTCTTTCCCTTTTTATAATTCTTTTATCCCTAAGCCATAATAAAGGGGAGAAATACATATTTAGGAACCATTGTATTTGTTAAGTTGCATCTTCACTTTTTCATAATCTTGCTTTCTGCTGTGCTAAGCAACAATTAAATTTAATTTAATGCCACAGGGATGAAATTATTGAGCTCCTGTTACCTGACAGACATGAACTGTCCTCAGGGAACCCAAAGATTCAGGAAAAAAAAATGGTGCCTGGGCTTAAGGATGTCACACACCAGTAGAAGCAGGCAGGTAAGTAAGAAACACTCTTATGCTGGGCTAGGGCTGCACAAAGGTTTGCATGAAGTGTAACAGCAGAGGAGGTGGGAAATGAACTTTTCCTGGGGGATTCAGGTGAAGCTTCACCAAGGGTGCTATTTGAGCTTAGTCGTGCAGGGTATGCAGAACCCCTCCAGGCAGAGGTGCAAAAGGACGAGCAGAGGAGGCAGCCCTGGCAAATGCACCCTTGGAAAGGACAAGCCACTAAAGCAGGGAACCAGCCCTTGGCACAGAGTAGGTGCTCCGTGGGTTCTGGTTTCCTTCTGCTGTATCCTGGCCGAGTGACAGTGCCTGGTTTGTTCATGACAGAGCTTAAATTATTCCTAGAGATGTAACACCCTAGCCCCCAAAGAGCAATTGTTTCTAAGATTTTCTGGCCCTCAGTGCTGGAGCTGTGCCTTTCAGCAACCTTCAGAACATTCAGAGGAGCAAGGACAAGAGCAGGAGGGGAGGCTGAGGACACCCTGGCTCATTAGTTAATGAGGGGCATTGATTGGCTACCTACCCTCTCAGGGTGGTTGTGGAAATCAGAAGAGATAAAGAATGTGTGTGTGTGTGTGTGTGTGTGTAATGCGGGAGAAGACATCAGAAAATATCACCCTTGTCTAGGAACTCATACAAGTTTGGGAGAAAAACTTACCTGTGAAATGCAGGAGAAGTGACTTAGGAACTTGGGAAGTCTGCAAGCAAAGCATCAGCAGATACACCAGATGGAGAGACTTCCACAGGATAGAGGATTGTGGAATGAGGGGAGGGACTCCCATGGGATGGGGTTAATCGGGGCGTGGCCTCCTAGAGAAAATACTTGGGGACTGGTCAGAGAGAAGACAGTGTTTCTGGTCAAGCAGTGCACCAGAGCAAGTGAATTGGCGAGGTGTGTGGGAAGGACAGCAAGCAGGTACAGTCAGGTGAGAGGGACACTGTGTGGAAGGGCAATGGGGGAAAAGGCTGGACAAATGAGAATTAGGGCAGTGAGGAGGCCAAAATGCTAGCTGGAGGAGACTTCCTTAGGAAGGCTGGGCTGGAGACCACTTAAGATCCACTCCAACCCTGAGACCTTCCTAGCAGACAGTCCCACTCTTTCAGGGGCCCAACTTTTCCCAGCATACGCCAATTCCCAGCTCCTGGGGTACATCCCAACTGGTTTAAACTAAGCTCAGTTATACCACTGCCTTTGGTTGAGTGTGGCTCTGTAATCAGGTCCCAGACAGCGAGCCATACAGGTGATATGTTTAAAGGTTCTGGGAAGAAATAGTCCATCTTTGTCCTGTGCAGGATGTTGATGTGTCTGGATGTGAGACCTGAAACCACTGCAGTGATCTAGCCTGAGGAGAAAACCAATTTAGACAGGAGTATTTATAATCTCACATAATAAGAAATCCTGGCCAGGCGTGGTGGCTTATGCCTGTAATCCCAGCACTTTGGGAGGCCAAGGCAGGCGGATCACCTGAGATCAAGAGTTTGAGACCAGCCTGGCCAACATGGTGAAACCCTGTCTCTACTAAAAATACAAAAATTAGCTGGGCAGAGCAGAGAGAATCACAGAAGACAGGAGCTGGCACCCTGCACTGGCAGCCTCCTCCTCCCTCAGGATTTCTGTTTTTTTTTTTTTTTCGGAGACAGGGTCTTGCTCTGTTGCCCAGGCTGAAGTGCAATGGCTGGATCTCAGCTCACTGAAACCTCCGCCTCCCAGGTTCAAACAATTCTCCTGCCTCAGCCTCCAGAGTAGCTGGGATTACAGGCACATGCCACCATACCCAGCTAATTTTTGTATTTTTAGTACAGACAGGGTTTCACCATGTTGGCCAGGCTGGTCTCAAACTCTTGATCTCAGGTGATCCACCCGCCCTGGCCTCCTAAAGTGCTGGGATTACAGGCATAAGCCACCACACCTGGCCAGGATTTCTTACCACATGAGATGATGAATACTCTTTATGCCATTTGAGGGTAGGTTTTCTTCTGCTTGCAGTCAAAAACATCATAATATCTATTTTTAATTATCCAGACCAACAGTAATGGGAAAGTTATAATTCTAGACAGAGGAACCCATCAAAGAAACATAATTCATGCAAGCAGTGACAGGCATTTCAGCATGATTAACACATGAAGTTCAGGATGCCATGTGGCTAGAGATGGGACCAGAGGTGCAGGCAGAGGCCAGGTCTCAGAGAGATTCGTACACTTTGTGGGGAACCTGGTCTTCGGAATATTTGGGATCCACTGATGAGAGGATTAAGTTGCCCTGAATAAAAAGTCAGCAACCCATAGGATTGCTGAGCAGGAAATAACTATGATAGTGTAACTGAGGCTCAGCAGAGCATAGAGATTCAAGAAAAGGGCTTTGGTGAGAGACCAAGGTTTAACCCACAGTTCAACCACCGATGAGCCATGTGCCTTGAATAAACTTCCCTCAATTTTATGGAAGACAAGTCCTGTTCCTCAGGGTGGTTGTGGAGCCTGTGAGCACTCCCTCTGATGGCCTGCGCAGCTCTGATTGTTCTATAAACACTCACTGACACTGCAAAGTGCTAGACGCTGTGCTGGGGTTGGGTGCAATGTCATAAAGGGCCATTTCTGCCATCAAGGCGAGCAAGGCCTCCAGGAAGGACAACTCACGAGAAGGTAAATGTCAACGTGATGTGCAAAGCGCTAAGTAGAGATAGACCCAGGTTGTCAAGAGTGGTTTTTTCCCCTAAAATGCAAAGAACAAAAAGTCCAATGATGGCAAAGGTTCAGTAAGTTGCTGACTCAGTTGGCAAGGGGAGCCGTTCCCTCTCTGCCTGTTCCCACAACTCACTGAACACCAATTCTTTCTTTAGCTTGAGACTTCCTCAGCTCTTCTGTGGGACCAGCTGGGGGAAGCCAGCACCCTCCTCCCACCCCACTCCACTGTTTCCTCCAAGGTCCCTCTATTGACACACCCATTAGGGTCACTTCTGAGGGACAGTTTTCCAGCCTGCCACTGGGGAAGGACTGGCATCTTTCCCAGGTCCTGTGGCCTCCTGTCCCCTGTAGCCCTGAACACAAATTTCAGGCCAGCTTTCCTAGAGAGCAACCTCACACTCTGCTAAGAGGTTCTCCAAGCCCATGCCTAACCAACCTGCATCTGAAACACAGCCTTTCTTGGATGGAAACAAGGCCAAGATGAATTCTCCTTCTCAGGACCAAAGCATAACCTCTGGAAAGGATTCTAGAGGCTTCTTGGAATCATCATTATCTTAGCACTCTTGCAGTCCCATGGCACCATACATCAGACAGTCTACAAGTCTGCCACACCAGCAGTCATTGAAATTGGCTCACGATTCTGATACTTCTGCATCAAAGCTGCCACAAGATTCAGTGGCCTCTTCAGGAATCCCAACAGTCCCTTTCCCCAGCATTCAAAGCCATTCCCCACCCTCACCTTGGAAAGCACAGGAGGGTGATGTTAAGCACTGAACCAACTTAAAAATTTTTTATTTTAGTATAGCATGCATACAGAAAAATGCATGCATCATAATCGCATGGCTCAATAAATTATCACAATATGACTCCCCATGTAACCACTGCCCAAGGTAAGGAATAGAACATTGCCAGCTATGCAAGAGCCCTCCTCATGCCCTTTCCTATCACCAACCCCACTCTTCCCATCAAAGGCAACTTCTAACATCACAGAAGTGTTTGAACCAGAGAAGCACTAAAGGTTTTAAGCAGAGAGGAAATATCATCATATTTGTCTTTTGGAAAGTACTTTCTGTCTAGGAAGAGAACAAGAGGCTGGGAGGCGAACTGGGAGACTGTTGCAGAGACTGTGATTGCTGGGACCAGAAAAGGGGCAGTGAAAGTGGAAGAAAGGAAGGAGGGATGGGAGGGGAGGGGAGCAGACGGGAGGAGAGGGGAGGGGAGAGGAGGGGAGGGGAGGGACAGGGATGGGAGCTGGGGGTCATAAGGCCAACTTTCTGCCAACTTGCCCACTCTCTTAGTGGTGCTTTACTGTGGTCTGCAGATTAATTAAATGACCTTAAAAGCCTCCTACCCCCAAGCCTGAAAGTCTTTTATTCAAACCAGTCATCTGGAAAGCAAGCCTCCCACTGGTGCTTAATTCACTCAAGAAAAGATTAGAAGAACCTGGTTACCAAGCTTCGAAAAGTTGCTCATAAAATTCAGCAGGAGCCTGAAATCCTCAGAGACTTCTATTTTTACCAAAAACACACACAGAGAAGTGGAGAATTTTCAAATGAATTAGACATGAGATTGATCTTTTTATACAAAAGGAGGGTGAAAAGGAACAGTGATGCTGTTTGAACTCCCCGACACCCCACACACACACACACCGCCCCGCATTTCCCTAAGCTGCCTTGACTTGATGGCATTGGTGAGACCTGAGCTCTGCCCTGACCCAGGCACAGACCATGGTTGGGGCCAGGGTTTTCTCAAGACCATGAACACAGTACACAACCCCCCAGACAGGGCCTGCTTCCACTCTAAGAGGAGCTGGCCAAAGTGGCTCCCCAGCCCCACCTGAATAAGAACACCATACACTGGGAATGACTGTTGGTGTTGAGGAGGCTTAAAACAAGGGCATGCTTTGGGAGAGTTGGGGGGATCTATCCTGGGCACCCGGCTGGTGAGGCAAAGCTCTGCAGTCAGCAATTATTTTCAACCCATCTTGTCCTGTAAGCATCAAGCTGTGGTCTTCCTCAACAGTGCTTTGTCAGCTAGCTAACACCCTTATCTTTAGCTGAGGTCAGTCAAGAACTCCTTTTTAAGTTTAATTTTTATTTTATTTTTTTAAGAGACAGGGCCTTGCTCTGTTGCCCAGGCTGGAGTGCAGTGGTGCAACCATGGCTCACTGAATCCTCAAACTCCTGGGCTCAAGTGATCCTCCTGCCTCAGCCTTCCAAGTAGCTGGGACTACAGGTGTGTACCACCACACCTGGCTAATTAAGGACTCCTGATTTCCTCTTGTGAGCTTTGCATAAATTAGATCTGTGATTGTTACCCAGTGCTCTGTAGACCCCCCAGGGGTTCCATATAGGTGTCTCAAGAGCCACAGAGAAGCCAGGACTCTGAGCCCCTACACATTTCAACTACAGAAGCTCCACTTCTAAACTGGCCTTGAGACAACACAGCAATCCTTTCATAAAGTTTTGTCAGGTAGGCTTACCCCTATCTTCTTGGCTATCACAGAGTAATTAAAATACTAATTTGTGTACAGTTGCCCTCTGGGAGAGTATAAACCTGAAAAAGGCTTTGTCCTTCAAAGGACTGGACAGGAATAACAAATTCAAATCTTAATGGGGCCATACAGGTAAGTCAGAGAGCAAACTGGGCTGCTGTAAGATGATAGGGTGTGGTAGGGTCTTTGACAAAACAGTGTGCATCCTCACCTGCAGCCAATTGCCACCAAGTGAAAATGCAGGCTTAAGGCTGCCAGACCTTCCGATGCTTCCAGAGAAGACAGATATCACATTTGTCTGTAAATATCCAGATTTCTAAGTCTACGCAATTAATTTAAATTTTTAAAAAACAAAAACATGTGTAGTCACTCGTGCACAGTATGTGAACCATGGACTTCTAGTTTAGGTCCACTGGGTGAATAAGCCAGGACGCTAGGGAAGAGAAGGGTTTTAAAGGCTTAGGACTTCAGTGTTGAAAAGGGGAAGGCCTGATCTAGGAGACATAGAAACTAGGAAGAGAGGAGGAGTTGCAGGTTTCAGAGTGATGAAGACCTGAACCAACACAAATGCAGCACCCATGGAGGCGGCATCTAGGAACAAGGGTCTGTGCAGACAGGGCACCAAGCATCAGAGCCTGGGGGATCTGGGGAAGGCCCCACAGCTGAGCGTGGCACTGGGGTGGTGGAGCTACCAGCAGAGCTGCCTGCCCTGGAACGGACCAGGAGGGCCAGGGCAAAGAGCAGAGTCCACACCAACCACCGTCAGGGACCAAGGCCCTCACCTGTTTCCTACGCCAAGCTTGTCTGATCCAAGCGAGGGGGAGAGAATCCCAGAAAACTAAGCACAGTCAATTTCCTCAAGCCACAATCAGTTTTGTTTAGAAAATGATGAAATGTGTCATTTCTTTCAACCTAAACGCCCTAGAACAGTGGTTCTTAAAGTTTAAGTTATGGATCTACAAGGGTCCTCAGGACCCTTTCAGGAGGCCCTAGAGGTCAAAACTATTTTCATAATAATACCAAGATGTTGTTTACCCCTTTCACTGTGTTGCCATTTGCACAGATGTGGAAAGCAGGGCTGGGGGAAACTGAGGTCTCCCACCACGACCTCAGCCACCACCCTGCACTCATCGTCACTGTGTCCGCCTCATATAATAAAACAGTGGCCAGTTTCACTTGAGAATGTTCTTAATGAAGTAGCAAGAATTACTGATGTTATTAATCATGACCTGGAGTCCACATAATTCTCTGTGACAACTGGAAAGTGAGCATGACGCAGTTCTGCTGCATGCCCAGGTGTGGCGGTTGTCTTGAAGAAAAGCTCTGTGGGAAGGGTTTGAGTTGTGAGCTGAAGAAGCACATTTGTTTTGTTTTGTTTTGTTTTGTTTTTTAAATAGGACAGTATTTTTATTTAAAGGCATCACTGATGGACAAAATGTGGTTATTCAGACTTACGTATTTGGCAGAATTTTTCTTTGAAATGAACAAAGAGAGCCCGTCATGTCAAAGAAACCAACTGACAGTATTTGTTGCCAATGATAGAATTTGAGCTTTCAAGCAAAAATTAACATTTTTTTTAAAACTTTGCATCTACTACTGTAAGTTTGACAGTTTCCCAGTACTTGAAGACTTTTCTGATGAGACTGGCAGTGAAATTAATGAATAGAATTTTTTTATGTTGTATAAAGAAACGCATCAATATTTGGATGATCTATAGAACTCATTCAACCAATATTTCCCAGATGACCAATGAATCATGTTACAAAATAATGCATGGATAAAAGATATTGCAAACATGTAAGATAGGCTAATGAATTTTAATATACTACAGAATGAAAAGTTCATTGATGTGATTTTAGATTTTACGTTGCAACTTATCTTAGAGTAACTACTTCTTGTGGGGTAGGTATGATAACAAAGAACATCCATAATTATCCGAGAAGGCTGTTAAAATACTTCTCTCTTCTCCTACTATACATGTATGGAGGCCAGATTTTCTTCATATACTTCAACAAAAACAACATATCCTAACAGATTGAATGTAATAAGCCAGACATTAAAGAGAGTTGTAAAAATGTAAAACAGTACCTACCACTCTTTTCACTTGATATTTTAGCTTTGGAAAATATAGTTATTTTTAAATAAAAAAATATTTATATGACTACCTAATGAGCTTATTTTTTCTTACAATAAATTGCTAAATACATATTTTTAAATCCTCAATTTCATTTTGAATACAGTAAATAACTGTGACATACATAAATAGCTTGGGGTACTCAATAATTTTTAAGAGTGTAAAAAAGACTCTGATACAGAACAAGTCATTCCTGTCATATTCTGCTTCTCTGGAGAGCTCAGAAAGATCAAAGCCATATAACAGGAAGAGTGAGGTGGGGGCTGAGTAGAGGTTACGATTTGCAATTAAAATTCACTTTCATGTAGATGACAGCATTTTATTCTCAACCCTTCTGTAAGGGGCCAGCAGAATCTTTCACAGATAAGGAACTGAGACTCAAGAAGTAAAATACCTGGCGCCAGAGCCAACTCCCAGGTAGGCCAGGCAGGATTTGAACCCAGGTCCTCTGACTTCAAACCCAGAGCTCTTTCTCCTCACATGCACATTATCTCTGCACCTGAAATGGGCCTTGGCCCCTAACTTTTCCTTTCTCATCTTTCTTCTGGTTTGGTCTCATGGGCAATGTGAGGCTATCTTAAAAGAGGAAGTAAAATTCTTTTCCTCCTTCAAAAGCTCTGTAATTGACCATAACAGCTTTACTCACAGCCACAGCCCTATATGTCATGTGGCCCATCTGTTCCCTGCCTGTGACTGAGGAACCAGAGTGGTCACTTGACTTAGAGGCAGGGTCATCCATAGAATGCTCTGGGCCAGTCGGCTTCTCTCTTCCAGGATTTTAAGTTGAGAGACACAGAGGGTATTGTCAATTTGATGGAGAATCTTGGAACTGAAAACTCAGGCTGACTTAGGGGCTGAAGTGGCTATTTGGGGACCATTTGAAAGACGATTAATCAGAGGAAACTGGGGGTGGGTGGAAAGAAAGAGAGAGAGAGAGCAAACAAAAATAAGTCGCTATTGGGAGACAGAAAAAGGGTCTAGGTCCCTGACTTTCCAGTCCTCAGTTCTAATGGCTGCAAAACCCAACTGTACCTCTTTTTCTCCAGAAGCCCTGAGGTGGCCATGATGTGTCTACAGTTATCCCTCCCACCCCATTGGCTTTCTAGTAGTGCACCTCTCAGCTCACTGTGACACTCAGGGTCTTGGGATTTCTCTAAGGCTCACATGTCCACTGGTGCTCGTGGCAATGCTGGAGGAGCATCTGTATGCTCTCTGGTTTGTAGTTGCATCAGTGACTAGAGCAGCAAAAGGGAGCCACACAATGGTCATTCTGTTGACACACAGTTCGTTTGCTTTGGGGCCTTTTAGAACGAGACCCTACCTGGTTTGGGAGGCCAAGGAGTGTTTTCTTCACATTTGATTACAAGATTTTTTCCCCTTTCCCTTAGAAACCATATTTTTTCCCTCATTCAAGTAAGATGCACTGTACTCAAATATGCCCTCAATTTTATGAAAATTACTTTAGATGGGATTTAGGATCAGAAGAATGGATTTCATTTCATAGGACTTATTAGTTGAAAAGAGGTTATCCCTGGCTCTGAACAGAAATCTGTTTCCTATATTTATCCAAGGCTTTAAAAGCCCCCCTCATGAGGTACCAAAAGCTAAGGAACTCTGGTTTTGGAAACTTGTTGGGCAGAAAGTCTAACATCATGGAATGACAGAAAGATAAGGCAGTGTGTCCTGTGTCCTCTTACCAAGTGCCAACTGTGCCCTGTTAAAGTCCTGACAGGCTCAAGTTGCTTTAATTGTCACCTTTCTCCTCCCACTTCTGGCCTACAAACTGCTCTGGCAAATCTTCATTGGAACAACACCCCTATAAACACGCACACGTGCATGCATGCACACACACGCACACACTTACCAGCACTGTGGCTCTTGCCCTCTTCTTTCTAAGCATTACAGTAATAATGACATGAAGTGTTTGCCTGAGCTGAGTTATAACAGAGTGACTATGGCTTGGCAAAGCTTCAGTGAAAAGGGCACTGTCATACCCAGCTGGCAGGAGTGCAAATTGATACAGACTTTCTGCAGGGCATCGGCAATATGTATCAAGAGCTTTAAATGGGCTTATACATCTGGCACAGTAATTTGTTTTTTTTAAGGGAATTTATCCAAAGGTAAATAGTAATGTTCCTTAAAGCAGGTTTGTATTAGCAAAAAATCAGAAGCAATCTAAAACATGTCTAACAGGAAGGAATTAATTAAAGAAAGTATCATACAATCTGATATATGTGGTCATTAACATCTTATCACCAAAGACTACCTAAGCACATGGAAAATTACTTATGATAAATTTGTAAAGTGAAAAAATTTGTATATAAAAATCAATTTATAAATTATCCAGCTGGGTGCAGTTGTTCATGTCTGTAATCCCAGCACCTCGCGAGGCCGAGGCTGGTGAATCACTTGAGCTCAGGAGTTTGACACCAGCCTGGGCAACATGGCGAAACTGTGTCTCTTCAAAATATACAAAAAAATAATAATAATAATAATTAGCCGGGCATGGTGGCGTGCACCTGTGGTCCCAGCTACTTGGGGGACTCAGGTGGGAGGATCGCTTGAGCCTGGGAGGCAGAGGTTGAAGGGAGCTGAGATCACACCACTGCACTACAGCCTGGGTGACAAAGCAAGACTCTGTCTCAAAAAAAAAAAAAAGAAAACCCATTAACCAAGTGCACAAAAATAGTACATATAAAATATAAATATATATATAATTTATACATAAAAATTTATATTTGTGGTATAGTTTTATATATCTATGCGTATATCTATGACTGAAAGTTAATAAAATAGAATTATAATAGTAAATGTAGATGTATGCGTGAATTTTATTTTCTTCATATTCTTACATATTTTTCCAAAAATTTTATGACTATATTCTACTTTTATAATTAGAAAATAATAATGTTAAAATAATTTTTTTAGAGGCAGGTTCTTGCTATGCTTCCCAGGCTGGAGTGCAGTAGCTATTCACAGGCATGATCTTAGTGGACTACAGCCTTGAACTTCTGGACTCAAGCAGTCCTTCCACCTCACCCTTCCCAGCAGCTGGGACTATAGGTGTGAGCCACCTAAAATAACTTCTAAATTAAAAAAAAACCCAAAATGCTTACACTGGGGTCATGTGACCCTTGGAAAGTAATGCTATCCCTCCGAGCCTCACTTTCCACCCCTGTAAATTACTAAGTAATGCCTATATTGCTTTTCTAGAGGGTGTTGTGCAGACTAAAGTCAATCAGATAAAATAAAAATATATTATTATTTATGACATTTTTTCAATATGATCTACTTAAAATGACAATCACCACAGCTAAAAGCCTTTTCTGGACTCCACATGGGAAGCAGGATAAAACCTCAGCTTTGTGCTCCAGCCCCAGACTCTGCCTGCCTCCCTTGCCTCATCTCCAGTTCTCTTTGACTCAAACCTTAAGCTTCAGCAACACCAGTGTAGACCTGTAGCCCCCTAAACACCATGCTGTTTCTCTCCTTACTTTCCATCTTCTGTCCTTCTGCCCGCACTGCCTTTCCCCACCTTGTTCACTGGGTTCCTAGGTTTTCTTCTGCATCATCTCAGGCACCCAGGAAGATTTCCCTGCCTCCTCCAAGATAGTTAATTCGCCCCATCTGAAAGCAACTGAAGCTCCCTGGTACCCCTCCACCACTGCACTTACAATGCTGCATTGGATATTCCACTTAGTGCATCTCCTCACTCAGCCACAAACAGCTGGAGGGCAGTGACCTTCTGTCTTTGGCTGTTAGGTCCCTGGTGACCAGCATGGGGCCCAGCCTTCGCAGGTACTTTGAAACAGGACACTAAAGCTTTGCAGTTTCGGATAAAGAAACGTGCAACTACCAATAAAACTACTCCCCACCCAGGGCCACTGCATAAGGTTTTATAGATTGTGCATTGCTCAAAGGCACCTGGCTGAGGAGGCAGGTAGGATCTGAAGTCCAACCCACACTTGGCTTGCCAAGCCACATGCCTTGGCCTGGGCTTGCATCAGCCCAGAGCAATGGGAGCCTTTTGCTTTGCAAAAAGGCTCCATTGACCCTCCGTGCTCAACTAGGGGTAGCCACAAGGCTGTACGCACCTATAGATGTATTAGGCTGTACCCACCTAATTCCTGCAGAGGTTCTGTGTGGGCTACCCAAAAGGCAGAAAACAGATGATTCACAGGGACCGTCATATCCTCACAGATCAATGCTAACCAATGCAAAACTCGCTTGTTAGAAGCAAACAGAGTTTGTATAGAAAAATTGATTTAATTTTACATCTTAGCATTGAAATATTTGTAATTTTCTAAATCATATTTACAATATACCTTACAGTATAGCCCACTTTGTCCAATAGAACTTTCTGGAGTGACAGAAATATTGTGCCCTTTCCAATACAGTAGCCACCAGCCACATGGGGCTATGAGTACTTGAAATATGGTCAGTATGACTCAGGAAGTGAGTTTTAAATTTTATTTAATTTTAATTAATTTAAATACTCACACACAGTAGCTATTTAATACCATATTGAACAGTGCAGGTGTAGACAAAGTTTTCTTAAATTTTAGTGTGCATAGCAATGATCTGGGTACTTATCATAAAAATTGATTCCCAGGCCCCTCCCCAAGGAGTCAGATTCAGTAGACACGAGTGGGGCCAAGGAATTTGCCTTTTGAACCACCACCCCGAACTTCTCATACAGGTTGAAATTTGGACCACATTTAGAGTTACTATTAAATGGGTTTAGGGTATCTTGGAGGAGTTAGTCTTAGGCCATTTTTTGACTTTGAATATTTTGGTCCCTAAGCTACAACTTCCTATCCAAACACCCACCATGGAAGTTCTGGAATGAAAAAAGCACTTCCTAGAAGCAGCTTTTCTTGCTCTGCTGAATTGACATGGACATTTGTCCATGTCAGTTTGCTCTGCTATAAAGAAAATGAAACTCCCGTGGCTGGCAAGATGGCTGAATAGGAACACCTCCGGTCTGCAGCATCCAGTGAGGTCAATGCAGAAGGGGGGTGATTTCTGCATTTCCAACTGAGGTACCCAGCTCATCTCATTAGGACTGGTTAGACAGTGGGTGCAGCTCACGGAAGGTGAGCCAAAGCAGGGTGGGGCATTGCCTCACCCGGGAAGTGCAAGGGGTCAGGGAATTCCCTCCCCTAGCCAAGGGAAGCCGTGAGGGGCTGTGCTGTGAGGGACTGTGCCATGAGGAATGGCGCATTTCAGCCCAGATATTACACTTTCCCACTATCTTCGCAACCCACAGACCAGGAGATTCCCCGGGGTGCCTATACCACCAGGACCCTGAGTTTCAAGCACAAAACTGGGTGGTTATTTGGGCAGACACCAAGCTAGCTGAAGGAGTTGTTTTTCATACCCCATTGGTGCCTGGAATGCCAGTGAGGCAGAACCATTCACTCCCCTGGAAAGGGGGCTGAAGCCAGGGAGCCAAGTGGTCTAGCTCAGCGGATCCCACCCCCACAGAGCCCAGCAAGCTAAGATCCACTGGCTTGAAATTCTCACTGCTGGCACAACAGTCTGAAGTTGACCTGGGACTCTTGAGCTTGGAGGGGGAAGGGCGTCTGCCATTACTGAGGCTTGAGTAGGCGGTTTTCCCCTCACAGTGAAAACAAAGCCACATGGAAGTTTGAACTGGGCAGAGCCCACCACAGCTTGGCAAAGCCACTGTAGCCAGACTGCCTCTCTAGATTCCTCCTCTCTGGGCAGGACATCTCTGAAAGAAAAACAGCAGCCCCAGTTAGGGGCTTATGGATAAAACTCCCATCTCCCTGGGAGACAGCACCTGGGGAAGGGGGTGGCTGTGGGCACAGCTTCAACAGACTTAAACATTCCTGCCTGCCAGCTCTGAAGACAGCAACGGATCTCCCAGCACAGGGCTTGGGCTCTGCTAAGGGACAGACCACCTCCTTAAGTGGGTCCCTCACCTCAATACCTCCTGACTGGGAGACACCTCCCAGCAGGGGTCTACAGACACCTCATACAGGAGAGCTCTGGCTGGCTTCTGGTGGGTGCCCCTCTGGGATGAAGCTTCCAGAGGAAGGAACAGGCAGCAATCTTTGCTGTTCTGCAGCCTCCACTGGTGATACCTAGGCAAACAGGGTCTGGAGTGTACTTCCAGCAAACTCCAGCAGACCTGCAGCAGAAGGGCCTGTTAGAAGGAAAACTAACAGAAAGGAACAGCATTAACATTAACAAAAAGGACATCCACACAACAACCCCATGTGAAGGTCACCAACATCAAAGACCAAAGGTAGATAAACCCATGAAGATGAGGAAACACCAATGCAAAAAGGCTGAAAATTCCAAAAACCAGAATGCCTCTTCTCCTCCAAAGGATCACAACTCCTTGCCAGCAAGGGAACAAAACTGGATGGAGAATGAGTTTGACAAATTAACAGAAGTAAGTTTCAGAAGGTGGGTAATAACAAACTCCTCCAAGCTAAAGAAGCATGTTCTAACCCAATGCAAGGAAGCTAAGTACCTTGAAAAAAGGTTAGAGAAATTGATAACTAGAATAACCAGTTTAGAGAAGAACATAAATGACCTGATGGAGCTGAAAAACACAGCACAAGAACTTCGTGAAGCATGCACAAGTATCACTAGCCAAATCAATCAAGTGGAAGAAAGGATATCAGAGATTGAAGATCAACTTAGTGAAATAAAGTGTGAAGACAAGATTAGAGAAAAAAGAATGAAAAGGAATGAAAAAATCCTCCAAGAAATATGGGACTATGTGAAAAGACCAAATCTACGTCTGATTGGTGTACCTGAAAGTGATGGGGAGAATGGAAGCAAGTTGGAAAACACTCTTTGGGATATTATCCAGGATAACTTCCCCAACCTAGCAAGACAGACCAACATTCAAATTCAGGAAATACAGAGAAGACCACAAAGATACTCCTCAAGAAGAGCAACCCCAAGACACATAATTGGCAGATTCACCAAGGTTGAAATGAAGGAAAAAATGTTAAGGGCAGCCAGAGAGAAAGGTTGGGTTACCCACAAAGGGAAGCCCATCAGACTAACAGCGGATCTCTTGGCAGAAACCCTACAAGCCAGAAGAGAGTGGGAGGCCAATATTCAACATTCCTTTTATTTTTTTTTTTATTTTTTGAGACTGAGTCTCGCTCTGTCCCCTAGGCTGGAGTGCAGTGGCATGAACTCGGCTCACTGCAAGCTCTGCCTCCCGGGTTCATGCCATTCTCCTGCCTCAGCCTCCTGAGTAGCTGGGACTACAGGTGCCTGCCACCACACCCGGCTAATTTTTTATATTTTTAGTAGAGACGGGGTTTCACCATGTTAGCCAGGATGGTCTCAATCTCCTGACCTCGTGATCCACCTGTCTTGGCCTCCCAAAGTGCTGGGATTACAGGTGTGAGCCACCGAGCCCGGCCTCAACATTCTCAAAGAAAAGAATTTTCAACCCAGAATTTCATATCCAGCCAAACTAAGCTTCATAATTGAAGGAGAAATAAAATTATTTACAGACAAGCAAATACTTAAAGATTTTGTCACTCTCCCTCTCCCTCTCCCCCTTCTTTCTTTCTACGGTCTCCCTCTGTTGCCGAGCCCGGACTGTACTGCCATGATCTTGGCTCGCTGCAACCTCCCTGCCTCGGGCTCCTGTGATTCTCCTGCCTCGGCCTGCCGAGTGCCTGGGATTCCAGGCACGCGCTGACACTCCTGACTGGTTTTTGTATTTTTGGTGGAGACGGGGTTTTGCCGTGTTGACCGGGCTGGTCTCCAGCTCCTGGCCTCAGGTGATCTGCCCACCTCGGCCTCCCAAGGTGCTGGGATTGCAGACAGAGTCTCGCTCACTCAATGCTCAATGTTGCCCAGGCTGGAGTGCAGTGGCGTGATCTCGGCTCGCTACAACCTCCACCTCCCAGCCGCCTGCCTTGGCCTCCCAAAGTGCTAAGATTACAGCCTCTGCCCGCCTGCCACCCTATCTAGGAAGTGAGCAGCATCTCTGCCTGGCCGCCCATCATCTGGGATGTGAGGAGCCCCTCTGCCCGGCTGCCCCATCTGGGAAGTGAGGAGCGCCTCTGCCCAGCCGCCACCCCATCTAGGAAGTGAGAAGCATCTCTGCCTGGCCGCTGATCGTCTGGGATGTGAGGAGTGCCTCTGCCCGGCCGCCCCGTCTGGGAGGTGGGGAGCGCCTCTGCCCGGCCGCCCCGTCTGGGAGGTGGGGAGCACCTCGGCCCGGCCGCCGCCCCGTCTGGGAGGTGGGGAGCGCCTCTGCCCGGCCGCCCCGTCTGGGAGGTGGGGAGCGCCTCGGCCCGGCCGCCACCCCATCTGGGAGGTGGGGAGCGCCTCTGCCTGGCAACCCCGTCTGGGAAGTGAGGAGTGCCTCTGCCCAGCCGCCACCCTGTCTGGGAAGTGGGGAGCGCCTTGGCCCGGCCACCAACCCATCTGGGAGGTGAGGAGCCCTTCTGCCTGGCAGCCCCGTCTGGGAAGTGAGGAGCACCTCTGCCTGGCCACCACCCTGTCTGGGAAGTGGGGAGCGCCTCTGCCTGGCCGCCCCGTCTGGGATGTGAGGAGCGCCTCTGCCCGGCCGCCCCGTCTGGGATGTGAGGAGCGCCTCCGCCTGGCCGCCCTGTTTGGGAGGTGAGGAGCGCCTCTGCCCGGCTGCCCCATCTGGGAACTGAGGAGGGCCTCTGCCTGGCCGCCCCTTCTGGGAGGAGAGGAGCGTCTCAGCGCGGCCGCCCCATCTGGGAGGTGAGGAGCGCCTCTGCACGGCCACCCATCGTCTGGGAGGTGAGGAGCACCTCTGCCCGGCCACCCATCATCTGGGATGTGAAGAGCGCCTCTGCCTGGCCGCCCCATCTGGGAAGTGAGGAGCACCTCTGCCCAGCCGCCCCATCTGGGAGGTGTACCCAACAGCTCCGAAGAGACAGCAACCATCAAGAACTGGCCATGATGATGATGGCGGTTTTGTCAAAAAGAAAAGGGGGAAATGTGGGGAAAAGAAAGAGAGATCAGATTGTTACTGTGTCTGTGTAGAAAGAAGTAGACATAGGATACTCCATTTTGTTCTGTACTAAGAAAAATTCTTCTGCCTTGGGATGCTGTTAATCTATAACCTTACCCTCAACCCCGTGCTCTCTGAAACATGTGCTGTCTCAACTCAGGGTTAAATGGATTAAGGGCGGTGCAAGATGTACTTTGTTAAACAGATGCTTGAAGGCAGCATGCTCGTTAAGAGTCATCACCACTCCCTAATCTCAAGTACCCAGGGACACAAACACTGCGGAAGGCCGCAGGGACCTCTGCCTAGGAAAACCAGAGACCTTTGTTCATGTGTTTATCTGCTGACCTTCTCTCCACTATTATCCTATGACCCTGCCACATCCCCCTCTCCGAGAAACACCCAAGAATGATCAATAAATAAATAAATAAAAAAGATTTTGTCACCACCAGGCCTGCCTTACAAGAGCTCCTGAAGGAAGCACTAAATATGGAAAGGAAAAACCAGTACCAGCTACTGCAAAAACATACCAAATGATAAAGACCATCAACACTATGAAGAAACTGCATCAACTAATGAGCAAAATAACCAGCTAGCATCATAATGACAGGATCAGATTCACACATAACAATATTAACCTTAAATGTAAATGGGCTAAATGCTCCAATTAAAAGACACAGACTGGCAAATTGGATAAAGAGTCAACACCTATATCGGTGTGCTGTATTCGGGAAACCCATCTCACATGCAAAGACACACATAGGCTCAAAATAAAGGGATGGAGGAATATTTACCACGCAAATGGAAAGCAAAAAAAAAGCAGGGGTTGCAATCTTGGTCTCTGATAAAATAGACTTTAAACCAACGAAGATCAAAAAAGACAAAGAAGGGCATCACATAATGGTAAAGGGATCAATCCAACAAGAAGAGCTAACTATCCTAAATATATACGTACCCAATACAGAGCACCCAGATTCATAAAGCAAGTTCTTAGAGACCTACAAAGAGACTTAGACCCCCACACAATAATAATGGGAGACTTTAACACCCCACTGTCAATATTAGACAGATCAAAGAGACAGAAAATTAACAAGGATATTCAGGACTTGAACTCAGCTCTGGACCAAGCAGACCTAATAGACATCTACAGAACTCTCCACCCCAAATCAACAGAATATACATTCTTCTCAGCACCACACTGCACTTATTCTAAGATTGACCACGTAATTGGAAGTAAAACACTCCTCAGCAAATGCGAAAGAACAGAAATCATAACAAACAGTCTCTCAGACCACAGTGCAATCAAATTAGAACTCAGGATTAAGAAACTCACTTAAAACCGCACAACTACATGGAAACTGAACAACCTGCTCCTGAATGACTACTGGGTAAATAATGAAATTAAGGAAGAAATAAATAAGTTCTTTGAAACCAATGAGAACAAAGACACAATGTACCAGAATCTCTGGGACACAGCTAAAGCAGTGTTTAGAGGGAAATTTATAGCACTAAATGCCCACAGGAGAAAGTGGGAAAGATCTAAAATCAACACCCTAACATCACAATTAAAAGAACTAGAGAAGCAAGAGCAAATAAATTCAAAAGCTAGCAGAAGACAAGAAATAACTAAGATCAAAGCAGAACTGAAGGAGACAGAAACACAAAAAACCCTTTAAAAAAATCATTGAATCCGGGAGCTGGTTTTTTGAAAAGATCAACAAAATAGATAGACCACTTGCCAGACTAATAAAGAAGAAAACAAAGAAGAATCAAATAGACATAATAAAAAATGATAAAGGGGATATCATCACTGATCCCACAGAAATACAAACTACCATCAGAGAATACTATAAACACCTCTACGCAAGAGTAAAATTACTCTTCTAGAAAATCTAGAAGAAATGGATAAATTCCTGGACACATACACCCTCCCAAGACTAAACCAGGAAAAAGTCGAATCCCTGAATAGATCAATAACAAGTTCTGAAATTGAGGCAGTAATTAATAGCCTACCAACCAAAAAAAAGCCCAGGATCAGATGGATTCACAGCCGAATTCTACCAGAAGTACAAAGAAGAGCTGGTACCATTCCTTCTGAAACGATTTCAAACAACAGAAAAAGAGGGTCTCCTCCCTAACTCACTTTTATGAGGCCAGCATCATCCTGATACCAAAACATGGCAGAGACACAACAAAAAAAGAAAATTTCAGGCCAATATCCCTGATGAACATCAATGCAAAAATCCTCAATAAAATATTGGCAAACCAAATCCAGCAGGACATCAAAAAGCTTATCCACCACGATCAAGTTAGTTTCATCCCTGGGACGCAAGGCTGGTTCAACATACACAAATCAATAAACATAATCCATCACATAAACAGAACCAATGACAAAAACCATATGATTATCTCTATAGATGCAGACAAGGCCTTCAATAAAATTCCACACCCTTTCATGCTAAAAACTCTCAATAAACTAGGTATTGATGGAATGTATCTCAAAATATTAAGAGTTATTTATGACAAACCTACAGCCAATATCATACTGAATGGGCAAAAGCCGGAAGCATTCCCTTTGAAAACTGGCACAAGACAGGGATGCCCTCTCTCACCACTCCTATTCAACATAGTATTGGAAGTTCTGGCCAGGGCAATCAGGCAAGAAAAAGAGTATTCAAGTAGGGAGAGAGGAAGTTGAATTGTCTCTGTTCAGAGATGACATGATTGTATATTTAGAAAACCCCCTCGTCTCAGCCCAAAATCTCCTGAAGCTGATAAGCAACTTCAGCAAAGTCTCAGGATACAAAATCAATGTGCAAAAATCTCAAGCATTCCTATACATCAATAATAGACAAACAGAGAGCCAAATCATGAATGAACTCCCATTCACAATTACTACAAAGAGAATAAAATACCCAGGAATACAACTTACAAGGGATGTGAAGGACCTCTTCACGAGAACTACAAACCACTGCTCAAGGAAATAAGAGAGGACACAAACAAAAGAAGAACTTTCCATGCTCATGGATAAAAAGAATCAATATCATGAAAATGGCCATACTGTCCAAAGTAATTTATAGATTCAATGCTATCCCCATCAAGCTACCACTGACTTTCTTCACAGAATTAGATAAAACTACTTTAAATTTCATATGGAACCAAAAACGAGCCTGCATTGCCAAGACAATCCTAAGCAAGAAGAACAAAGCTGGAGGCATCAGGCTACCTGACTTCAAACTGTACTATAAGGCTACAGTAACCAAAACAGCATGGTACTGGCACCAAAACAGATATATAGACCAATGGAACAGGACAGAGGCCTCGGAAATAATGCCGCACATCTACAACCATCTGATCTTTGATAAACCTGACAAAAAGAAGCAATGGGGAAATGATTCCCTATTTAATAAATGGTGTTGGGAAAACTGGCTAGCCATATGCAGAAAACTGAAATTGGACCCCTTCCTTACAACTTCTACAAAAATTGACTCAAGATGGATTAAAGACTTAAAGGTAAAACCTAAAACCATAGAAACCATAGAAGAAAACCTAAGCAATACCATTCAGGACATAGGCATGGGCAAAGACTTCATGACTAAAACACCAAAAGCAATGGCAACAAAGGCCAAAATTGACAAATGGGATCTAATTAAACTAAAGAGCTTCTGCACAGCAAAAGAAACTACCATCAGAGTGAACACGCAACCTACAGAATGGAAGAAAATTTGTGCAATCTATCTATCTGACAAAGGGCTAATATCCAGAATCTATAAGAAACTTAAATTTACAAGAAAAAAAACAACCCCATCGAAAAGTGGGCAAAGGATATGAACAGACACTTCTCAAAAGAAGACATTTATGTGGCCAACAAACATATGAAAAAAAGCTCATCATCATTGGTCATCAGAGAAATGCAAAGCAAAATCACAGTGAGATACCATCTCAACGCCAGTTAGAATAGCTGTCATTAAGAAGTCATGAAACAGCAAATGCTGGAGAGGATGTGGAGAAATAGGAATGCTTTTACACTGTTGGTGAGAGTGTAAATTAGTTCAACCATTGTGGAAGACAATGTGGCGATTCCTCAAGGATCTAGAACCAGAAATACCATTTGACCCAGCAATCCCATTACTGGGTTTATACCCAAAGGATTATAAATCATTTTACTATAAAGACACATGCACACATATGTTTATTGCAGCACTATTCACAATAGCAAAGACTTGGAACCAACCCAAATGCCCATTAATGATAGACTGGATAAAGAAAATGTGGCGTATATACACCATGGAATACCATGCAGCCATAAAAAGAGGATGAGTTCATGTCTTGCAGGAACATGGATGAAGCTGGAAACCATCATTCTCAGCAAACTAACACAGGAACAGAAAACCAAACACTGCATGTTCTCACTCATAAGTGAGAGTTGAACAATGAGAACATGGACACAGGGAGGGGAACATCACACACGGGGGCCTGTTAGGGGATGGGGGGGCTAGGGGAGGGATAGCATTAGGAGAAATACTTAATGTAGATGATGGGTTGATGGGTGCAGAAAACCATCATGGCACGTGTATACCTATGTAATACGTTCTGCAAACATATCTGCACGTTCTGCACATGTATCCCAGGCTCAAGCCTGTAATCCCAGCACTTTGGGAGGCCGAGGCAGGTGGATCACGAGGTCAGGAGAGGAAAACCATCCTGGCTAACACGGTGAAACCCCGTCTCTATTAAAAATACAAAAAAATTATCCAGGCGTGGTGGCGGGTGCCTATAGTCCCAGCTACTCAGGAGGCTGAGGCAGGAGAATGGCGTGAACCCGGGAGGAGGAGCTTGCAGTGAGCCAAGATCATGCCACTGCACTCCAGCCTGGGCGACGGGGCAAGACTGTCTCAAAAAAAAAAAAAGTATAATTTAATAAAACGAAAAAAATGAAACTCTATCAGTGGCAACAGCTATAGACTGAATTAACCACCTAAGACCATTTCTTCTTCCCTCCTTCTTTCCTTCTTCCCCAGACTAACTCCACCCCCAATACCAGCCTCTCTGCAATGACCCCCTGCCCACACAATGAGACCTCCCACACAAGCAGCAGGGCTGTGCTTGGATGAGAAATCTCTCATTTGAGTGACTTAAGGAAATGTCTCTTACTCTTCCAGGGCAGGTCCTTCAAAGTTGCCACTTAGTTCAACTGAAGCCAGAGAGGTGGCCAGAAGATGAGATGCCAGCACTCTCCCTACAAAGTATCCTGGGTCCCGTGGCCTCTCAGTTTGGGGACATAAAACAAGGTCATGATTATGTTGATATCCCAATTGCAATGACTCTGAGCAAGCCCTCCCTTCCCCAACCAGAACTGAGCCCCTCAAGGGGCCCCTAGTAAATTCTGGGAACTGCCCCAGGAAAGCTTCACGTTGGGCACAGGCCAGGCTTCCAGCAGCACCAACCACAGGGGGCTGCCCTGAGGTGCCTCTTCCTCTGGCTTCCACTCACCCGTTAAGCAGCTTGAAAACGCCTTCAAAGGCCACCAATCCTGAGTTCTGTACGGAGGGAGGAGAATGGCCTTTCCCTACTCCGAGGCCGCACTTTGTCACCTGGGTCCTAAAGCATCCCAGCTTGTGCCCAGAATCTCACCAAGTCTGCCATGAAAATAATTCCATCCAATTCTGATCCTTATCCCTGTAGAGATGAAACCCAGGCCAAGGACAGACAGTGGAGAAGAGATCCATGAAACCCCTTCTTTCTTCTTCTCCCAATTACAAAGCTTAAGTGTCGTGCATATAAATAGAGACAGAGGAAGGGGACAAGAACACTTCCAATAACCGGGTTGCAGTTCAGCCAAAATTGCCCCTGAGGCACATAAATGAAAACCAGTCCAGTTAGATAAATCAAGGACATCTGCCTTCTCCCTGTGGCTCTAAATCAATGGCAGGTATATACCAAGAAGAGCACAGAGTCAGCAATGCTGCAGTCTGAATGGCGGGGAGGGGAGAGTGGAGAGGACGAAGCCACAAAGCTTTCTTCTTTATAAGAAAGTATTTATTTATAATACAAACATTTTGCCTCTCCTGGAGAGCATCACCTTTCTTCTTTTCGTTCCTTTTACCTGCTTGAAAGCACAGTTCATTGATTCAGGCTTTTCGCTGGGTCAGCCCACTTTCAACAGACTCTAAGGAAGAGTAGTTAACTCCTGCTCTGAGACCCTCAGGGCAACTGGGCATAATAGAATCTCTCTGAGACTCCTGCAGCCCTTGGCGAAGAGTCTATTCTAGGTATCCAGTTCACATTTTCTCTCAAACTAGTACTAAGTTGAAAAAATAGCATCATAGAGTCTGCCACTACCTGGAGTCAGGGCTTGGCTGTCGATTCAACACAACTACATCTCATCGGATGAAAAGTCAATTTCAATAATAAGATATCTGGGAAGGCTTCAGAAGCTAATTTTCCCATCCTTGGATAATCTGGTACTGCTGACTGACTGTTCCGGGGCGTAACCTGCCAGCCGGTGCCTTCACCAAACACAGAGCACTAGCACCCTGCCCTGGCACCCCAGCCCCGGCCCCTTTCCAACTGAGCTGCCGCACACGACTTGGGGAGCCATCTCTGGCTGCCATTCAGGGGAAGACAGATGGCTGAGAAAAGATTTTCTAGAGTTTCCTGACCAGATTTCTCTCCTATGTATCATGAAGCAAACCGTGGCTTTAAGATTCATCCCTGGAGCAGCAGGCAGCCACCGTCTCTGAGTCGAGTCCTGCTTGGTTGGGAATTTATTTCTAAACACTACGGGATTTGGGTCAGGGCTTGCATTTTAAGCAGCCCATTTTCATTTTCTGGGACATAGGTAAGAAGAGAGGACAAGCTTAGATTTTCACAGGTGGTATTGTTGCCATAAAAAGGGGTCCCAATCCAGACCCCAAGATAGAGTTCTTGAATCTTGTGCAGGAAAGAACTCAGGCCGAGTCACAGGGCTTGGGAGCACAGTGAAAGAAGCAAGATTATTGGAAACTACTCCATTATGGAGTAGAGAGTCCTTGGAAAGCAGGAGGAGGAACTCGTGTCCTTCCTTTGTTAGGGTCGCTACTTTTAAGAAACTATAAGGAGCTATAATTAAGCTTGAAATGTGCAGATGTATGCATTAAAGGTAGGGGCTATTGGTGCTATCAGTGACCACTCATCTTTCAACCTAAGCCTGCTCATTAACATTATCTTTAAGTCAAGTGGGGGGCACTCAGAACATCTGGATGTTCTGTGGGCTTGGTGAAAGATGTTCTGTATGGCCACAAATATTCTGCACTTATAAGTGGTGGCCAGCTTAGAATGTGGCTATTTTCAAACCATAAGTATTAACCTTATAGGTGCTGTGTGAGTGCCTAGTTACTCAATTTAAGATGGAATCACTCTGGTCATATTTTATTAAATCAGAGGCCTGGTAAGCAGGGGCTCCTCTAACATTATTAAATCAAAGAGAGAGGCAGACAAGAACAGTGAGATCAGGCAAGAGTCTGAAAATGGCACTGGATGTGGGACAGAGCTGCCCCATTGCACCACAGGGAGCTGAAGAGAAGGGCCCTGCCATTGACTGCCACCCAGCTGTAGGCCAGGTACCCTCCTAGGCACTTTACGTATGATAGCTCACTTATTCTTTGAATCTCTGACCTTAGCTGTTTCACTGATAAAGAAATTTTATCTCTTTGCTAACTAGGTGCTCTCCCTAGTGGTCACCTCTACTCATGTGGCTTCAGTGACCCTGCGTGTGTCAGCGACTCACGATCAAACACTGTCATCCTTCTGAGCCCCAAATACATTTACACAATTGCCCACCGAACCTCTTCAGCCTCAAGCTCAGCACTAACACCCCATCTTCCCCACCCCCGTGACAGTCCTGGGTCCTTCTTTCTTCACCTACCATATCCCATGGTCACCACATCCAGTCATTTTCCTGTGAAACGGCACTTGGCTCCATCCACAGCTCACCTCCTCCCCGCCACTGCACTGGCTCAGACCACTTCACTGCCACAACTGCTTCCTCCCATCCACTCTGGATTGCAGCCGAAATTCTCAGCCACCTGATCCTGTTACCACCAGGCTCGAAACTTTACAGCTTCCCAAGTTGTCCTGGATCTGTCATGGGATGTCCCCTCATGATCTAGCTCTGCTCCCTCGTGAATGAGTCACCCTGTCACTTCAGTCCTGGCGTGCTGTGATCCATGCACTCAACAACTTTAAGCCCAGAGTGTGCTTTTTATTTCTTTATCCAAATCTTTGAAGACTGTTCCCTCTGTCTGGAATCCTCTTACTCACAAATGTTGATCCTCCCTTCACCCCAAGGGTTGATCCAACCCTCACAATGGTTGGCTGACTCCTGCTGACTCTGATTTCAGCTGAGATGCCTCTTTCTTATGTGTCCCTCATCACTCTGCTCCTACCCTTTTCACAGCATCACACTGTCCCCCACTGGACTGTAAACTCCTTAAGGACAGAAATAGCATCTTTTTTTTTTTTTTTTTTTTTTTGAGATGTAGTCTCGCTCTGCTGCCAGGCTGGAGTGCAGTGGTGCGATCTCTGCTCACTGCAACCTCGGCCTCCCAGGTTGAAGCGATCCTCCTGCCTCAGTCTCCCAAATAGCTGGGACTACAGATGTGCACCACCACGCCCAGCTAATTTATGTATTTTTAGTAGGGATGGCGTTTCACCATGTTGGCCAGAATGGCCTCCATCTCTTGACCTCGTGATTAACCCACCTTGGCCTCCAAAGTGCCGGGATTACAGGCCTGAGCCACCGCGCCAGGCTAGAAACAACATCTTGCTTACCATTGAGTCCTTAGTGCCAGGCACAAGATCTGGCACACAGCAGGTGCTCAAAACATTTTTGTTGAGTGAGTGAATGAGTGAACAAATGAACTAGCAACTTGCCCCAAGATTCTCAGCTTGTAGATGATGGAGCTGCAGTTGAAACCCAGTCCTGTTAGTCTCAAAGCCTGTGGCCTTTCCTTTGCACTCTGATGACACAAGCATCATCATGTGGCTTATTTAAAGCAAGGCTGGATGACCTCTGGAACTAATACAGTATCTTGGGAATAACTGCAGTGAACTCTTGAGGGTGTTTTGAATCTGACATTTTGAAATCAACTTTGAGTACTCATCCCGCCACTTACTATTCTGGTCTAGAAGACAGACCTCTTCCTGCTCTTTTATCTGCAAATTGCCTTAGGTCTTCAAGTTACCTCTTTCTTTCCCCTAAGTACAACACCTCAACTATTGTGCAGTTTGTTTCCTGGTGCAGTCCTAGTAATATGCCCTGAAGAGCTAGAAAGAGACTGAACCATTACTGTACTTTCTCATTAAAGGAAATTACTTGTATTTCTGCTCTAAGGTTGCGCCAACTCATTGTTCATGCAATGTGACCAACTATATGACAAAATTCAATCAGTCTAGAAAATTTCCACAGAAGCCAAAGAAGAGCCTCCCACTCAGCAGCAATCACTGTAAACACAAATCACAATATTTGCACTTACATGAGCCATGGATGGATTACATTATCTACCTCTGCTTCATTTAGATGATCAACGGCATGCAGCTGGGGAATACAGAGACACAGAAAAAGCCCTGAAAACCCTCAGAAGTGGGATGGATTAATCTTTTCCTGAAGAATCATTGGCTCCAATGAAGCAGGGAATGAACACAATGCACCAGAGCTACCCAGGGGGCCCTGGGCACCTCAGCAAGGCCTTCTCCTGGCCTAGGACCTTGGAGTGGGATCACATGAGATTCCAAGAGATTCTCACCATGGCCCCCTCAAAGGGAGCCTCTCATTTGTCTTTTGAATGCTCAGCTATTCAACTAAAAGTATATTAAAAATGCCCGCTTTGGATCTGATTCAAAATAATCTAGCCAGATGGGAGAGTTGTAGATGAAACAGATTGGCCATAAGTTAATCATTATTGAATCTGAGTGATGGCTGCATGTGGGGAGCCATTATTATATTCTCTGTTCTTTTGCATATTTTTGAAATTTCCCATAAATAAAAGTTTTAAAAGGTTGCATATGAATATAATCTGGTATAATTTTTCTGGGGAATAATTTAGTATTATATATTCAAAAGTCTTTAAAATGTGCAAATCCTGTGACTCAGAACTTCTACTTCTAGGAATTTACTCTTAGGAAATAATCATGAATGGGTGAAAAGATTTATCTACAGGGATGTTAATGACAGTCTTGTTTATAATAGGGGAAGAAAAGAAAAGTGTTCAATAATGAGGACTGGTCAAATAAATGTTGGCATCTATTATGATAGACCATTATGGAGCCATTAAAATAATCTTGGGTCTGGTGATGGTGAAGAGAAATGTCATTTCACACACTATTGATGGGAATAAATTTAATAACTGCTTTGCAAAGTGAGTTGGTATTATCGATCCTTGTTTAAAATGCTTACTTTGGCCCAGCAATTACATTATTAAGAATTTTTCCCATTGACAGACAAAAATGTATATACTGGGATAACTGCAGCATTCTTTATAGTAGGAAAAAATGAAAACAATATAAATGTTCAACAAATAAAGATAAGTTGAATAAATTGTGGTTAACCATACAATGGAATACTCGAAGGCATTGTTTGTATGTTATAATAATTATACCTAACATTCTTGAAAGATGTTCTAGGCATTGTTCTAAGTATTTTATACATGCTAATTTATTTAATATACTGGTATGAAAATGTATCAGTTAGCCATTACTGTATAACACACTGCTCTAAAAATCAGTGGCTTACAGCAATAAACTTTTTTTATTGCTTGATTGACCTTCCTCCTGACTCTCTAAGCAGCTGTGGGTTGGGTAGGCAGCTCAGCTGATCTTGGGTAGGTTTTCTTATGTGTTTGGTGGTCATCTGGGGTAGGCTAGTTTAGAATTTTTTTTGGCTGTGACACTTGGCTTCCATAAAGACTTTCATATCCTAACAAACTAGCCTAGGCTTATTCACTTGGCAGTGGTAGAATTCCAAAAGAGAGTAGAAGCATGCAAAACTTCTTGATGCTTAGAGTCCAAACTGGCACACCATCACTCTTGCTGCATTCTGTTGGCCAAAGCAAACCCAGATTCAAGGGATAGCGGAATATTCTCCCTCTCTTGTTGAAAAGAGCTTCAAAGTGATGTTTCAAGGAGTATGAAAACAGGGAGGGGGATATAAAAAAATTTTTGTAATAAATATTCTACATATCTAAAATGAACAGTGAGTTTTGTGTGCTCCTTTTTGTCCAGTAAAAAGATAAAACACCAGACACATCAACACATACAGATACAAACACACATGTACACACACACACACACACACACACACACACACACACCACATACATGCACATAACTGGAAGATTTCTATCAGGTACACAAAATTACCATTCACTATAGTTACCCTGGTGAAATTCTACTTCTTGAATAGAACTGGGGTATCGGGTCAGAGACAGACTTTCTTTTTATTGAACACCCTTTTATACTGTTTGAATTGTTTTGCCATATGAATAAACTAAACTTACAATTTTAAAAAACAGATATCAAAATTAAAAGATCTCAAAAAAGGAAATCAAAATGCATAGAACTGAATGAAAGTGAAAATACAAAGTATCAAAATTTGTGGGATGCATCTAAGGCATGGCTGAGAGGAAAATTCATAGCACTAAATGCTTCCATTAGAAAAGCAAAAAGATCACAAATTAAAATTCAAAGAAAAAGTGTAGCAAAATCATATTATATAACAACATTTAAGATACGAAAATGTGCGCAAAATGTTGTTAATGGAAACATGCAGGTTACAAGCAGTATAAATGATGACATATAAATTTAAATATAAAAAAGGCTTAGATGCTGCACACCAAAATATTGACATTGGGTCATGAGGTGGTTTTGAATTTTCTTCTTTGTGATTGTCTGTATTTTCTATGTTTTCCTACAATTTACATTTATATTTTTTGGCCAGAGTATAGAAATGAAGGTCCTGTAAAAACAAGGAGCTAAGGTCCAAGGATCTCAGGAAGAGCCTCAGTCCTCACATTCTTGGCTTTCTTTCCATTGGCTTCAGAACACCTAGGCAGAGATTATAATTTCTCCCATAGTTTGACTGGCATGGAAAATTTGTGTCCAAGTTCAGGCCCAACTTTTAGTCTTCCTCTCCTTTCTTCCTCACAACAGTGATATGAGAATGAAATAATTGGCTCCACTTAACAGATAAGGAAATAGAGCCCCAGACCAGGGCTGAACTCAGTCCATAGTTCTTATTCACTCTATGTCACTGCTCCCTCCCTTCAGTGAAGCTGGAGGCAGGGTTAGACCTACCTACCCTGACTTCCACTCCCTTTTGGAGTTTGGACATCCATTGGAAACTGCCACATTCTGAGGATATAGCATTGAACAAGACCAACAAAATCCTTGCTCCATGGAGCTACATTCTAGCAAGAAAGACAGCTATGAAGCAATATAAAGATTAAATTATTCATTAAAATTGTGTTGAGTGCTTCAAGGGAAAGTATAGGCTCCAAGAGAGGATATGACAGCAAGACCTGGTTTGGCCTGGGTCAAGGCAGACTTCTCTGGGGCATTGGTGTTTATACTGAAATCAGGTGATTATCACCGCCTGTGCTGGATCCAGAAAATCCTGCATCCTGGGCAATTTCAAATGAACACAGCTTCAGATATCACAGTGCAGTTGAGGAAGGAGCACCAGTCTAGGATCAGGAGACCCTGTTTTGGTCTCAGCCTTACTATTCATTAGTTCTGTGATCTTGGATAAGGTATTTGCATCTCTTAGCCCTCATTTTCTCATCAGTAAAAATGAAGAACTTAGATTAGCCAGTGGCTTGGTACTATTTTTTAAGCACATAACCTAAAACTCATTAAAGCTGAGCTGTTATAAAATCTTGTGTGTTTGCTCTTCTCCCCAACCTTTCTCCTTGATGACTGTGGCAGTCTCTAATTCCCCTCAAGGAACTTCCATGACCTGCAAACCAGTTTGAAAAATTCTGACCTACCTAGGTGATTTCTGAGACCCCTTCTAAATGTGAAGTTGTGTGATACCAACTTGGAGTATAGGGACCTCAAACACATTTTCCACCATACATGGATATGAGGGCAATAGGGTTAAAAGATGATAATGCCATTGAGTCAGGCATTCAACATCTACTTCAACCTGCTTCTAAACAGCCTTCCTGAACTAAAGAGGCTGAAAAGCTAAAAATTACATTTCCAGATTCTTTGCAGCTACTGTTCCATATGTGACACAGGTCCACCACGCAAAGACACCAACATGAGGCTTGAAAGGCAAAGGTGAGCAATGTTGTCAGTGTTCATGTGCAGGGAGGTTGGATCTTTCAGCAAGTGCAGTAGCAGAAGCATTTGACTTTTCTGGAGCAGTGGGGATGATGGTTCTGTTCCTAGCATCATCAGTGCTGGATGGCCAGTCATGGCACCAGTGGGCTTCCTCTAGACCATTCTGGAATTCTCCTTGGTCTTTTTCCCTGGATGCATAAATCCTGAATGGGTAGCATCCAAGCATGATTGGAGCCTCTTCTGGAAACTCTAAACTAAATAATACCCTGTAACAAATCCCTTTCTGTTTAAACTAGTGAGGGTGGATTCTGTTACCTGAATGCAGTGGTCGAGAAACACCAGAGCAGACTCTTAGATGGCCCTTATGAGCATGCCTGGCCCTTGTGCTTCTTGCCTGATTCTCTACCTCCTGCCTCTGTATGCTCCTCCAATCTTTCCAAACTGGACTCAGCAGTTTCTCTGCACCTGCCACCTAGTTACACTTTTGTACCACAGACTATAGACTCAGATAGTTCTGAGTTTGAATTGCAACTGCCACTTAGGACAATATGAACTGAGGCAGATTCCTTAATCTTTCTGTTCCATCATTTACAAAATGGGGCTACCAACCACAGAAGGTCATCATAATCAGATGGAATAATGCAAGAGAAACAGCAAAGCACTCACATAAGAAAGGCTCTTGGTTGCTGTTGTTGATGTTCTTATTACCTTTGGCTTTGGTGATGAGCACCCCTCCCATGACTCACTGGTTCAATTACGGTCTGTGGCGTCTGTGTATAATTCTAACACTTGACACAGACAGAAATAAGAGCTCTCCTGGCTCCAGGGTCCAACCTTAAAGACAGGTCTCACATCTGTACAAGTCAAGATTATTGGCTGCAAGCATGAGACTAACCTGCAATCATCAGTAGAAAAGGGCATTTACTGGAAGGATAAAAGCAACTTTCAGAATCCACTGGTATTGGGAGAACCAGGCACAGAAAATGACAAGAGTTTACTCATGTCCAGAAAGCCAAGGCAGCCATCCTTTGGCAGTCACTCTCTGCTGCTCCTGAAGTGAACTCTAATTGCCTCTTTCTCTTGGTTCGCCCCCTCCAGGTTCAAAGTCCCAGACAGGGACATCTGACTGGCCCAGTGCAGGTCATGTGCCTGCACCCTGCAGCCAGGGTGTGGGGAGAAAGACCACCTGACCCTTGGGTTTCTATAGGAGGAAATGAGACATTGTCTCCCACCAGGATGATACACACTGAGAAACTCCCAAAACCAGAGAAAGGAACTGGATGCTGGAGAGTATATTAGTTAGGGTTCTCCAGAGAAACAGAACCAGTATGATGCACCTGTACATACTATACAGAAAGATGTGGATTATAAAAAATTGGCTCACATAGTTATGGAGGCTAGCAACTCCTGATCTGCAGGGTGAGTCAGCAAGCTGGAGACCCAGGAAAACTGTTGGTTGTTGTTCCAGTCTAAAGACAAGAGGCTCAAGACCCAGGAAGAGCCAGTGCTTCCATTTTAGTCCAAAGGCAGAGGAAAGCCAATGTCTCCATTAAAAGGCAGTCAGGCAAGAACCATTCTCTCATTTTTTTGGGAAGAGGGTCAGCCTTTTTGTTCTTCTATTCGGGCCTTCAACTGATTGGATGAGGCCCACCCACATTAGGGAGGGCAAACTGCTTTACTTAACTACCTATTTAAATGTTAATCTCATCCAAAAGCAATTTCATAGAAATACCCAGAAGTATATTTGACCAAATATCTAGGCACGCCGTGGCCCAATCAAGTTGACATATAAAATTAATCATACAAGTGATCCCCAGTGTCTTTCAGGATTCTTCAAGAGGCCTGGAGTTTCTTGCTGGAGCTGCTTGCAGGGATGGGGCTTGTTGTATGGGGCACTATCTCCTAGGCAACACAGAGGCTGCCTTGATGTCTACAGTAGCCCTCAGGCTGAGGTCATGGGAGAATCCATTGTTCTGCAAAGTAGACCCCAGACTGCCAAAGTTTGAGAATCTTGGGTTATGAGAGAAATACACACAGTCTTTTCCACAGCAAACTCCTCAGGCCAGTTTCCCCTCACTGGTATCATATGTTAGGATTAGACACATTTTCTGTCCTTATGAGTCTCCCTTCCTGGTCAGGATTTGCAATGGCCCTTTTTATCATGGAGCACCTGTCCCAGACCATTTATGTGACTCACACCCATTTGTCCTTATTATGATACATTTCTGCTTGGGAGTCCTGTCATCAGAGGACTGGTCTCTTCATACGGCACACTGAGTCTCGTCATTCTCTAGACAGCTGGTGTTGATATCACCTGAAAACACCGACGTGTTAATGTATTTCCTCCTTCTCACCATAAACTCTAAACACAGTGCACCAAAGAGGCCTTCAAACTGATGAGGTTTTCCACCTCGACAGGCTTTTCAGGATGGATCAGTCTCATTTTTTAGCAGTTTTCAGGAAAACATACCATCTGAGCCTCCTCAAATTAACCAATTACTGAAAACAATGCATTTTCTTTCATGATGTTCTCATGTATACCTCCTCATTTTCAGTTAACAAAAGGAAAAAAATGAAAACTTCTACAGAGAAATTTGCAAAATGCTGCAAAACATATTCAATCATATAGTCAAATTAAGTAGAAAATCTTGTCCCCTAACAGGGACCGTAACAGCCAGTTTCATGGATTAAACTGTCCTTTGCAAAAGAAATTTTTCCCCTAGAGAATGAATGAATTCATTTGGGTGGGAGGTTTCTAAGGCTCTGCTTGAAATGTTAAGAAAAGTCATTTTTGCTGCATATATACTATCTTAATTCTCTGAAGTGAAACTTACAATATTTGAAATTTTAAGCTACAAACCATGACCTCTTTTTTACATACCGTGGCAGAACTACTTTTGAAGTGCCCCATGTTTTTTAAAACAGAGATTTTGAGTAACATTTCAAAGAGCCAGTCCTGATTTAGTAAGCGGATTACCTAAATTTAGCTTGTATTCAAACCCTATCACTGAAGCTCAACTTTTCTGGACTCTGGCCACATCTCTCTTTTCCATTATGATGTCGCTTGCTGGCAGATGTCCCCTTCACACCCTGCATACAAGGAGATGGCTAATAATATATAAGAGTAAATGGTGATGAAATAATCTTGTCTCAGAACCTCACCCTCCAAATCCCAGGGGCTCCCCTCCCCTAGTTTGTACCCTTCTCCATATGGCCCACACCACATTCTGCCTGTCTCCCACCCTACATTGCCCCTTGCATTGCTGACAATTATTATAGCCCTGGTGGAAGCAACCTAATCACCCTGGCAGGTACCAATGTCCACATTGAAACTCTGTACCCTGGCCACACCTCTGGGCTCACAGTCACCACACTGAGGTGGGAGGAGGTTTCCATCCCTAAACCAGTGACACAAATCCTTTTTTTTTTTAAATTAAACCTCATCCTAGGAGATTTCACACTTTAATTTTCTTACAACTCTTTAGTATTTTTAATCTCTTACATGATTTATGCTTCCAAAGTAATGATGTTGAAAATACAGATAATCAGCATCACCATGTAATGAGCCTCTTTTACATACCTAGACACAATGTTAAGCACTTTACATGGATTTTTCTCAATTGAGCCAAACAACGACCTGCTATACTCTTGTTTGCCACGGTTGTGGCTAGGAACAGGTGCTTTAGAATCTGCCTGGGTTCCAGTTCCAGCCCTGAGATCTTTAGACAGGTTTCAAAGTCCCTCTAAGCTTTTCTTTCCTCAACTGTACATGGGGATAGTAAGAGCCTCTACCTTGAAGTGCTATTATCAAGATTAAATGAAAAGGTGCATATGACGCATCTGGCAGAGTGACCAGCACATACTAGGTGCTCAATAAGTGGTAGCTTACTCTGAGTGTCCCCACCTGGGTGACCTGCAGGGTCCCTGGGCTCAGTGGTTTCCTGGTTGGGGGCTGCTACAGCCTCACCCACACCCCCTCCAACCCCTGTCTCCAACCCTTCTCCAATTCTCTGGATTGAGTTGTGACACACTTTGAGTCTCCCCCACCCCATTTCCAAGTGAATTTCCTTCCAACTATGTAGATAGAAAAGCAGCCTTGACCCTCCACTCGGCTTTATTTTCAATCTGCTGGCTGACAGAACCCCTCCCAAGGGTCCTGACAAGACCAAAGAATAGGACCCTCTTCTGTAGTCTGAAATTACCCAAAGTCCTATGAAACCTTTCCAAACGAAGGTACTTGATTTCATTTGATACCTTCTTTGTTCTTAAGAGAATGGAATTATTTATTTCCATTCTTAGTTTAAAAAAAGCCAACGCCTCCTGCTGCAGGACCCTGTTGCCAACCTGGAAGGTGCCAGGGTCATAGTCTATTTTAGCACCAGGCTGCCCAGAGACAGAAACTATCACATGTCACTCATAGGTGTACTATGCATTTTCAAATGTCTGTGGGGCTATTGTGATGAATACAATGCAGGATACTTAAGACGCAGGTGAGGGTGTTCAACATTTGACATTAAAAAGGGCATCTTCTTACTTTCAAAAGCTGGAAACTCCTCATGTCATGGAAAGAACACTAGAAGGAAGTCAAGTGCATTGCCTGGGAGTGTGATCCTGCACAAATCACATCCTCTCCCTGGACCTCAGTGCCCTCATCTGTAAAGGACGGCAGTTGGAAGAGCTGACCTCTAAACCCCAGCACTAAAATTTTATGAGTTTAAAATCACTCTCTCCTAGCTACGTGATGATGAATATTTATAATGGCTGACATTTTTAAAGGAAGGAAACTACATAGACAGCCTCTATAGCCACATAAAACAAATGGCAGACTAGTACCTGTCGGTTTTTTCTGTCAAATGTTAGTTTTTGTTAGTTGTACCACTTTCCCAACCTCTTCACCCGCTGTCGTGAGAGTCCCCTCCTTTGTCTGCAGCATCCTGTATGTGTCTTTCAAGATTTATTAATGTTGGTGTTTTCTCAGCGACTGTAAGGTGGCCATTATTGCCTCTCTCCATTATTTATCCATTTCACTTGCTTGGTGTTATTTTTATTTTTCATGCCCTCCAAGACCTCTCCTTGAACAGATTGCTTTCTATTACCGTAGTCTTAACACTCTGTTCTAAACCAAATTGTCCTCTGTCACCCGTTTGCCATCTTAAATTCATCTGTGGGAGATGTAATTGCCAACACTCCAACTGTTGCTTAAATATTTGCCCCTTTCCCATGACAAGTTCTTTCAAAAGAATGAAATCCTCACAGTCAAGTCATGTGTTTATGTGCTCACCATCTGTGGTGCCTTTGTGCTCTGCCCTCAGCAGGAATTTTCTGGGCCTTTCCATCACCTTTCTATCTGCACTCTCCTGCCCTCACCCACTCTACCTACCTACCTCTACCTCTGCACCCACCAATCAGAATGCCTCTTCATGTCTGGAACCAATCAGAAAGCCTCTTCTTCCAAACATGTATTAAGCATCTGTGAATGGGCAAAGCTTCTCTGACAAAAGAAAGCACAGAAGATTTGAGGTGTCCGCTCAGGAAAGATAATCTGTAGGAGGGGAGAAATGCGCACTGTAAGTCTTACCTTTCCTTTGGTGAAGGCATACAGGGAAGTCTTACCCCCTGCAAAGTGATGAGCACTAGACATCCTTTTCTGTTCAGGAAAGACTCTTGCTGCCATCATCAGGAGGGACGTGGCTACCCCTTTAATACGCCGACTCAATCATGGACCCAAACTGTTTCTGCTGGATTATTTTAGAGCAGCTAAGGCAGGCTGGGCTTTTTCCATTAGACTATGTTAAATATTAAAAGACAATAAAAAGGCAATGCACAAAGAAAACACCAGAAATTTTTTCAAATCAAGAGTACAAAGTGCAGCATGCTTATCCTATTACTGCTGTTTCAGTGTCTGACCCTTCCCTATGCTATCTAAAATGGTTACTCACTCACCCCCAGAGAAGTCCAACTCTAAATGTCCCTCGCATGAATGTCTTGCCTCCCAGCTTCCAGCCTGCCTCTCTTCCTCTCAACAAGGCAGCCGTAAGAAGCTGGCAGTCTTAACCATACAACCATCACTAATTCAGCAAAAATTTCTGACCCCTGCCTTTCTGTGTTCGGCACAGAGGTGCAAAGTACAGTGTGAAGCTTCCACCCGCAACCCTCCAGGTTTGTTTTCACTAATGGGGGAGGCAGACAGTAAACTATCAATTCCACTAAAGGATTGTAAGTGTTATTATGGGGACATACAGAGAAAACTGCTCTCTAAATCAAACTGAGAGGTCAAGGAAGAATTTCTGGAGTCTGTCATGCTTGAAATGAGATGTGAAAGATGAGTATGATTAGTGAGATTTTAAAAAGAGAGAAAGGAAGAGGAAAGTCATTGCAGGCAGCAGGGACTGCATATGCAAAAGCCATGTGTTTATGGGCTCACCAAGTTACACCAAGGTATAACTTGGCATTGGTCATTGGGGAACTTCAGTTGGCTCTGTTTGGTTTGAGCAAAGGGTGTGAGGAAGAATCTCAGGAAAAGACGCCAGGAAGGGGTCAGAGGGCTGCATCAGGAGAGGATTTGTGTACCAAGTGAAGACTAGAAACTTTATCCTGACAGGTCTGCTGAGCCATTGAGGAATTTTAAGCAGAGGATTGACATGATCAGCTTTGTGATTCTGAAACTCTAGCAGGAATGTTTAAAAAAAAAAAAAAGAAGGGGAGAGAAAAGGACAGGAGTCAGTGTGGAACCAGTTCCAATAATCCTGGTGAGAAATGATGAGAGGTTAACCCCAGGTAGATTCTATAGAATTTCATGAGTAGTTAGATACGAAAATGGAAGAGAGAAAGAAAGAGAAAGCGAGAAAGCCGAGAACATCTCCCAACTTTGTGGTTAAAACAATTAGCTAAATAGTAACAGCTCACTGTACTGAGTACTTATGATACACCATGTTAAATGCTTTGCATGCTTTCATTCTTTCATTCAGCCATTTCTTTGAGAGACTACTATGTGCCAGGCACAGTTTCAGGTACTGGGGTTACAACAGTAGAGAGAAAAAGAAAAAAGGTAAAAACTCTTGCCTATATAGAGTATGCAGGAAAATGATAAGTAATGAGGAAGAAACATAAGGCAAAAAAGGCAATAGGAACATCAGGAGTGGAAAGAGTTTAAACTGTAAAGTGGGTGCCCAGGGAAGGCCTTACTGAGAAAGTGGCTGAGAAGTGAGGTATGTGGCTCTTGTGAGGGACAGGCATTCTGAGTAGAGGCCCTGTGGTGAAGTGAACCCCTGGAACAGCCAGTGAGGCTGGCTGGAACAATGAGGGGGAAAAGTAGAAACAGATGAGGTCAGAGGTATGGGGAGGGGCATGGGGGGACAGGTCACCCAGGGTCCCACAAACCATCGTAAAGACTCCAGCTTTCACTCTAAGGGAAATTGGAAGCCACTGCAAGGTTTTGAGTGAAGTAATAATGTGATATTAACAGAATCATTTGCATTTTAACAGAATCACTCTGGCTACTCTGTTGGACATAGACTGAAAAGGGGACAATTCAGAGGCCATTACAGCAACACAGGTGACAGATGATAGAGACTAGGATGATGGCAGTGGTGACTGTGAGAAATGCTAAGTTCTGGATATATTGTGAAGGTACAGCTAGATGGGATAAAATTTTAAATGTGGATGTGAGAGAAGGAGAAGACATCAAGAATGCCAGCCATGGAGTTGCCTTTGATTGAGATAGGGAAGACTGCAAGAGGAGCAAAAATAGAAAGGGCTCATTTTTGACATATCGGTTTTGAGATGCCTATTAGGTATTGAGTGGAGATTTAAGGAAAGAAATTCAATATATGGAGATTTAAGGAAAGAAATTGAATATATATATCTGAAGTTCAAAAGAGAGGTCTAAGCTGAAGCTATAAATTTTCATCTTCAGCATAGAGATGGCACTTAAAACCATGTGATTGGATAAGACATCACTGGATGTCCCATCTACATCAGTGATTGGAATGGGAAAGGAACAGGGTCTATGATGAAGGTACATCCTAATGGACATCAGCAGTCCCATGCAAGTCACTCCATTCAGAACAGATTATTATGGGTCCTGAAGACAGGCGAGACTAACTTCCGCAGACAGAAGAGGAAGGACTGCTTTTATTGACAAAAAAGCCTTGGCAGAATTTGGAAATCGAGGTCCTCTATTTCATCAGAAACTGCCCATATGTCCCTATCCCAATTTTCAGGATCCCTCTGTCCCAATCAATGCTCTGACTTTCACATAAGACCCTTCAAGGTTGTGAATTTTTTGATAACACCTTTTTAAAGATACAAGTTACACACTGTGCAATTCATCCATTTTAAATGTATAATTTAATTATTTTTTTCGTACATTCACAGGTGTAAATTCTTTTTGCCCTGTAATTCAGCAATCTTCAAAATTAGACCATGGGTTTGGATTTCAGGATCTTAGCCCTGCACCTACAGAAGATAAGGGTTTCTTTCAGGGGAGTTAGAGGAGCTTTCTAGCTCATCACGTGGACCTTGATCTGGGACTATTGAGCACTGAGCTCATTATTTTCTTTACCCAAGCTCTCCAGTATACTAGGAAGCAACCAAGTTCTTCATCATTTTTATTTGCTCTAAAATCTTATATGGCAGCAGCCATTTGGTACTCAATGCCTTGCTTTGAGCTTGATTGCAATGGCTACAGATGGTCATTTAAATAAAGATTTGGCATTATATGCCATGGGTTGCCAGTGTCCAATTTATCATCGGTAATGGGGTCTTTCATGCCTGTAAATCTAGTCAGATCAGTGAACCAATTCCAGATTCCCAGTATTAAGATTCTATTCCCCTAGAACCACATTTGATACCAATAACTGTGTCAGTAAGGCTTTAGTTAGGGAAGCAGAATTGCTACGGATGTTATGGGATAAAGGATTTATTATAGTAATAAGACCTCACAATTGTGGAAGGAGTTAGGGATGGAAAGGTATAGAAGTGGTGTTGGATGATCAGGAAAGGAGTCAGTCAATCTAAGCCAGACATGTCCAACACCTATGAAGGGGGGACTCATGGATAGGTCTACAGGAAACTTTAGCCTCGGTATAGCTAATGCTTCTGTGGTCCACAGTCAAGTGTCTGGTGGTGGGCCTGGGCCACTCTTGGCAGTAGGGCTAGCAGTTGAGGAGAAGAGCTGGACTTGGAGAAGAGGAGAGCAAGGATATGCTAGAAACTGCTTGGCACCTGTGTGCCTATCCTGACCAACTACATCTGACTATGATGACCTGTACAGTAATGGCTACTGCTTTATTTCTAACTTCCAAATATCACACAAGTTCCTCTTTTGGCCAACTCTAGCCTGGAATCATACAGAAAAGAGGACTCTGAGAAACTCAGTTCCCAGATTAATTAAATGACACAGTAAAAACCACCTCAGCATCCACAGACTGACCTGGGGCATCCCAACTTTCAGAGGTCAGGAAGAAGAGAAGGAAAAAGGAAAATGACTGGAAAAAAGGGGCTGCCAGAAAAATCAAAGGAAAAGCTAGGAGAGTTTGTTGTCCAGCACCCAGGTGAAGAAAAATGTCTCAAACAAGTGAGAACAATTTAGAATCCAAAATGCTGTTGATGGGTCAAAAACAATGACTGAGAAGCAATCACTGAATATTCCAACATAATAGTTGGAATCACAGATGGCCTTCAAGAGAATGATTTTAGTGGAATGAGAGAGCAAACTTTACTGGAATGGGTTCAAGAGAAAATGGGAGCACACTGAAGATAGCACATTTAACCAAGGAGTTTTACTAAAAAAGGAAGGTGAGAAAGAAGCTAGTGACTAGAGGGAAAATGGGATTAAGTGAGTTTTGAGAATAAAGGAAGAAGGGAGCATGGGGAAGGGAATGATCCAGTAGAAGGAAAATCTGATTGCGCTGGAGGAATGCTGAAGCAATATGCTTGAGGGGATAGGAGGCAGGGTGGGGTGAACTCTAGTGTATAAATGCAGGCTGTATTCGTCCATTTTCATGCTGCTGATACTTACCCAAGACTGGGTACTTTATAAAGAAAAAGAGGTTTAATGGACTCAGTTCCACATGGCTGGGGAGGCCTCACAATCATGGCAGAAGGTGAAAGGCATGTCTTACATGGCAGCAGGCAAGATAGAATGAGAACCAAGTGAAAGGGCTTTCCTCTTATAAAACCATCAGATCTTGTGAGACTTTTTCACCACCATGAAAACAAAATGAGGGAAACTGTTCCTTTGATTTAATTATCTCCCACCAGCTCCCTCCCACACCACATGGGAATTATGGGAGCTACAATTCAAGATAAGATTTGGGTGGGGACACAGCCAAACCATATCACAGGCAGCGGCCTTAACTGAGAGCATGGAGAAGGTCATCCATCAACTATTTCTGCAGGGAAGAAAGAAAAAATGTGCAGAGACAGGATGATTGCTTCTCCAGTAAGATTGGAAGCAAGATCATGAACTCAAAGCAAGGATAGAGTTGGAATCGTTGGAAGTCTGAGGAAAGAAAAGAGAGTTTGAAACAGCTATGGAATATTGTATTTTTCAAAGATACTCAAAACAGTATAGATCCCATTCCACTTGCTCTTCTTACAACGTGATGTTGAGATCTCTCCATCAAGAGGTGAGTGTCTGTGTTCCCACCTCCTTGAACCTGGGAGGTGCTTTGTAACCAACCATTTCAAACAATAGAATGCAGCAGAAATGACACCACATGACTTCCAAGGCTAGCTCATAAAAGGCAATGCAGCTTCTACCTGGGCTTTCTCTCTCTCTCGGACATGTGTCTTTGGAACCCTGAGTCACCATGCGAGAAGTCTGGCCACCCTGAAGCTGCCATGTTGGAGAGACTACATGGAAAGACCACATCTTAGAGACCACAGGTAGAAACATATAAGGAGCCCCAGATGTTGCTGCATCTGGCTTTTTCAGTCTTCCAGCCCAGGTACTCAACATGAGAATGAATGGCTGTCAGATAATTCCAGTTCCCAGCCTTCAAGCCACCTAGTTGATGCTCAATGAAACAGAGACAAGCTATTCCCATGGAGCTGTGCCAAATTTACAGATGCATGAGAAAAATAAATGTTGTTATTTCAAGCCACTAAGTTTGGATATAAACTTGTTATGCACCAATATAATTGGATCAATAGTTATCTAGGAAGTTACCTAGGATGCCATCAATTAAGCACCCCTTGGTTTTGATTAACTCACCCAGGGAGTATGGTTTGTATCAGAGTGGTCTGGGGGAACATTTGCAAAATGTGTGTGTTAACCACTTTTCTGTCCTGGGGCCTATCATAATTGGGGTGTAGGGAGCTACAGGAAGGAGGCGGTACTCTTCAGTGTTTATATTTTGAAACGGTTCCACAGGGAACATACAAACTCCCAAGTTGAGAATAATTGACAAAAATAAGAAGCACGAGGGTTAAGGACCAAATTCCATGGAAACTGTCATTTAAGTATCAAGTGAGCAGGAGTGTTCTTGAAGAGTGCTTCTCAAATTTTTTTAAAAACAGCTGCATTGAGGTACAGTTTATATATTATAAAATTCACCCATTATAAGTATATAATTCAATGATGTTTAGTAAATTTATAGAGCTCTGCAACCATCACAAAAATTCAGTTTGAAAACATTTCCATCACCGCAAAATATTTCCTCTTTGCAGTTAATCCCTGTTCCCACCCCAAGCCCTAGGCAACCACTAATCTACTTTCTGTCTCTATAAATTTGCCTTTTCTGGACATTTTACATAATGAAATTATGCAATGTGTATTCTTTTGCATCTGGCTACGTTATGTTTTCAAGGTTCATCCATGTTGTAGTGTGGATTTGTAGCTTTTTTTTAATTGCTGAATAGTATTCCATTATGTGGATAAATCACATTTTATCTGTTCACCAGCTGATAAACAACTGAATTGTTTCAAGTTTTTGGCTATTGTGAATAATGCTGCTATGAACAATTACATACATTTCTTTGTGTGAATATACATTTTTGTTTCTCTTGGGTAGAATCCCAGGAGGGCAATTTCTGGATTCTCTTGTAAGTTTAACTTTTTAAGAAACTGACCATGTCCTTTACGGGGACATGGATGGAGCTGGAGGCCATTATACTCAGCAAACTAACACAGGAACAGAAAACCAAATATCATGTGTTCTCACTTATAAATGGGAGCTGAATGATGAGAACACATGGACAAATGTGGGGGAACAACACAGGGGCCTGTCGGAGGGTGGGGGTGGGAGAAGGGAGAACATCAGGAATAGCTAATGGTTGCTGGGCTTAGTACCTGGGTGACAGGGTGATCTGTGCAGCAAACCACCATGGCACACACTTATCTATGTAACAAACCTACACATCCTACACATGTACCTTTGAACTTAAAATAAAAGTAGGACATTTTTTAAAAAGAAACAATTATTTTTCGCAGTTTGCCCTCGTTCTTCTTCCTGCACCCTGGGAGAAACTTGGATGACACAGCCACCTAATGGGCAGGGGAAGAGGAGAGTTTGGAAACACACATGCATTAATAGATGATGTCCTGTCACGAAAATTATTGTTCTTGTTTCCTAGATGAAGAAATTGAGGCCTGGAGTGGGTAACCTGTCCATGGTCATGCAACTGGTTTGAGGAAAATCATCACCAAACACCACCTTGAACTTCTAGAGCACTATCTGGAACGTGTGGTGCTGACACCGTATAATTTACTGTTTCATTTTAGTCTTCCCTGTGTTGTTTTGTTCTCTGGCTGTTTTGTGTTCAATTGGAGTAGATTTCCTTAGCCTTGGGTTTCTAGTATAATTATTCCACCACTGTCTCCCTTAATTACGTGGTTGTTGTCCTTCAACTCTTATTTTCATGTACGTTTATTCTGAGCTTCCTCCAATTCAATCCTTTTTTGGAAGAAAATGAAGCATAAAAGTATAAGTAAATAAAATAGCAGTTTCATGTGTATTGCTGTTACATTCCCAGATGGACTGGGGACACCTTGAAGCCAAGATTTGTGTCTTAGACTTCACTTGCTCACAGCCCCCAACACCTAAAGCGGTACCTGGAGGTGTTTCACAAACCCTTGTTTCAAAATTCACCAAACTGAGGGAGGAGGGTGGGAACTACCATTGTTGACCACTTACTTCCTGTCTGCTACTCTGCAAACAATATTTGAGCTCATCCACACAATAAGGTGTTAGTATTCCTGCTTGTATAGGATGACCCACATATCCCTCTTTGTTGGGGACCATCCCAGTTTTAACACTACAAGTCCTGTGTCCCAGACAAACCTTGGACGGTTGATCACCCTACACTTTAGAGATGAGGCCACTGAGTCTCAAAGAGATGAGTTACCTTCTCCAACTTGTCTTACAGATCCAAATCCAAGCTTGCCTGGAGTATGGAACTAGTTTATTAATAGGACAGATTAGAGTATAGGAGAAAAAGGAAGTGAGGTTGTCCAGGGCACCCTGGTCAAAGGCTCCGGTGTGCCCCAGCAAGTGGCCCCTGGGCACTGTTGCAGTGCCATGAGGAGTAGCTTAAAGTCCTACAGAAGAGACTGAGGTGGTTTAAAGAACTGTGAGTGGCAGGGCTTGGAGTTGGTTTGAAGATTAACCGCAGGGGTATAGTACAAAAGGGAAGGCAGCATGCTCAGGAGGGTTCTTCTCACCCAAACAGGCTACCTTGGACCCTGTGTTGCAGCCCCTGATGGTCTGTCTGCCTGCGGCTTGTATCACAGACTTGAGTCAAGCTGACTGCATCAGCTGACACTATATTTTCCACTAATAGAGTAACAAATGAGTAATTTGGACTGATCATTATTCCCTGCTTACTACTCATGTGCCAAGTATTTATGGAAACTAATACAGCATTCAGTTTACAGCTGATAACAGGGAAACCATTAGCTCCCCCTAGTCATCCCTCTTCCCTCTGGCAGAGAATCGCTCAACCTTGAAGGAGACCAGCTGAAGACTTTAGGCTGTATGATAAGGTTCACATTTCTTTTTTGTGACAAAGACATTCAGAGGCTCTCTAGCAACCTTTCTTGTGTTCTACATTTTTGCCTATTTAGTTTCTCTGCCTCTGAATCTACCTCTCTTCAAGTCACAAAAAATGAGGCCCTGTGTTACTGAAGATCCAAGACATGCAAGTTACACATCTGTCCCCAGCCCAGTTTCTGATACTTCCCAGACAATGGAATAATCCAATCACTTGCTTTCCTGAGGCTCAGGGGCCACCAAAGGCTGCATGTGTTGGCTTCTATAATCCAGTTGAACTCATTATGGTCACCAAGCTCCTCTGTGCCCTGCACTGTGCCCGGAGCTGGATACACAGGCTGAACGGCATGGTCCCTGTCCTCAGACTGCTCACAGGATATTAAGGTACTGACAGTCTTAAGGCATTTATGAGGAAAAAAATAGGTCATTATGGTTTATGTTGCTGGTGTGATTAAAAAGCAGTTATGTCCTTCAAAAGGCCCAGAATGATAATAAAATGGAGCAACACAAGGACATGCGAACCAGCTATCAGTTCAAAACAATATTTTCAGAACAACAGAATAAGAGGGAAAACAAATTTATTGCGACCTTGTGTGGATAACACCAGTAACTTCAGCTTCCTACCCTTGTTCGGAATTCTGCAATTTTTCCAGATTTGTTTATTTTTGATCATTGTATCCAAACACAACAAATTTTAAATTATATGTCTTATACACTCTAGGGGTTATTAAGCTAGACAATTCTGTGATTTTCCTTCTCAAGTTGTGTCTGTTACTGATCCTTATAGCTTCTTCGACAGATTTTCATAAATCAGATTTATATATAGTCATATAATTCAGGCTACATTTATGTTCTTATTATCAGTGAAATTAATGTCAAGTTAAAGCTTTCAATTTTTAAAGAACTGGTCTCAAGGAAAAATGAACTTTCACCCGAAATTGCTTTGATTTGCAACTCTTTCAGCAACAAGAACTCTAAAAGTCAATTTGTGGGTCTGGATTTGAGAGTTTGCTATTTTTAATTAAGTATATAAATCCCCTACCTCATTTTCCATTACAGCTATGTGTGGGGCCAACTTTGCTCTGCTGAAGTGCAGAATACATCATGTGTTTCACTAGCAGTAAATCCATCTCTGGAGACTTATCAGTGGCCATGATCTATCAAAGGTGGTCAGAAGATCAATGTTTCAAATACCCTCTAATGTGAATAAAAGAAACTTAGCTAATAATTTTTCCACATTAGGTTAGATTTACTTTAGGAAGCTTGGTATTACAATGGGCTCTCAAAAAGATTTTTAAAAATTTTAAATTCCCCCAAGAGAGAAAAAAATATATTCAAGAAAAGGCACTGAGAGTGGCACAGAAGATGAAAAGAGGTAGTATAACATTAGTCCTTACCAATAACCCAGCTTTGAGTTCCACCAGAGGCTCCAAGCCTATGTCTTTGTTTTACTTCATTAAGGCCAGACACTGACTTCTTAAAGTTTGAGTTTTTGAGGACAATGTCGCCAAGAACTTATAGGTCACCAGGACACCAGGACCACCTAGAGCTTCCACAAAATAAGCCACTGACCTGCTCTAGGGATTTCTGCAAAGCCACCTGGCTGTGCAACTGGACTAACAGCAGACTCACACTGACAGTCAATGCACAGAAGAGATGAGCTTCCCTCTGAGAAAATGGATGGGTTCAGTGCTCACAGAAAAGAAAAAAAATGGACCCTAAGAACTTTAATTCCTCAAATAATCTTGTACTTGTTCCCCAGGAGTTATGTGGGGCGGGAGGAGAGCAGGCGCATCGCATGAAGACGGTTTCATCCTTCCACCTCCTAAGCACATTAGCCACCTGAGCATTTCTCCCAAATGGCCAAAGCTCTTTCCAGATTGTGAGAAGTTCCCAAAGCAAGAAGTGATTCTTGAGAACTGGGCATCAGTGACTCTGAGGTTTAGTAGGACAGTTAATAGTGACATAAAATGCAAAGGGAACATTGGATGGCGCAAAACTTTTCCATTAAAGTTTTAAAGAGAACATTTTACACCAGCCTACCACTCAGGTTCACAGGTGGTATTGAAACTCAAAGTCTGCCAATTGTGGATTCTTCAAGTCGAGTGATACTGGTTTTCATGGAGAGAGAGTCTGGTGACAAACAGTGCCTGGATCCTGGATCCATAGAGAAGAGCTCCAGCCAACAGCTATTAAGTGTGTGCTGGCTCTCAGCGTGGGCTGTGTGGCCCAGCACTGCCAGCAGATAAATGAATACTCTGTTTTGAGAGGACTGGAAGGTAGAGGGCAATTGCTATTATTAAAGACCTGCTGTACCAGACACTTTATATGTGTAATCCCTTTTAATCTCAGAGCAAATGTAATTTGCTCCAAACAAAAGGAACAAAAAAGAAAATAATAATTTATACTGGCCATTAGAAGTTTTAAAGTATTATATGCAAATTTTAGTATGTGATTCTCAATCTGTCTGTTTTGCTTACAGCTGGATCCCCAGGGCCCTGCACAGGGCTTCACACGTAGTAGATATTCAATAATTTTTTTTTTAATGAATGCATGTTTTTAACCCATTCCTCCTTCAGTAAGACAAAATCCTATGTTTTATTATATAATTTTAAAACAGTTAAATATCTTAACAAAAACAAGAAGCCTTGATGTTTCTTAAATATCTTTTTAAAAACAAGTTTTAAAAATGGAAGTTTGAATAAGGTTTCTCAAATTGCACATGTACCACTCTTTGCCATCCCTTCTACGGGCCAGTCCTCAACTGCTTGAAAATTACTGCCTTAGAAGTAGCCATGTCTGAAGTTTAAAAACAAGAGAAAGATCATAAGGAAATAATCATAGGTGTATACAAGAACTTTTACAGAGATATGCATTGTGGGATTATTTACATAGTCAAAAAGTAAAAACTGTGAGAGAGGATGTCCATAATAAATTATGCAACATCCAACAATAAAATGTTCTACATTCACTAAAGATTTTCAAGGATATTTAATGACATGGAGAAATGTTATCTAATTTCTCCAGTTTAAAAAGCATGATACAAAACTGTGTGTGCATTCCCACTGTTGAAATTCATGTACATTATACATGCATGCAGAAATGTTAAAAGGAAATATACCAAAGTGATAGCTGTGATTATTTCTTGGTGGTGAAATATTATTAGTGATGTTTACTTTTTCTTAATTTTTATCAGCATTTTCTGTTATTTTTATAATATGCATGCATTATTTGCATAATTTTTAAAGTTTTTTTTAAAGAAAGAAGATTTTGATAATAGAACAATGAAGATGCAAAATATGGAGTTGACTTCTCCCTGGTGGCACAATCTGCTCTAGAGACATGGCAGAAGAAGTTGTTTTGTTTTGTTTTGTTGAAACAGGGTCTCTCTTGCCCAGGATGAAGTGCAGTGACATGATCTCAACTCACTGTAACCTTTGCCTACGGAGTTCAAGCAATTCTCCTGCCTCAGCCTCCCGAGTAGCTGGGACTATAGGCGCATGCCACCAGGCCTGACTAATTTTTGTATTTTTTGGTAGAGATGGGGTTTCATCATGTTGGCCAGGCTGGTCTCAAACTCCTGACCTCAAGTGATCCACCCGCTTTGGCCTCCCAAAGTGCTGGAATTACAGGTGTGAGCCACTGCATGCAGCCACAAGAAGTTTTTATACCAGAGAATAACCTTCTTTGCTAAATAATTTTTTAGGATTCCCCCACTAATTAGGCTCATGACCAACCAAGTCAGCCACTTTGCTTATTTGACTCAATAATTTTGTCTTCATAGTTTTCCATGTTAGCCCAGGCTGTAGCTGCTCTGAAACTTATCTTTGCATCCTGTGGGAAAGGTTCCAATAGTTAACAAAACGCTTCTGTAAATAATGTCATTTATTCACTCAAAAATTATTGTGCACCTCCTGGGGCCCAGGTACTGTGGTGGGCACTGGGGGAAGGCCCATTTCATCCTGAGGTCTTTACATCAGTCTGTAGATGGGAGCTTGAAAAGCTAGTAATGCATTTCTTTCCAGGTGCTCCCACTTCTGGGGGTATGCTAGTAGAATCTCAGCCAAAACAAAAGGCTCAGGTCAGATGGCAATTAATTGAATCAAAAGCTGTGCGTGGTCCAGTGAACAGCTGGGGCCTGCCTGATGGGAATTCTGCCTGTGCCAGGGCCTGCTCAGCTCAGAGGGCCCTGGGCCAGAAAGTACTGAAAAGAGCCCACAGGTCCTTACTACAGCCTTGCAAGCCTGGATGGGCAGACTGTAGAGAGGAGCCATGGAAAAGGAGAGAAAGGGCTAAGGGTTAAATCTGAAGGAAATGGTACTGTCAAACTGTACTACTGCTCCAGTTTCTGGTATAGCACATAAGGAGCTCAGAAGTCACTACTCCACCCTAGCAACAAGTAAAATGCTGAACAAACTGAAACATCAGCAACGCTTCTTAGATCCATAAGAGAAGTGAAGTCACTGGGCAAACCATTGCCCCTAAAATTAGAGACCGGCAGATACGAAGAGTCACAACACACCAGAATAGAAACTCACAAGCACAAACCTCTGCAGGAACCAGCGCTGGGCAGCAAAAGCAGAACTGTAATTGACAAACTGCTGGAAGCTCAGTGTGGAAAAGTCTGAGAGTTATAAACTCCAGGGGAGCCTAGGCATGGGGAGGGGCCCCATGCATTTGTGAGTTTGACCCCCAGGAGCTCTACCAGACCCATACAGTACATATCAGAGAAAAATGCCCTTGTGTTTCTGAGAGGAGAAATGGAACCCACTGGGAACACTCTAGAGCATTCTGCTCTTCTTAACAAGGTTTGCCCTCAGGAGAAACTAGTTAGCCAGAGCCTAACCTGTTGGCAGTTTCATCAAAGGCTAGCTAACCTGGGGGAAGGGAAATACTCAATTCCAGCCCACTTCAATCTTCCTGTCACACTAAAGGGGGGTGTGGGGACTAAGAGGCACAGGAGCAGTTCACACAATCAAGGCACAGGCTCACTAGAAGACTGAGACCTACTCACAGTGCTAGAATGCTTCTCCTCTCGCCTGAACCTTGCCACCACAATACTAAAGGTCTATTTACAGTAGTACCCTTTACCCAGCATATCATGTCCAGCTATCAGGAAAAAGTTACAAGGCAAAAAACACAGTGTGGAAAGACAGACCAAACCTCAGAACCAGATACGGCAGGGAGGTTGGAATTAGCAGACAAGGAATTTAACACAACCATAAGTAAGATGCTAAGGGAGCTAATGGATAAAATAGACAGCATGTGGGAACAGATGGGCAATGAAAGCAGAGGGATGGAAATGCTGAGAAAGAACCAAAAAGAAATGCCAGAGATGACAAACAAAACCCTGTAACAGACATGAAGAACGTCCTTGATGGGCTTATTAGTAGACTGGACAAGGCTGAGGAAAGAATCTCTGAGCTTGAGGATACCACAATAGAAAACTCCTAAACTGAAATGCAAAGAGAACAAATACCGACAAAAATCAGAACAGAATATCTAAGAACTATGGGACAAATACAAAAGGTATAAATACACATAATGGGAAAGAAAGAGAGAAAGGGACAGAAAGGACATTATTATTTAAAACAATAATGACTGAGAATTTTCCCCCAAATTAATGTCAGATACCAAACCGCAGATCCAGGAAGCTCAGAGAACATCAAGCAGGATAAATGCCATAAAACAGAGCCAAAAAAAAAAAAACACCACAACTTCTAGGTATATTATTTTCACACTACAGAAAACCAAACATAAAGAAAAACTCCTGAAAGAAACCAGAGAAAAACACACCTTCCTTATAGAGAAGCAAGGATAAGGATTGCATGCAACTTCTCAGAAGCCATGCAAGCAAGACGAGAGGAGTGAAATATTTAAAGTGTTGAGAGAAAAACACCCACCAACCTAGAATTCTGTACTCTGTGAAATTATCCTTCAAAAGTGAAGGAGAAATAAAGGCTTTCTCAGACAAACGAAAATTGAGGGAATTTGTTGCCATAGATTTGCCTTGCAATAAATGTTGAAAGAAGTTCCTTGGAGAGAAAGAAAATAATGTAAGTCAGAAACTTGGGTTTACATAAAGAAAGAAAGAGCACTGAAGAAGGAATGAATGAAGATAAAATAAAAACTTTTATTTTTATTCTTTTTTTTTGCAGTGGCACAATCTCAGCTCACTGCAGCCCCAACCTTTTGGGCTCAGGTGATCCTCCCACCTCAGGTTCCCGAGTAGCTGGGACTACAGGCATACACCACCACACCAGGCTAATTTTTGTACTTTTTGTAAAGATGGCATTTTGCCATTTTGCCCATGCTGGTCTTGAACTCATGGGCTCAAGCAGTCCACCTGCCTCGGTCTTCCACAGTGCTGGCCATTGTGCCCAACCTATTTCTCTTATTCTTAATTGACCTAACACATAACAGTTTGTTCAAAATATTAATAGCAACAATGTATTTGATTATGTATGCTTATGCATATATGCTTATTATGCTTGTATGATGAAATGAAATGAATGACAACAATGATTCAAGGGATTGGGGGAAGGAGTTAGAGTTATTTTGTTATCTAGGCTACAAACCTGCACAGCATGTGACTGAATACTGTAGGCAGTTGTAACATGGTGGTAAGTTTTGTATATCTAAACACATCTAAACAAAGCAAAGGTACAGTAAAAATGCAGTATTATAATCTTATGGGACCACTGTCATATATGCAGTCTGTCATTGACCAAAACATCATTATGTGGCACATGACTGCATACTAATACACTAAGAAAGAAGATACAATCACATAAGAAGCTCAGTTACAACCCCAAAAGGCAGAAAAAGAGTGGACAACAAAAAGAGGAACAAAGAACAAGAGCAACAAAAAGAAAACAGGAATAAATATCTTAGGTATTAATGCAACTATATCAATCATCACGTTAAACATCGATGGTCTAAATGCACCAATTAAAAGACAGAGATTATCAGAATGGATCAAAAAACCCCATCCAACTATATTTTTTTTACAAGAAACCCATTTTAAATATAAAGACGATTGTAGATTAAAAGTAAATGGATGGAGAATCCATCCTATATCATGATAACATAAATCAAAAGAAATCAGGAGTAACTATATTAAGTTCAGTTATAGCAGACTTCAAAGCAAGAAGAGTTATCAGTGTTAAAGAAGGGCATTATATAATGATAAAGAGGTAGATTTTCCTAGAAGGCATACAATTGTTAATGTGTGTGTGCCTAACAACAGTATCAAACTACCTGAGGCAAAAACTCACAGAATTGCAAGGAGAAATGGATGAATCTAATATTATAATTGGAGATTTCAACACCCCTCTATCAGGAATGAACATAACTAGTAGGCAGAAAATCAATAAAGACATAGTTGAATTCAACAATACCATCACCTGTAATCCCAGCAATTTGGGAGGCTAAGGCAGGAGGATCCCTTGAGCTCAGGAGTTCAAGGCTACAGTGAGCTATGATCACAACACTGCACTCCAGCCTGGGTGACAGAGTGAGACCCTCTCTCTAGAAACAACAACGACAACAACAACAAAAATACCACCAATCAACTGGATATAATGACCGTCTACAGACTACTCAGACGACTACATCCAACAACAGCAGAATACAGATTCTTCTCAAACTCACCTGGAACACTCACCAAGACAGACCACAATCTGGGTCATAAAACACAACTTAACAAATGTAAAAGAATAGAAATCATGCAATGCCTGCTCTCAGATCACAGTGGAATTAAACTAGAAATCAGTAATAGAAAGATCTCTGGAAAATCCCCAAATATATGGAGATTAAGCAGCACACTTTTTTAAAGTTATGATAAATAACTTTTACTTCATTTAAATGTCTTCATTTAGTAGTCAAATCCCAGAAGAAAATGCTATTTTTAGGAGAATGTGTAACTGAAGAACCTCACATTTCTATTTAAGTTTAGCCAGTTATTCTTGACAGAAGATAAGCAAACTAATGCATGATAAAGCCCCCATGAAGTTATCTCATACTTAAAAAAAAATCCCAAATTATACTTAGTAGCTTTATTGCAGCTTTCATCCAAAATGTGTTTTATATCATCTGTGACCCAGGAAATCCCTGATATCTTCCTGTCAGGGTAAAGAAATGAAAAACAATAGGACATTAATTATACTTTTAAGTATTCATCTGTTTAGAGCCCTAGATATTCCATATGCAGACCACTATGCTCACATTTGTTTTAATAAGACTCTGGTCCAAAGCCTCACATTTTTATAGCAGTTACAGTTTTTCAGCACCAGACCAGGTAAAGACATGGCAACCCCATGATCCACAAAATCAAGGAATGACGATGATTCAAGGTGACCATCAAGGTGTTGATGATTCAACAAGAAGATGACAACTTCTTGTTGACACTGAGATGACTGAGCTGGTTTATAACAAATCTATCTATACAGAGGCAACTTGGAAATATTGGCCGCTTTCACAGCCTCAAAGGGCTCTGCCAAGTGCACCTCAGCACTGCTGTACTCTTGTCCCACAGTCAGGTAGGGCATGCTCGGCCAGTAGTGTTTCTCCACATGGTTCACAGCTGCTGGTGCTTCCCTGATCCACTGCCTACCAGAAATGTGATTGCAGCAGAGGAGGGCAGTCAAGGACATGGTGCCTGCATCCACAGGAAGAGTCCCTAAACAACACGCTTCTAAATAACACATGGGTCAATGAAGAAATCTCAAAAGAAATTTAAAAATATTTTTAGCTAAGTTAAGAGGAAAACACATGAAAGCAGTGTTTAGAGGAAAATTTAGAGCATCAGATGCATGCATTAGAAAAGAAGAAAGATTTAAAATAGATCATCTGAGCTTCCACCTTAGGAAACCAGAAAAAGAGGAGCAAATTAAATTCAAAGTAAGCAGAAGGAAAGAAATAAATAGTAGAGCAGAAATCAATAAAATAGAAAATAGAAAATCAGTAGAGAAAGTTAATGAAATCAAAACCTTGTTCTTTGAAAGGATCAAGATCAATAAAATCAATAAGGCTCTGGCCAGACTAAGAAAAAAAGAGAAAGGGCACATACCAGAAATGAAAGAGGCAACATCACTACAGATCCTATGGCCATTAAAAGAATAATAAAGGAATACTATGAACAACTCTGTGCCCATAAATTTGATAACCTAGATAAAATAGATGAATTCCTTGAAAGGCACAATCTGCTAAAATTAATACAAGGAAAAATAGACAGTCTGAATAGGCCTATATCTATTAAAGAAATTGAGTCAATAATTATTAGCCTTCCAAAACAGAAAGCATCTGGTGCAGATGGTTTTACTCATGAATTCTACCAGACATTTTAAAGGAGAAATGATACCAATTCTGAACAATCTCTTTCAGAAGATAGAAGCAGAGGGAATACTTCCTAACTCAATCTATGAGGCCAGCATCACCCTAACACCAAAACTAGATAAAGACATTGCAAAACCAGAAAACTACATATCAATATCTCTATGAATATAAATGCAAAAATCTTCAACAAAATATCAACAAATTAATTCCAACAATGTATAAAAATAATTATACACCACAACCAAGTGGGATTTATCCCAGGTATACAGGCTGGTTCAACATTCAAAAATCAATTAATGTAATCCATTGTATCAACAGGTTAAAGAAGAAAAATTACACGATCTTATCAGTAGATGTAAAAAAAGCATTTGAAAAAACCCAAACCAATTCATGATAAACCTCTCAGCAAACTAAGAATAAAGGGGAATTGCCTCAACTTGATAAAAAAAAAAATCTACAAAAAGCCCTATAGCTAACATCATACTTAACGGTGACAACTAGAAGCTTTCCAAATAAGATAAAGAACAAGGCAAGGATGTTTCCTCTCACTATTCATTTTCAACATTGTATTTGAAGTCCTAGCTAGGGCAAGGAATTGATTCACAAGTGGTGGCACGCACTTCTAGTCCCAGTTACTTGGGAGGCTGAGGCGAGAGGCTCATTTGAGCCCTGGATATTGAGGCTTCAAGGCTTCAGTGAGCTACGATGGTGCCACTGCATTCCCTCTGGGGTGATAGAGCAAGAACCTGTCTCTACCAAAAAGAAAAAGAAAAGAAAAAAGTGGGCCACAGACCTTAACAGATGCCTCACCAAAGAACACATACAGATAGCAAATAAGCATATAAAACAATGCTCCACATTATATGTTATTGGGAAATGTAAATTAAAACAATGAAATACCACTACATACCTATTACAATGGCCAAAACCCAGAACACTGACAACACTGAGCGCTGGTGAGGATGTGGAGCAAAAGGACCTCTCATTCATTGCTGGTGGGAATGGGAAATGGTACAGCCACTTTAGAAGACAGTTTCGTACAAACTAAACATAATCCTCCCATACAATCCAGCAATCATGCTTCTTGGTATTTACTTGAAGGAGTTGAAAACTTATGTCCACACAAAATCCCGCACACAGATGTAGATAGCAGCTTTATTTGCAGTTGTCAAAAGCTGTCCTTCAGTAGGTGAGTGGATAAATAGACTGTGGTACATCGAGAAAATGAAATATTATTCAAGGCTAAAAATAAATGAGCTATCAAGTCATGAAAAGACATGGGTAAATTTAAATGTATATGACTAAGTGAAAGAAGTCAATCTGAAAAGACTACACATACTGTACATTTCCAACTATATAACAGTCTGGAAAAGACAAAACTATGGAAACAGTTAAAAAAAAGTGGTTGCTAGGGGTTACAGGGAGGGAGGGATGAATAGGTGGAGCACAGATAATTTTTAGGGCTGCGAAACTATTCTCTACGATATTATAATGGTGGATACATGTCATTATGCATTTGTCCAAACCCATAGAATGTACAACACCAAGAGTAAACTCTAATGTAAACTATGAACACTAGGTGATAACGATATGACAGTGTACTCTGGTGTACTCTGTATAGGGTGTACTCTGGTGGGGGATGTTGATAATGGGGGAGGCTGTGCATGTTTCGGGGAAGAAGGTATGGGATATTTCTGAGCCTTCCTCTCAGTCTTGCTGTGAACCTAAAACTACTCTTTAAAAAACTAGTCTTAAAATTAAAAAACAGGCCAGGTGCGGTGGTTCACACCTATAATCCCAGCATTTTGGGAGGCCAAGGAGGGTGTTTTAGTCTGTTCTCGCGCTGCTGATAAAGACATACCCGAGACTGGGTAATTTATAAAGAAAAAGAGGTTTAATGGACTCACAGATCCACGTGGCTAGGGAGGCCTCACAGTCATGGCAGAAGGTGAAAGGCACATCTTATATGGCAGCAGGAAAGAGAAAATGAGAGCCAAGCAAAAGGGGAAACCCCTTATAAAACCATCAGCTCTTGTGAGACTTATTCACTACCACGAGAACAGTATGGGGGAAACCGCCCCCATGATTCAATTATCTCCCACAACACGTGGGGATTATGGAAGCTACAATTCAAGGTGAGATTTGGGTGGGGACACAGCCAAACCACATCTCGGGGGTTGCAAGAATAGCCTGAGCCCAGGAGTTTGAGACCAGCCTGGGCAACATGGCAAAACCCCATCTCTACAAAAAATTAGCCAGGTGTGGTGGCATGCGCCTGTAGTCCCAGCTACTCAGGAGGCTGAAGTGGGAGGATCACATGAGCCCAGGGAGTTGGAGGATCACCTGAGCCTGGGGAGGTGAAGGCTGCAGTGAGCTGTGATCCCACCACTGCACTCCAGCCTTGACAACAGAGCAAGGCACCATGTCAAAAAACAAAGTGTGCCCAGGTCACACACACAAAAAAAACTGCACTGCCTCTGCCAGAAAGACATCAACTGTAACAATAATCTGATGATAATGATGATAGTAACAAGTAATAAACAGGTAAATAAGGGCAGCTACAGAGAGCAGAGTGCAAGGTAGAAGTGCTTAGGCCCTAATTTAGGCAGACCTGCCTCCACCACTGACACTGTGACCTCAGGCAAGTTCCTTAACTTCTCTCAGCTGCAGAGTCCTTGTCTGCATAGGGTAATAGTGAGGATAATAGGACCCCTCTTGCAAGTTTGTTTTGAGAGTTAGAAATAATATATGTAACATGCAGGACACAATCCCTGACAAATATTAGGTATTCAATCATGATAGCTCTAAAGCCGAAGTCGTAACTCTGAACTACTTCATACTTTTAGAGTTACCTACATTTGGATAGCAAAAATTTGTTGTTGTTGTTGTTGTTGTTGTTATTGTTGTTTTTAATGGCAGATCAAACAGCTGGTTGCTAGCCAGGACGATGGGAGAGAGTTCAAAACCGAGTACTGCTGGGAGGGTTGACAGTCCCTTGCAACTAAGGCCTTGGGACTCAAATGAGTGCTGGAGCTCCCCCTGCAGGCAGAGTTGGGTGTGTGTTAGTAGGATGTGGGTACAGCGTAAATGAGCCACACAGAGCCGGCTTAAAACCCAGCATGCTTCTCTGCTTGGTTTGTGTTTTTCTATTAAAAAAATAGTATTACTTATTCAGCCAGATTTGCACAACATTTGCTAAAATTACTATATTTACTATACTTATATCACTATATTTGATTAGATGGCACATGATTTAGAACGAGTTTTTTTAAATGCCAATTCTATGAGCTAAATAGCTAGCTTTCTCATTAACCTTGGGTATTAATCAGTGCTTTTTTTTTTTTTTTTTACCCATTTCTTGGCTTATCAGAACCCAGTTTTCCATCTCTCAAAACCACTTGCATTATTTCTATGTCACAAGTATGGAACAAGCATTTATTGAACACTAACTCTGTACAAAAACATTACACTAAAAGCTCAGGAGAACACAAAGAATATGGACGGATTCCTACCCGCTAAGACCTTTTAATGTAGTTGTGAAGACAAAATATACACATATGAAATGGTGAAGTCACGAGCAAGAAAATGATGACATGTGGGCTTGTCCATGCTAGGGCGCATATTCCACACAACTCTCCACCCCATTCCCAATACTTAGCACAGTTTATGGCACAGCATAGGGACTTAACAGGCATTTAGTGAAAAACTAAATAGCATGATGATGACAGAGAACAGGGAACAAATACTGAATGACTATAAGAGAAAACCACACTTTTCTGCCTCATTTTTCTCCTTAACATTTGCAACCTTCTAACACACTGTCATTTATTTCATCATTTGTCTCCCCTCTTTAAATGTGAGTGTTCTGAGCAGAGAGTTTGCCTGTTTTATTCACTGCATATCCACAGAACATAGGTTTGTGTCTGGAACATCATGGTCACCCAATATGTGTGTGTGTGTATATATATATATACACACACACGTATATATATACACACACACACACACACGCGTATATATATACACGTATATATACATACACACACATATATATATACACGTGTACATATATTGAGTGAATGAGTGAATAAATGAATATTTCAGCCATAATTTCTTAAGTATTTATACATAAGTGATATTGAGATTCCTGAAATCTTGTGGAATTTCAGTGTCAGGATTAACCACAGGATGAAATACCAAAAATGTACCGGGTGTTTGTTACAGCTTTGTTTATAATAATGACAAATTGGAAACAATTTAAAAGAAAAGAATGGCTATATTTAATATTACACCTCTATAATGGAATCTCTATAATGGAATGGCACATCTGTATAATGGAATATCATAATTCCATTAAATATAGCAACATCAATCTATATGCTTTTGGAAAGGTTGCTTTTTTTCAGAACAATTGTGGGGGGCTAGAACAGAAAAAAGTCTGGAGGGATTTACACAGAATGTTATCACCAGGTGGCAGAATTAAGAGTGGAATTTTCATTTCCTTCTTTAAGCCTTTTCATATTGTCTGATTTTTTAAAATAATAATGATATGCATGCATTATTTTAAAATCAGAAGAAAATAAAGGTATCTTTATTTTTGAAAAGACATTGTCTGGGGCTTCTGTCTTGCAACCATGCTGGGAGTGTGGAACGACCTGCCTGGGTTCCGATGTGGTCCTGTGCTCATCACCTTCCCACACCTGCTGCCCTGCACCATTCCCAGGGGCTCCTCTGTGACATAAATTTTAGTTGACCATAACTGATCCAGCTAGTCTGGGATTATCAATTTCAGATGGTGGTCAAATTTAACAGCTAGTGGTTATTACAGAGGGCTACCTTTCCATCTTTCTTCTTGATGAAGACTGCCCTGGATTGCCAACTAAACTTTCATCAGTGATAGCCTGTGAACCATTGTCTAAAGTCCTGACAGCAAGGTTCTGTGCCCCTATCTTCCACCCCTAAGGGATCAACTAGAGAGGCCCATCACTGTGTTGATAAGAGGAGAGTTAGAGAGAAGCTTTGGCAAGGATGAGTATGTCTTGGAAGTCACAGTAATTAGGGGTTGGAGGGAAACAAACCATATTCCCCTTACCAGGGGCTGTGCTGGTAACATTAAGTGTCTTGCAGGCTTATGGTAAAAGTTCCAAACAACAACTCCTTCATGCTGGTTCTGGTTTAATTACCAACATTTGGAACTAGAGGTGAAACTAGGTATTCTCCTTTAGAGGAGAATAGTGTATAGTGTTTGCTGGTCCAGAGATCTGAGATGGTGCAGCCAGTGGGAAGGAGGAATAGCATGGACTTTTGCAGTCAAGTTATTGACTTTGAAAAAGGTCTTAAATTTTCTGAACTTAGTTCTTTCATCCACAAAATTGTGTTATTGATATATACTTTACATCATTTTAATGAATACAGGAGATTATGTAAGATTATAAAATCCTAACTAGTGCATGGCACACAGTAGGCATTAAGCAAATGTTAATTCTTCTATCAATGTCTATTATGGCTATTAAGAAAAGGGGAGAGGGACAAGATATTGAGATCCCACTAAGTGCCAGGCACTCTCCTGAATCCTGTGCTTACATCATGTTCTCACAACTCGGTATTACTGTGCAAATACCCACTGCACAGATGAGGCCCACAACAGCTAAGTGACTTGCCCAAGATCACGGCAACATGTGACAGAGCTGGTGTTCGAGTCCAAATCTGTCTGCTCCCAAATCCCATTTCTATAAACTATATTTAAGTTGTTCTACTTAGAATAAATTGTATGAGGTCCCGTTATTTTCTGGAGGGAGAAGTGCCAACCCTCTAAGTAGGTGTGGTCAAAGTCCAATTTTACATTAGCCATGAAGTTCTCTCCCATTATTCAGCTGGGGACTGAATATAAGTAAATAATGCTTGATAATAACAGTAGCTCACATTTTTTGACAACTTACTATGTATCAGGCCAAGTGCATTAGACTATAGGATTCTCATTTCATTTTCAAGAAGTCCAAGAAGTGGGCATTATTATTATCCTCATTTTACAAATGAGAAAACGGACATACAATGAAGCTAAGTAACGTGTCCAAACAGCAGAGCCCGGTTTGAGCGACTCGCCACTGAACTACCCACCACCCTGGAAAGATGCATCTTGAGGCAAGGAGCTGGTAGCCAGCCATGCAGTTCTCCCTCTGAATTCCTCTAGGAACTAAGCAGCACCTGTTCACAAGGTCCCAGGGGTGCCCATTCTCAGAGGTCTGTTCTCACTCCTCACCTTCTGAGACCCAGAGGTGGTGGTGAAAGCCCCTAACCTGTGAGGAAGAGGCTCATCCCTAGGTTTGGCCTTACAAAGACAGCAAAGGGCCAGGTCATTGGGAGCCTCTGAACTTGGGGTCAAGGCAAGCAGCAGGCTCAGAGGCCAAGGAAGGGAGCCCAGCAGGGGAGGCTGCAGGAAAAAGAATTTGATTGAGGCAAGATTTATTCACATGCTCTAAAGGAACATTTCTTAAACTTTCTGCGACCATGACTCACCAAGCAACACTGTTACATGTGGAGTAGCTATGCAGATTTTCTTCCACCAAAAGAAAAATCATTGTCAGATTAAGAAAAGACACAAACAAAAATAATACATATGGGCGACAGGAAACTTTATAAGTTAAATTTCACAACATGAAGAAAAGATTTTATAAAACTACATTTCAGTATTTTCCACTATTGTACAGTATAAAATGGTTATTTGTTATAAAATATGATTTATTTTTGCAAAGGCTCACAGCACACAGGACAGCTTTTCAGAGAACATCAGCATTCTGATAGTGTTGTTTAAGAAATGCAGCTTGTAAGTGAATAAGCAACAAGCCCTTGATCTTAGGTCTATACACACTAGCCACCTGGTTCTGATGCAGGACAGGCAAGCCCCAAAATTGGGGCTTAGCCCAAGGTTTTTGGCCCCATCCAGGAAAGAATTCAAAGGTGAGCTGGTGGTGTTAAACAGCAGCTTTTATTGAAGCAGCAGTGTATAGCAGCAGCAGCGAAGCAGGACTACCCCACAGGCAGTGTGTCCAGAGTAGCAGCTCAGAGGCAGTTCTGCCATCATTTTCGTACCCACTTTCAATTATATGCAAAGTAAGAGGCAGTTTATGCAGAAATTTCTAGGATGAGGGTAGTAGCCTCTGTGGAGTTGTCACCACAGCAAGGGGTGATAACTTTCAGGTGTTGCCATGGCAATGGTAAGCTGACATGGCATACTGGTTTTCATGTCTTATGGAGAAGTGCTTCCACACTGCACCTGTTTTAGGTAGTCCTCAATTTGGTCCTGTGTCTGAGCCCCACCTCCAGAGTCTAGTCCCACCTGCTACCTCAGTTCTGCCCAAATGACAGTGAATATTAACTTAAAGGTCCGAGACTTGTTAAAGCAGTGCTAGGTCCCTAAAACAGAGGCCTTCAATTTTTTAAAAAATCATATAACCGTAGCAGCAAAAATGTTGAACATACACTCCAATATAGTGTATTTACTTATCTATATTATTATCTTATTATATTGATGCATTTCTATTATTAGCCAATGTCTCAAGGCTTCATATACACTTAGGATGAGGTTTATCACAAATGCCAATGGAAGTAAAGGCACTGTCCCCTTGATAACTTCTAAACTTGTTTTTGTCAACATCTTGTCTGATCTGATTAGATTGTTATGGTTTCTAACCTCATGATATGTCTGACAATGAGCTTCTTTTGAATTAGGGACAGTGCCATTTTCTTGTTGTTTATTTGCATTTGCATTGTGGGTGTTATCATCACACTCCTTTCTTTGTAGAGCTCTTCTTAAGCCACTCTGTTTTGTGAGGATTTGTTTAGTTAAGACTAAATAATCCAATTTGCCCATCCTCTCAAGTGGCACGAATAAGCTACAATACTCTGAAAGCCAATGAGCGACTCGTCAAACTGTAACACTCAGTGTTCCTCAGGATACCCCTTGAGGTCTGTATGTGACATGGGAGCAACAGACAGACCAAGCAAGCATGCATGCATCAACCTGTATATTAAGTGAAGCTTAATTCTTTTCGCATTTTTAGATAAAACATTAGTAGCAGACACCTCAATATTTGCTTCCCATTTCCCCAGCATATCATTCTGCATTCTCTGGGCTGCCCACTCCCCACTTTGAGATATTAGAGGCAGTATCTTTATAAGACTCTTAGGGTCTATGTGTGTGGGTAGATTTATGGGGTTTTGATCCCCCTGAAAAGAGACTTCAAATCTTGCATGATGGCAACAAAGACTTCTTTGGAGAGACTCTGAAAGGGAAAGGAGTGACACACAAGATTTTCCATCACCCTCCCTTGAACCAGCCCCAGGGACAGCCTCTAACCTAACCTGATTTCTGGTCATTGTAAATAAAAATAGTGTCTGTAGACTAATTGACTTCCCTGGAAAAGTCCATTCATCAGTCAAAGGAGGAAATTAACAAAGAGCCTTACATGATTAAGGAAGAAGAAAGTAGGATTTTTTTTTTTCCAAGACAGGATCTTGCAGTCACCCAGGCTGGAGTGCAGTATAGTGGCATGATCATAGCTAACTGCAGTCTCGAACTCCTGGACTCAAGTGATCCTCCTGCCTCAGCCCCCTCAGTAGCTAGAACTACAAGCGTGCACCACCAAGCCTGGTTATTTCTTTCCTTTTTCAACAGACAGGATCTCACCATGTTGCCTAGGCTGGTCTCAAATTCATGGGCCTAAGCATTCCTCCCACCTTGGCCTTTCAAAGGTCTGGGATTACAATCATGAGCCAGCTTGTCCGGCCCAGAAAGTAATTGAAAAAAAAAAAAAGGCTGTGAGTTCATTTTTCCTGTGGATCTTGTGATGTAGCTGTACCTCTTCCTGTTCCACTGCCCTCCATAACACATATCACCTTGGGCTGATAGGGCTGCAATAATTGATTTTTTGTGTGTTTTTGTCCTTCATTAAACGTAGATTCCTTGAAGCAAGACCAATACAGTTTTACAGCATCAATACATAGCACAGTGCCTGACAAATAGTAGGTGTTCAATAAATGTTATTGGATGAATACACTCTTGGGGATAACAATAATAACCTGTCAGAGTCCAAGGAGATACTGTAGGTAAATCACATAGCACAGGATAATTGCTCAATAAATATACATATTACTGCATGAGATAATATAATTGCTCTCTGAGCAATTTTGCTATTATATCGTACAACAGTACTTTGTAAACTGCAAAACAGCACGTTGATTTATGCTTTTGAACTACCCGGTTTCCATAGTAGAAACTAATCTTCTGAGAAATACCAAGAGTCCTGAGCCTGCACGGGCCCCTTTCCACTCTGGGGGTGAGAAAGGCACTGGGTGGGGGCTCAGTTCCGCACATAGGAAGCTGCGTGGAATTAGAATATTACCCGGGTAGGATGTAAGACACATAGTATTATTCCCTCTCCCCTTGCACCCGCGATTCTGGGATCAACTTTACAGCATCCTTCCTAGTTCATCTGGCTGCGGCTCATCGTTCAGCTGCTTCCACATTGAGATTCCAGAGGTCTCCACACTGCCTTGGCAGTCCCCGCTGGAGCCTCCGCTAAGTGTTCAGCTGCTCTCTCAGAACTCCTGTTCCTCACACATCAGTGATGTCAATCCCTGTCTGTCCATCCAATAAATATGTATTTTCTCTTATGCCTACTATGTACTTGACATTATTGTAGGTGCTGGGAATATGGAAATAAACAAAACAGACACAAATTCCTCATGGAGCTTGCATTTTAAATAAAATAAGTAAAATATGTAGTGTTGGCAGTGATAGGCACTAAAAAAAAAGTAGAGCAGAAAAAGGGGGTGGGGAATTTGGCGGGGTGGGGAATGGGCTGCACATGTTAAAACGGTGGTCAGCTGAGATTTCACGCTGAAGGTGACATGTGCATAAAACCTGAAGGAGGAGAGGGATGCAGAGGGGCAGGTACTCGAGGAAGAGCTCTCCAGACAGAGGGAAGAGAATATGTGAAGGCCTGAGACAGGAGGGTGCCTATGACACGGAGGACTGAGCTGGGAGTAGGGCAGAGCCGGCTCCCTGTAACGGTTAATACTAAGTGCCAACTTGATTGGATTGAAGGATGCAAAGTATCAATCCTGGGTGCGTCTGTGAGGGTGTTGCCAAAGGAGATTAACATTTGAGTCACTGGGCTAGGGAAGGCAGACCCACCCTTAATCTGGGAACACAATCTAATCAGCTGCCTGTGAATATAAAGCAGGCAGAAAAACGTGAAAAGGTGAGACTGGCCTAGCCTCCAAGCCTACATCTTTCTCCTGCGCTGGATGCTTCCTGCCCTCAAATATTGGACTCCAGGTGCTTCAGTTTTGAGACTTGGACCGGCTCTCCTTGCTCCTCAAGCTTGCAGACAGCCTATTGTGGGACCTTGTGATTGTGTAAGTTAATACTTAAAAAACTCCCCTTTATATATATATACCCTATTAGTTCTGTCCCTCTAGGGAACCCTGACTATATAGTCCTGTCGGCCTGTAGGCTCCCTATGTATTTGGCTTGGAGTCTGAGTGGGACTGGAAGCCAGTGGAAATAGAGGAGTGGTGTGAACTCACTTATGTTCTCACAGGCATCATGCCAGACTCCGTGGGGAAGGGAGGATGCTTGGACACAGGGAGGCCAGGCCAGTAGCTTCCACAATAACCCAGGTGAGAGATGATGGGGGTGGCCCATGTGGTTATAGTGGAGGTGGCGAGACGCAGCCAGATTCTGGATATGTTTTTAAGGTAGAAAATGCAAGATTTGTTGACTGATTAGATGTGGGGATGAGAAAAAGAAGCACCCCAAAACGGAGGCCTCAGATGAGACACTACCCTTTAGCCTCTTGCAGAGTTCTGAAATATGTATTCCTCTCTGCATTTGCCCTAAACCAAAGCCAGTTTTCTAAATTTATCCTTTCCTTTGTAACCATTGCTCAAAGCATGCATTTCTTGAAAAGTAAATGTATTTGAAGTTTCCAAATAGTTTAGCACTACATAAAATATATGATGTGTGCTGGTTCTCTGCCATGAATATCAATCTCTGAAACTCCTTGTTTCCCACAGAAATTCTATCAGCAAAATTAGAATTGCAATTGTATTCCTCCTCGGTTGTCTGATTAAGGTTTCATTTAAGCCTTGGGCTTATTTTTGAAAACCCTATAAACATTTTACACACCTACTCATATATTACCAAAGCCATTCTGAATGCAGCCTACAGTAAAATTAATTACTGTGTCATGAGTCTGTCACATTTCAAGATAAATCATAAATATTTACTTAGACCTGATTCAATATCACTTGGAAATGAACCAATATTGGCAACAAATTTCTTGGTATTACAGTACACTCTTTAGTTGGAAATTCCCATGTAAATATATCCATAAAGTTTTTAGAAGGCCATTTTGTACATGCAGAGAAGATAATAAATCAACATTCATAACATTTCAAAAATCCATAGGCCCACAAAATCCACATGCTTTTTCAGCTCCTCCAGGGCCTGTACCATGAGGCTGGTGGCAGCAGAAACAGAAGCCAAGCCTGAGAGTGAAAGAAACACTAAGCAGTTGGGACACTGATGAGACAGAGCTGCCATGATGGCAGGAAATGAAGTCCTTGCAGGTGAAGGCAGCATGGGCCAGACCGGCTTGAGCTTGGAAAGCCAGAATTTTATTGCAATCTTACCCTGAAATCAAAGCCAAAACTCACCCATGCGGTGGACCCAGAGACAGGCAATGTGGTGTCATGAAAGCACACTGGATGATGTGGGTTCAAATCGCAGCTCTGCCACTTGGACACTGTGTGACCTTTGGCAAGGGAAATTGCTCTGTGCCTTAGCTTCCTCATCTGTTAAAAAGTATCTACTTCATGGGGTTGTGGTGAGGATATAATGTGAAGGACTTCAAAAAGGGCCTAATACACAGTGGGTATTCAATGTGCACACACACACACATAAACATTTATGTATATAGATGCATACATAAATATGGTATCTATACTATGTATACATAGCACATATATATATTAGTGAATATAGGGACCCACATGTACATAGTATGGTTCGTATAATTAATTTAAGTCAAAATAACTGACTTTCGGTCCCCAACTCTGTCACTGATTATCTTGCCTGTCTCCCTCAGTTTCCTGGGGATGTTAATGGCAATCTTGTCTGGAGCCTGTGAGGATTAAATAAGATAATGTGAAAGAGTTCTGCAAAGTATTTAAAAGTCTAGACAAGTGTGGCCTATTATTGTGAGGATGTTTTCTATCCTACTATTTTTTTCTTATTTTTCACCTCTCCATCCTGGTGGATCTGATTCTTTCTGGGTGGTTTGGGTTTCATAGACCTGGGCCCTTGACCTGCCAGCTGGTCAGCAAAGCTGCTTACCTCAGGCCAGCCAGCGCCCCTCCTGGCTCCTCACATCTTTGCTCAGAGCTGCCTCTTCGGGACTGTCTTGCGAGGAAGCGCATGGGCCTTGACGGAACTGGAGCTGCACTATGTAGGTTGAACTTGCTGACACTGACAATTTGGGTCTTTGTGCTCTATGCTTGGATGACTAAAGTAATAGCTAAAAGAGGAGATGAAGAAGCTGCTGGGCCAGGTGAGCTGAAGAGGTTATATGTGGGGGAGACAGCTCAGGGGAGCCAAGTATCTTCTTCGCGCCTCGCTTTCTGGTTTCACTGTCTTTAGCAGTAGGAGGATTCTGTGCCATTTCCATCCCTCCAAGGACAGGAAGACAGAGTTGTTAAATTAAAAGGAAAAAGACTTTAACGTTGATGCATGCCTAAAATCTACATCAATAGAGAGGTGTAGAACACTAGCAAATCTTTTCCATCCATTTCCTAAGTTGAAGGAAGAGCATTTCGGTCTTTTTTGTGTGTGGGAGGGTGGGGTCTGGCTTCCTTTTTTTCCATACTTATAGCAGCTTTATATACATATAATTTACATATCATAAAATTCCCCAGTATAAATGCACATTTTGATGACTTTTAGTTAATTTATACAACAGTGCAACCATCACCACAACCCAGTTTAGAAGAGTTCCATTACTCCAGACAGATATGCTGTGCCCATGTCAATTTCCACTCCCCCTCTAGCCCCAGGCAAACACCGATCTGCCTTCCATCTCCATAGACTTGTCTTTTCCATAAATTTCATATAAGTGGAATCATACACCATGTAGTCTTTTACATCTGGCTCCTTTCACTCTGCAGGATAATTTTGCACATACCAGTGGCAGTTCCTTTCCATTGCTACATAGTATTCCATTATTATGGAATTTTATTTGGAATTTGTCTATTTCTTATATTTGATTATTATTTGAAGACATTCTTTGTTAATCCTTACCAGCAGTATTCTTTTATTATAAGAACTGGGAAACGCATTCTGCAGTGCCCCTGTGAGAACACAGCCTGTGTTTAGCGCAAATGTTGAACTAGGAAAATCATTCGCTTTCCAGTACTTGATGCCTTGAAATAAAGGAATTTTCCAACTGGAGTAGATACATAGGGCTGATGACTTCCGTTGGGTTAGAACCTGCACAGGATGTTTGCAGGGCACAGTGTAACCCTGATGACCACAGGAGGGACCAGGACAAGGAAAACCAGATGACATGGGCCCTTCACGTCACTCCAGCAGCCAGGAGCAAGCCACAGCCCAAAGGAGCAGCAGGATCCAAGGGGAGAGCCAAGAGTGTGGACCCCAGTTTCCCAGCCTTCCTCCAGAAGTGCACCCCCAAGGCAGAGACTAACTCTGTCTTGTCATTCTACTTTGTTCTTGACTCACACTTGAGCCCCTTCTCCTGGCAGGGGGCTTAGGGGAAGGGATATTGCCAAGGAAAGCCTTGAGTTGTCTCTAGAGGCCATAATGTGAAGCCAAAAGGTAGCTCACTAGAAACTCATCACTGGGATGTCCTTTTACCATCCCTGGTAAAAGGATACACAGGCTCTACTAATAGAAGACTCTTTTCTCAGTCAGTCAATAAATACACAAGGGCTGCTCCCACGTATTGTCAGGCACCCTGCTGGGTACTAGAGTAGAAGGGAGAGAGAGTTGCTGGCCTTGATGAGCTCCCTGTCCAACCACAGAGGGCAACTATTAAGCAAGTGAATGCAATTCTTAGAAAAAGTAATCCCAGAGTCCCATCAAAAGCACCCTGAGAACATGGAGATGAGCACTAGAAGAGTTACAGAAGAACTCGCATTTCATCTGGGCCTTAAAAGTGGAAAGTGTTTCAGATGACAAGCAGGAAAGGAGAGAGCAGTGTTTACACAGCCATTTCAATATGATTTTACATTATCAGAGATAAATCTGTACTTAGCTAAGCCAAAAGCTGAATTTCCCTTGCAACCAAACCAATGTGGTGGTTGTGAACCCACCAAGAAGCCCTAGGAGGCTGACTGCTGGCTGTTCATAGTGTACCGGCTACTTTAACTACTTAACCGTATGTTTGCTAAGTGAAGCCAACTGGCAACAGAATAATGGGGAAAGGGATTTACTTTACAACCGACTTGGCCAAATGACTCCTATCCCACTAAAGATGCTTACCTGGTGCATAATGCCTCACTTCTTGAAGCTCTCCAAGGAGACAGCCATAAAGAGCATTGCTAAAAGGTTAGTTCATATAGCGTACCTTGTGTGTACTATGAACCAAAGCAGCAGTGGCTAGCCTGGAATTCAATGGCTCAAGTTCCACAATCAGGAGGCTTTTTCCCCATCAGTCTCTTCTAAGCCCAGGAGTTAAGAGTGGCTGCTCTGGGGAGCTTCTGGCTAAACATGGAGACTAGAACACATGCTTTTATCTGTTTCCTACCAAAAGTCCACTAAGATGATAGTATAGTATTTAAAAAACAAACGGACTACAAAGACGAGACCAGGGAGGAAATTCAGCAGATAATAAATGTCTATAAAAATTTGGAAGCTGTGAAGCAGATGAGCAGAGATAATTTGGATCAAAGCCAGCAAGATGGAGGAAATCAAGATGAAGCGAGACTCTCTATACTTCAGATCTCTAGAAAGGTTCAGGAATTGAAGACACTATGTGCCTCAAAAGATAGAAGTACATATTGGGGCTGGAAAAAAGGCGATCAAAAGACTGAAAGAAGCAATGAGAGCCACCTATCCCTCCTCTTGCCTTGCCCAGGCTGACTTTTTACCCACTCAGTCTTTTTTTCTTTCTTTTTTTTTTTTTTTGGTCTAGCTTCTTTTTTTCATATTTAGCGGGACCAGGGATTTACTCCCTGGAGAAATGAACCATTCAGGCTCTTTGGGGAACATGGGGAGACTGGGTCCAACTGAGGATGGCTATTAGCCTCCCTACCGAAAACGGGGATCGTGTGAATACTTAGAACCCAAGTCCCGCCCACTCCCACCACCCCGCACCGCCACACTCTGCTCCAGAATATCAGAAGCCAACCTTATATTCCTCAAAGATTCTTCAATAGGGAAATTGGCCAGCTCAAGAGAAATGTCTACGGATGCTGCTTTGGGAGATCTTTAACAAAACAGCCTGGTTCCCATCTGATCACCACTGTTTACTGTCACCAGACAATAAGCCCTTTATATGCACACAGAGCTTTGCATCAGCATTTTAGCGCCTTACCATGCTGATAATGCCTTCGTGTCTTAAAAATGGACAAAGATTAACAGACATTTGGAGAGTACCTAGAATGTGAAAGAAATCAAAACAGACCAGTAGATAAAAGAAACTTAGAGGGAGACAGTAATGAAAACAAGAAAACATTTAGAAATCTGTAAATGTTATCCTTATAATAGGGTTAGATAATTGCATCCATGAATTTGAGAATAAGAGACTCTAAAAAATAAACATTCAGAAAATAATGAAGAGTTCTCAGAAGTTAAAAATAAAATCAAAAAATTTTAAACTCAATAGGAAGTTTGGAAGATAAAATTGAGGAAATTTCCTAGAAAGTTGAATAAAAAATAAGTAGAAAAAGGAAAGATAAGACAACTAGAGAATCCAATAAAGAGAATCAGCCTTTAAATAATAGACATTCCAGAAAGAGAAAGAAAAGAAAATAGAGGAGAAGAAATTACTGAAGAAACAATACAAGAAAAATTTTACAAAACAGAAAGATAAGGGCCTCTGAAAAGTGTCTAATGAATGAAGAAAGAAAAACCCACACCAAGGCTCATAATCATAAAATTTCAGTAAACTAAGGTTAAAGAAAAGATCCTAAAAGTTTCCAGAGGGGAAATTTAAAAAGATCAAATACAAACTTCTGAAGCTGATCGGGAATCAGAATGGCAACAATCATCTCAACAACAAAGTGAAAGCCAGAAAATAATAGAACAAAGGCCTCAAAATTCTGGAGGAAAATCATTTTCAACATAGAAGTCTATGCCTATTCAAGCTGTCAGTGAAGTGTGAGGATAGAAGAAAGACATTTTCAGACATGCAAGGCCTCAAATACTCACTTGCAGGCAGTCTTTTTCAGGAAGCTACTAGAAAATGTGCTCCACCAAAATAAAAATGTTTTAAAAAAGAAGAAATCAAGAAAGAAGAAAACATGGGATCCAGGTAGTCGGGGATGAACACACAGAAAGGAGGCAACTGAATTCCCACGGCATGGTCATAGGGATGTTGGGGACTGTAGCTTTGCAGGCCTAGGGAAAGGCCAATACAGATCTGAGCAACACACAGGGCTCAGGAACAACACACAGGAAGGAAGGAGAAAGAAAAGAGCAGGCGGGAGGAATAGACAGAATACTCAAGACAGGTCAGTGTATTGAGAGATTTTTCAGTGCTGTCGGAGTCTGGGGATTAATCAGTAATAGCCACTGAGCAGTAAACTAAGCAAACAAAACATGGGATGATTTTCAACTCCCAAAAGGAACAAAAATATGAATGAGAAAGGAAACATAAGTGAAGTACACCATGTGGTTCAGCAATCATGATAATGTGAACTCTGAAATTGGTTTAAAGGGTAATTTAACAGTGTTGAGAGGATGGTGCAGAGACAGGACTGACGGCGAGGTGTGTGAGAAAGCTAAATCTGCAAGTGTCATCACAAAAACTCAATAGTTAACACTTAAAACAGAAAAAAAAGAAAGAACAATAAAAGCGTGTTTAAAAAAAATGTGGATGTAAGTACTAGATTAAACACTTAATAGAGTTGAAAGTGGATGTGATGGTTAGTTTTATGAAGCAACTTGGCTGGGCCACGGTGCCCAGCTACCTGGTCAAACATTATTCTGGATGATTTTGTGAGGGTGCTTTTAAAATGAGATTAACATTTAAATTGGTGAACTTTGAGTAAAGCAGACTGCCTTCCATAATGTGGGTGGGCCTCATCCAATCTCTTGAAAGTCTCAGAGAACAAAGACTGACTTCCCCTAAGCAAGAAGGAATTCTGCCAACAGGCAGCCTCTGGTTTCGAGGGGCAACACGGGCTCTTTCCTGGGTCTCCAGCCTGCCCACCTACCATACAGATTGTGGACTTGCCAGCCTCCATAATCACATTAGCCAATTCCTTAAAATAGATACCTCTCTCTCCCTTGCCTTCTGTATACACACACACACACCCACTTGGTTGTTTCTCCAAGGCACCAGGTAGAAGATTTCAGGGTTTTGTTATGAACCTGGTTATAGTTTTCGATCTTCTAGACTATGTGTATTTGTTACCTTGCAGGAAAAAGATTGAATTTAAAAGACAACAAAAAAGAAAAAGATGATATGCTTTATAACCAAGTGGCCTTGGTTTAAATTCCATCCCTGCCTTTACTGGCTGTGACCCTCACATCTCTCTGAGCCTCAGTCTCCCCATGTGTCAGATGGGTCCTGGTGGGTCAGCAGGAGAGCTGAATAAACCGATGAATGTAGAATAAGGCTGGTGCAGAGTCGGTGCTGAATAACGGGTAAGTGTTTTCATGAGAAGATGCCTTTGCTTTCATCAGCTCTCCCTGGCAGGGGGCTCAGTGTTACTTTGATTTCGTCAGGATTATTGTTCCAATAAAATACACTGGCAGAAAAACTCATTCTCCTGGAAAGGAGTATGTGCCCTTTTAATATTTTATCCCTGATGTGCTTTATATGACAAATACAGTTCAGCGTTGTAATTAAAACTCCTTCCAGTGAAGCCGCCTTAGTCCACGAAGGGAGGTCAATTCCACCCCGTCCTTCTGCATCGATCTGCTGTGCCGGCCGCTTGCGCTGGGCTGCTGCCGTGGGCTCAGTGATTTCCTGCCCATCACTTGCTGTGCACAAATGAAATCATTTCAAATGACCTAATGTGCACCTCTGCCACTCAGAAAACTGAATGAAGAGGCAAAGAAGCAGCATCATGAGAGGTGCTGAGAGAACTGGTGCTCGTCGTGGCTGCATTTCTTGGGTGACTGAGTCGAAGAAAATATGAGGTTAGAAGGGCAATTGCAACCAAGGGATGGTGTTGTGCTGCTGTCAGGAAAACCTGTCTGCATTCCCTGGAGATGATGTTTGGTTTGCTTGTGAAGTTATCGGATTCTACCTTAAGAGTGGTCTTAATCTGGGGCATGTACTTCAGAAAGGTCTGCAAACTCTCTGAAATTGTCTGACTTGAGTGTGCAGTTATCTGGGAAGCAGTCTGCGTCTTCATTAGATTTTCAGAAGAACTTCTACCCTTTAAAATATGGAAAGGGCTGACAGCTTCTTGTCTGGGTTATCCTAGTATATAAGTATCTGGAGCTGAGATGTCAGTGCTTGGAATGGCCATGAGTTCTGGTCAATCCAATCTCCTAGAAGCCCAAGGCAGAAGGTGTCAGCCAGCCTCCTTTTGGTTTCTCTGGACTCCAACCACTCCATACTCTGTACGCTGGCTGTTCAGAACCATTGCATTATATTTGTAATTTCCATACTGCAAAACATGTCCTCAGGCCTTTAAGCATTTGTATATCCTGTTTCCACTGTCTGGTGTTCCCTCTCATCCATTGTGGACTTGAGAAAAATCTACTTACCCTTCAACACTCAGCCCAAGCTTCTCCTGTGCTGTGAACCCTCCTTGACCTCCACTCCAACCTCCATCTCCGCCAATAATCCCTGGCTGTTTTAACTCCATCCTTGTTTCTTTTCAGTTCCCAGGGCACCATGGCACACATCCTTTCATTAAAGCATCAAGCATATTGGTTGTTTTCTTTTCTGTCCTTTTCATTAAAATAAGAAGTCTGTAAGGGGAGATCTTTTTGTCTTTTTCATCTCTGAAAACAGTGAGAAATCCTATGCATCTCTCACTCTAGCTACTCAGAACTACTTATGATTCGCCAAATGCAATAAGCTCTCCATGCCTCCTTGCCCCTTTCTGTGCTGTTTGCCCTGAGCTGAACACTATACCTGGTACATAGAATGTGCTCAATTAAAGTGTTTGGAATGTTGGTTGTTAAAAGGATGGTTTGTTTCCTGAACTGTACAAAACCCTCCTAATCTCATTTCCTTGTCGTCCTTCTCAAAAGTGTTCTGAATGAGACATGACTTTTCAAAAGACAGTACATTAATTCCTGAAGTACTCTCTGTTGTTCATGATGGGAGACAGGAAGAGGTAGAAGGATTATAGAGACAAACCTCTCCAGCCCTCTTGCGGCAGCAGAGAAAGCAAGAATGAAAACAGGAGAATTAGCCTCTCGGGGAAATGTCCTTTAAAAGAAACAGCAAAGCAAATCAGACCAGATAGATTCCTGGATGTTTTGTTTTTTCCTGATGCAATTGGACAAAACAGCAGGTTTCTATCCTTGCTTCACTCACTGCACTGGGTCTTTATTTATTGCTGGCTTCCTGGGCATGTTTCTCTCTCCTCAAAAAAGAGATTTGCTGGAGGCTGGCTGCTTTCCCATTAAGGTCACCAGAGAGCAGTTGAACACTGGGAAATAGTAACTTCAGCAAAATGTCGGGGAAGATTTAGTGAAAATGAACTCCACATCGTGCCCCTCCGTAAGGAGCAGAGCTGGCCAAGACCACACGTGGTGTCGGGTGCTGGATCGCAAAGGCAAGGGCAGGCTGCACCAGTCCTGGAAGATCAAGTCCTCTGGTCAAGAAATAGGCTCCTGGGAGCCTCACCAAGTGAGAGAGGCCTGCGGCAGTGACAGTCCATCTTGTGACCATCCCTATAACCAGCTCCCCAGCAACAGCAGGAGCCCCAGCCATTTCTGTTTGCACCCCAGAAATTACTCACAAAACCCAACTGTGATTTATTCAGTGATGGAACAGGAGCAATGGCAATTTGCAACGTGGAGCCTAATCTGAAATAGACTCAGCTCTGCATAAGCAATTCCTCTGAAATATACTTTCCCTTTGTCTGGAAAGCCAGACCTTCCACCTCAGAACCTTCCATTTTCAAAGGGACTTTTAAATCCTTACGCCGGGAATATCCATGTGTCACAGAGGTCTTAGGCCACAGATAGACTAGACTACCCCTCTGGACAGTTCATCCCTAAGGTAGACATCCAGAAAAGGAATTTAAATTTAAAGGACCAGGAGAAATCTAAGTTCCTGCTAAGGTGCCCAGAAATCAAGCTGGTAACCGAATTTTCCCGCCACATATATGGCTCCACATGGTACATCCAAATGCATAGATTCATATTAGATAAATCCAAGCCAATTCCCTCCTTCATATTTAGGAAGAAGTTGTGACACACAACTCACTGTCTCTTGGCCAGCCTATCACACAGCTCCCTGAGTGTTTCCCCAGCAGCAAGTAATTGACCAGGTAATTGATGCCTCTTCTTCCTGTGGGACTGAATGAGACTAGATGTGTGAGCTGGAGCAAGTCCCTCTCTGGACGTCATTTTCCTCCTCCACACAGTAAGTGGCACTTGTGGTTCCCAAGGGCACTTTCAACCCACTGACATTGTGAGTATTGCCTATCTGACTAGGAGAAAATTTAGGTTTCCAACAACTTTCTTCCTTCTAGGTTTTAATAAAATAATGACTTTATTGGTTTTATTAAAATGATACAAATAAATTCATATAAATAGAAGAGTAACCAAAGCAAGTTTTAAAAAAAAAATTTTAAATATCATTATCTAGAAGTAACCACAATTAATATGAAACATCATTCTATATGTCTCCTTATGCATATATCCAGATGCAAAGGTGGATAGATGGATAGAGCTAATTTTTAAAAAACTGGATAATAGTCTATATGTTATTTTTGGCAAATATATCAAATTTAATATTATTTTGAGCTTAATATGAAAAAGAAATTGAAGTAAAACTGAAAATATTCTATCACAAGAAAGAGGTAGTGACAGACGTAGTGGCAAAATTTGTTCACAAATTCATTACCACTCCTTCAACTGAGAGGTGGGCTCTATTTCTCCAGACCCTTGAATCTAGGCTGTGCCTGTCACTGCTTTACCCAATAGAATATAGTAGAAGTGACATGGTTTCAATTCTGCACCTAGGCTTCAAGAGAACTTGCAGCTTCCACTTCCTTCCTTCCTCGTGAAACCCAGCCACCATGCTGCAAGGAAGCCTGATATGGTTTGGATGTTTGTCCTCCTCAAATCTCATGTTGATATGTAATCCCCAATGTTGGAGGTGGGGCTAGGTGGGAGGTGTTTGGGTTGTGGAGGCAGATCCCTCATAAATGGGTTGGTGCTGTCCTTCAGATAGTGAGTTCTCAAGAGATCTGCTTGTTTAAAAGTATGTTGCACCTCCCCCGACTCTTGCTCTCACCCTCACCATGTGAGACACATGCTCCCCCTTTGCCTTCTGCCATGATTGTAAGCTTCCTGAGGCCCTCCCCAGAAGCAGATGCTGGCACCGCACTTCTTGTACTTCCTGCAGAACCATGAGCCAATGAAGCCTCTTTTCTTTATAAATTACCCAGCCTCAGGTATTTCTTCATAGCAGTGCAAAAAAAAACCTAATACAAAGCAGCTACACAGAAATGCCAACAATGGGGGAGAATTGAGGCCCTGGTCAACAGTCACAACTGAATTCCCAAACAACAGCCATCATCAACTTTGCCAGCCATATGAGTAAGCCATCTTGGGAGTGACCCCTCTGGCCCCAGATGAACTACTCTAGTTGACACCAGGTATACTAGAGACAAACTATCCTTACCCCGAGCTCTGCGCAAATTGCCAAATTGTAATCAAATACGTGATTATCATTATTTTAAGCCACTAAGTGTTAGAATGGTTTGTTATGCAACAATAGATCATTTAAACAAAATCTCTGTACAATTAAGAAAAAAGATGAAAAATTTAAGAGATGAAATTTCTCAATTACAGATTTCCCTCTTCAAAAGTTTCAATCGACCCTAGCTGAAAAAAAAAAGCACACTTTTATTTTTCCTATTATTGCTTTTCCTGTATGTTGTTACATTGACAAGTTTACATGTTTTGTAATCTTTATGTTATGTTCTGAAACAAAATCCCAGGGTTATTTAGTCTTCGTTTCATATTTAAATGGTAAAATATTTACCAGGAGATTTTTCACCACGTCTTGTTAATTCCTAATTTCTATTACTTGGTTTCAACACTTGGTTAATAGCTTTTAATCTTAGATATTCTCCCAGCCAAAAAGAGTTTATGGGTGCTATTTTTCCTACATTAACTGATGTTTAAGAATATCTATCTGTTACCGGCCGGGTGCAGTGGCTCACGCCTGTAATCCCAGCACTTTGGGAGGCCGAGGCAGGCGGATCACGAGGTCAGGAGATCGAGACCATCCTGGCTAACACGGTGAAACCCCGTCTCTACAAAAAATACAAAAAAAAATTAGCCGGGCGTGGTGGAGGTCCCCTGTAGTCCCAGCTACTCAGGAGGCGGAGGCAGGAGAATGGTGTGAACCCGCAAGGCGGAGCTTGCAGTGAGCCGAGATCGCGCCACTGCACTCCAGCCTGGGCAACAGAGTGACTCCGTCTCACCAAAAAAAAAAAAAAAAAAAAAAAAATATGTCTGTTACCTTTTTCCTTGGTTAATAACTTAGGTGAGTGTTTTGGTGTTTTTTTTTTTTTTTAAAGACATGGTTTTGCTCTGTTGCCCAGGCTGGAAAGCAGTGACAACAGACTCACACCACAGACTCAACCTCCTGGGCTCAAGCAATTCTCCCACCTCCGCCTCCCAAGCAGCTGGGACCACAGATGCACAGCACTGCACTTGGCTAATTTTGTTTAATTTCCCACCATGTTGCCCAGGTTGACTGTAATATTCTTGAGTCACAATTTTCTTCAGTAATTGTTGCTTCTTTGTCATTAGTATTCTTATGTTGTTTAAAGAAGTCTGAGGCCAGCCTGATTTTCTTTCTTTTGAATTGATTTGCGTTTTCTACCTGGTTGCCTGACATTTGTTTGGTTTCCTTTATCTTTTGAATTCAGCAATGCAGTCAGGATAGATCTAAGGTAAATGTTATATTTACATTACCTTCCCTGAAACATGGCAGCCTTTTCAGCTTTATTTATTCCTTTATTTCAGAAACTTTTTCTTCAGTTCCTATTCTAATATGATTTTGATCCATTTCTTGGGTTTTCTACTTTAGAGAAGCAAATTTACGCATTTACTGGTTCACTTTACTTTATTCTCCAAATCAAATATTGTTTCTCTAATTGTTTTGATCTCCTTGTCTTTTTTTTTTTTCATTTACTGTTATCTCAAGTCTTCCCTTTCTGTCAACTTTTCCCAGGTGGTACATGGAGATAGAATTAAATAATATTGAATCACAATGTAAGAAAGTCACTGTCTTTTCACTCTCTCTCAGTTCTGTTTAAATAAAGGAAAAAGTCTCAATTTGGTGCTAGAATGTCTTCAACATCTTCCCAAACTTATCTAATTCTCCTTTTTAACAAAAAGAGAGTAGGCCTTAAGGTTTAGTGCCTTTCACAGGCAATAATGTATAGCTAAAATTTAATAGCATTAATTTATTTTCTCTAGAATGAAGAGGAGAAAAAATAATTTATTTTTATTATATTTAATTTTATTCTATTTTTGACAAGTCATATTGGTTTTCCACAAACTGCTGATATAAAGTTTCCTTTTGAAATAAATTTCTTAGACTAAAAAAGCAAGCTGATTTAAAGAAAATGTTATGGAGGTGGAGCCAAGATGGCCAAATAGGAACAGCTCCAGTCTATAGCTCCCAGCATGAGCGACACAGAAGACGGGTGATTTCTGCATTTCCAACTGAGGTACCAGGTTCATCTCACTGGGGATTGTCAGGCAGTGGGTGCAGGACAGTGTGTGCAGTGCACTGAGCGTGAGCCGAAGCAGGGCAAGGCATCGCCTCACCCAGGAAGCGCAAGGGGTCAGGGAATTCCCTTTGCTAGTCAAAGAAAGGGGTGACAGACGGCACCTGGAAAGTCGGTTCACTCCCACCCTAATACTGCACTTTTCCAGTGGTCTTAGCAAATGACACACCAGGAGATTATATCCTGCGCCTGGCTCGGAGGGTCCCATGTCCATAGAGCCTTGCTCACTGCTAGCACAGCAGTCTGAGATCAAACTGCAAGGTGGCAGCGAGGCTGGGGGAGGGGTGCCCACCATTGCCGAGGCTTGAGTAGGTAAACAAAGCAGCCTGAAAGCTCGAACTGGGTGGAGCCCACCTCAGCTCAAGGCGGCCTGCCTGCCTCTGTAGACTCCACCTCTGGGGGCAGGGCATAGCCAAACAAAAGGCAGCAGAAACCTCTGCAGACTTAAATGTCCCTGTCTGACAGCTTTGAAAGAGTAGTGGTTCTCCCAGCAAGCAGCCTGAGATCTGAGAACAGACAGACTGCCTCCTCAAGTGGGTTCCTGACCCCCGAGTAGCCTAACTGGGAGGCATCCCTCAGTAGGGGCAGACTGACACCTCACACGGCCGGGTACTCCTCTGAGATAAAACTTCCAGAGAAACGATCAGGCAGCAACATTTGCTGCTCACCAATATCTGCTGTTCTGCAACCTCCACTGCTGATACCCAGGCAAACAGGGTCTGGGGTGGACCTCCAGCAAACCCCAACAGACCTGCAGCTGAAGGTCCTGACTGTTAGAAAGAAAACCAACAAACAGAAAGGACATCCACACCAAAACCCCATCTGTACGTCACCATCATCAAAGACCAAAGGTAGATAAAACCACAAAGATGGGGAAAAAACAGAGCAGAAAAACTGAAAACTCTAAAAATCAGAGTGCCTCTCCTCTTCCAAAGGAACGCAGCTCCTCACCAGCAATGGAACAAAGCTGGATGGAGAATGACTTTGACGAGTTGAGAGAAGGCTTCAGATGATCAAACTACTCCGAGCTAAAGGAGGAAGTTCAAACCCATAGCAAAGAAGTTAAAAACCTTGAAAAAAAATTAGACGAATGGCTAACTAGAATAACCAATGCAGAGAAGTCCTTAAAAGACCTGATGGAGCTGAAAACCAAGGCACGAGAACTATGTGATGAATGCACAAGCCTCAGTAGCCAATTCAATCAACTGGAAGAAAGCATATCAGTGATGGAAGATCAAATGAATGAAATGAAGCAAGAAGAGAAGTTTAGAGAAAAAAGAATAAAAAGAAACAAATAAAACCTCCAAGAAATACGGGGCTACGTGAAAAGACCAAATCTACGTCTGATTGGTGTACCTGAAAGTGATGGGGAGAATGGAACCAAGTTGGAAAACACTCTGCAGGATATTATCCAGCAGAACTTCCCCAATCTAGCAAGGCAGGCTAACCTTCAAATTCAGGAAATACAGAGAACGCCACAAAGATACTCCTCAAGAAGAGCAAATCCAAGACACATAATTGTCAGATTCACCAAAGTTGAAATGAAGGAAAAAATGTTAAGGGCAGCCAGAGAGAAAGGTCGGGTTACCCACAAAGGGAAGCCCATCAGACTAAAAGCTGATCTCTCGGCAGAAACTCTACAAGCCAGAAGAGAGTGGGGGCCAATATTCAACATTCTTTAAGAAAAGAATTTTCAACCCAGAATTTCATATCCAGCCAAACTAAGCTTCATAAGTGAAGGAGAAATAAAATCCTTCGCAGACAAGCAAATGCTGAGAGATTTTGTCACCACCAGGCCTGCCCTAAAAGAGCTCCTGAAGGAAGCACTAAACATGGAAAGGAACAACCGGTACCAGCCACTGCAAAAACATGCCAAATTGTAAAGACCATCGAAGCTAGGAAGAAACTGCATCAACTAACGAGCAAAATAACCAGCGAACATCATAATGACAGGATCAAATTCACACATAACAATATTAACCTTAAACGTAAATGGGCTAAATGCTCCAATTAAAAGACACAGACTGGAAATTGGATAAAGAGTCAAGACCCATCAGTGTGCTGTATTCAGGAAACCCATCTCACTTGTAGAGACACACATAGGCTCAAAATAAAAGGATGGAGGAAGATCTACCAAGCAAATGGAAAACAAAAAAAGGCAGGGGTTGCAATCCTAGTCTCTGATAAAACAGACTTTAAACCAACAAAGATCAAAAGAGACAAAGAAGGCCATTACATAATGGTAAAGGGATCAATTCAACAAGAAGAGTTAACTATCCTAAATATATATGCACCCAATATAGGAGTACCCAGATTCATAAAGCAAGTCCTGAGTGACCTACGAAGAGACTTAGACTCCCACACAATAATAATGGGAGACTTTGACAGATCAACGAGACAGAAAGTTAACAAGGATATCCAGGAATTGAACTCAGCTCTGCACCAAGCAGACCTAATAGACATCTACAGAACTCTCCACCCCAAATCAACAGAATATACATTCTTCTCAGCACCACACTGCACCTATTCCAGAAATGACGACATAGTTGGAAGTAAAGCACTCCTCAGCAAATGTAAAAGAAGAGAAATTATAACAAACTGTCTCTCAGACCACAGTGCAATCAAACTAGAACTCAGGATTAAGAAACTCACTCAAAACCACACAACTACATGGAAACTGAACAACCTGCTCCTGAATGACTACTGGGTGCATAACAAAATGAAGGCAGAAATAAAGATGTTCTTTGAAACCAACGAGAACAAAGACACAACACACCAGAATCTCTGGGACACATTCAAAGCAGTGTGTAGAGGGAAATTTATAGCACTAAATGCCTGCAAGAGAAAGCAGGAAAGTTCTAAAATTGACATCCTAACATCACAATCAAAAGAACTAGAGAAGCAAGAGCAAACACATTCAAAAGCTAGCAGAAGGCAAGAAATAACTAAGATCAGAGCAGAACTGAAGGAGATAGAGACACAAAAAATCCTTCAAAAAATCAATGAACCCAGGAGCTGGTTTTTGGAAAAGATCAACAAAATTGATAGACTGCTAGCAAGACTAATAAAGAAGAAAAGAGAGAAGAATCAAATAGATGCAATAAAAAATGATAAAGGGGATGTCACCACCGATTCCACAGAAATACAAACTACCATCAGAGAATACTATAAACACCTCTATGCAAATAAACTAGAAAATCTAGAAGAAATGGATAAATTCCTCGACACATACACCCGCCCAAGACTAAACCAGGAAGAAGTTGAATCTCTGAATAGACCAATAACAGGATCTGAAATTGAGGCAATAATTAATAGCTTACCAACCAAAAAAAGTCCAGGACCAGATGGATTCACAGCCGAATTCTACCAGAGGTACAAGGAGGAGCTGGTACCATTCCTTCTGAAACTATTCTAATCAACAGAAAAAGAGGGAATCCTCCCTAACTCATTTTATGAGGCCAGCATCATCCTGATAACAAAGCCTGGCAGAGACACAACAAAAAAAAGAGAATTTTAGACCAATATCCCTGATGAACATCAATGCAAAACTCCTCAATAAAATATTGGCAAACCAAATCCAGCAGGACATCAAAAAGCTTATCCACCATGATCAAGCGGGCTTCATCCCTGGGATGCAAGGCTGGTTCAACATAAGCAAATCAATAAATGTAATCCAGCATATAAACAGAACCAACAGCAAAAACCACATGATTATCTCAATAGATGCAGAAATGGCCTTTGACAAAATTTAACAACGCTTCATGCTAAAAACTCTCAATAAATTAGGTATTGATGGGACGTATCTCAAAATAATAAGAGCTATCTATGACAAGCCCACAGCCAATATCATACTGAATGGGCAAAAACTGGAAGCATTCCCTTTGAAAACTGGCACAAGACAGGGATGCCCTCTCTCACCACTCCTATTCAACATAGTGTTGGAAGTTCTGGCCAGGGCGATCAGGCAGGAAAAAAGAAGTAAAGGGTATTCAATTAGGAAAAGAGGAAGTCAAATTGTCCCTGTTTGCAGATGACATGATTGTATATTTAGAAAACCCCATCATCTCAGCCCAAAATCTCCTTAAGCTGATAGGCAACTTCAGCAAAGTCTCAGGATACAAAATCAATGTACAAAAATCACAAGCATTCCTGTACACCAATAACAGAGAAACAGAGAGCCAAATCATGAGTGAACTCCCATTCACAACTGCTTCAAAGAGAATAAAATACCTAGGAATCCAACTTACCAGGGATGTGAAGGAGCTCTTCAAGGAGAACTACAAACCACTGCTCAATGAAATAAAAGAGGATACAAACAAATGGAAGAACATTCCATGCTCATGGGTAGGAAGAATCAATATCGTGAAAATCGCCATACTGCCCAAGGTAATTTGTATATTCAATGCCATCCCCATCAAGCTACCAATGACTTTCTTCACAGAATTGGAAAAAACTACTTTGAAGTTCATACGGAACCAAAAAAGAGCCCGCATTGCCAAGTCAATCCTAAGCCAAAAGAACAAAGCCGGAGACGTCACGCTACCTGACTTCAAACTATACTACAAGGCTACAGTAACCAAAACAGTATGGTACTGGTACCAAAACAGAGATATAGACCAATGGAACAGAACAGAGCCCTCAGAAATAATACTGCATATCTACAACTAACTGATATTTGACAAACCTGACAAAAACAAGAAATGGGGAAAGGATTCCCTGTTTAATAAACGGTGCTGGGAAAACTGGCTAGCCATATGTAAAAAGCTGAAACTGGATCCCTTCCTTACACCTTATACAAAAATTAATCCAAGATGGATTAAAGACTTAAATGTTAGACCTAAAACCATAAAAACCCTAGAAGAAAACCTAGGCAATACCATTCAGGGCATAGGCATGGGCAAGGACTTCATGTCTAAAACACCAAAAGCAATGACAACAAAAGCCAAAATTGACAAATGGGATCTAATTAAACTAAAGAGCTTCTGCACAGCAAAAGAAACTACCATCAGAGTGAACAGGCAACCTACAGAATGGGAGAAAATTTTCGCAACCTACTCATCTGACACAGGGCTAATATCCAGAATCTACAATGAACTCAAACAAATTTATGAGAAAAAAACAAACAACCCCATCAAAAAGTGGCCAAAGGGTATGAACAGACCCTTCTCAAAAGAAGACATTTATGCAGCCAAAAACACATGAAAAAATGCTCATCATCACTGGCCATCAGAGAAATGCAAATCAAAACCACAATGAGATACCATCTCACACCAGTTAGAATGGCAATCATTAAAAAGTCGGGAAACTACAGGTGCTGGAGAGGATGTGGAGAAATAGGAACACTTTTACACTGTTGGTGGGACTGTAAACTAGTTCAACCATTGTGGAAGTCAGTGTGGTGATTCCTTGGGGATCTAGAACTAGAAATACCATTTGACCCAGCCATCCCATTACTGGGTATATAACCAAAGGATTATAAATCATGCTGCTATAAAGACACATGCACAGGTATGTTTATTGCGGCACTATTCACAGTAGCAAAGAATTGGAACCAACCCAAATGTCCAACAATGATGACTGGATTAAGAAAATGTGGCATGTATACAACCATGGAATACTATGCAGCCATAAAAAATGATGAGTTCATGTCCTTTGTAGGGACATGGATGAAATTGGAAATCATCATTCTCAGTAAACTATAGCAAGGACAAAAAACCAAACACCGCATGTTCTCACTCATAGGTGGGAATTGAACAATGAGAACACATGGACACAGGAAGGGGAACATCACACTCTGGGGACTGTTGTGGGGTGCGGGGAGGGGAGAGGGATAGCATTAGGAGATATACCTAATGCTAAATGATGAGTTAATGGGTGCAGCACACCAGCATGGCACATGTATACATATGTAACTAACCTGCACATTGTGCACATGTACCCTAAAACTTAAAGTATAATAATAATAAAAGAAAAAAAAAGAAAAAAAAAAAAGAAAATGTGGCACATATACACCATGGAATACTATGCAGCCATAAAAAATGATGACTTCATGTCGTTTGTAGAGACATGGATGAAGCTGGAAACCATCATTCTCAGCAAACTATTGCAAGGACAAAAAACCAAACACCACATGTTCTCACTCATAGGTGAGAATTGAACAATGAGGACACATGGACACAGGTAGGGGAACATCACACACCGGGGCCTGTTGTGGGGTGCGGGGAGGGGAGAGGGATAGCATTAGGAGATATACCTAATGCTAAATGACGAGTTAATGGGTGCAGCACACCAACATGGCACATGTATTCATATGTAACAAGCCTGCATGTTGTGCACATGTACCCTAAAACTTAAAGTATAATTTAAAAAAAGAAAATGTTACATATATCATAGAACAAGTAACATTTAAATATGTCAAAAATTAAGTTTGTGATACATGAATCCATGGCCTTTAGGAAAAACTGTTCTTTATCTTGTTAAAGCATCTGGACTCTGGCCTCCTTTTTTGAGATTTTGTTTAAAATCTCTACCACACCTGCAGTCCACCCAGCTGGTGGATCTTATCACTGGTTGGGGGAATCCTAGAGCCTATACTTCCATGTCAACCCCAAATTACTCACTTCCCCAGTTCACTCTCTTATCTTCCCAAACATCTCTTTCCACCCCCTGCCAAGTGAGAAGACAAGAGGGGAAGGAGGTAAGGGTGTCTGTGTGGTCACCCTGTTGTTAATAGTTGACACATTAGGGAGAGGAATTTGGCCTTAGTTTCCCAGTGCCTCTTCTGTCTGGCTTCCTGATCCCCTGGGCATCTTGTCTTATTTATTTTATCTTTTGCCCTGAGTAATGTTAAGTTCCTGTTCCTTGCTGGGGAGAACTAGCTGTCCGTGGTTATGATTGTCCTGACTTCTCTCTCCATTTTTCTCTCAGGCTGCAAAGATCACATGGCTAAACTTGGCAGTCGCTCTGCCTCCACTGAGTTCTGTTCTTCACTCCCTAAGTCGACTTTTGTCCAGAGGGAATTGTCTAATGAGAAAACTGAGTCAAAACATGTGAGAGATATCTAAAGCCTTTGATTTGGTGCCATTCCAAGTCAGGAGTGACTGATCCTGCTGCAGCTAGTCAGCTTCAGTGAATTCCTATGATTTTATGTTGCCAAGGAATCCATTTTGAATGTGAGTTGGACTTTCTCACACCAGAAACAGGGCTTAGTTATCCTTGACAGTTTCCAGTTCTCCACCTATTCCCAGTTCCTCAATGTAGTTGACGATTTATCTGCTTTATAGAACCTCCTCCTGGTGATCAACCCCTTTTGGCACAGTTAGTTACAACCTGCTTGATGCACCCCACTGATCCCCACACCCCACAAGGATTGCACAGATGTGCCACAGTGGCCACTCTCAGTCAGAGCATGGTGCAGGGAACTCATGCCTCCTTGCTCTAAACCCATCAATTAGAACTTCTCACGGGAAACCTGCTTGGGTAGTGTTGTGGACTCCAATAAAGTCTTTGGCCTTCGGGTCCTTTGTGTCCTTTCTCTTGCTTCCTGCCCACTGGTTGAGTGTGTGTGTCCTGGTCAGCTCCCTTCCTGTTGGCCCTGTGAAGGGTGCTCCCCTCTTCTCTCTGGGACCTGTAAGTAATAAACTGCTTGTGATATTTTATGTGTTTTGTTGTGTCACCTCTTCTGTTTCTCACCAGATTGACACACCTGAACCTAATTTCTTTCCTGGTCAGGGCTTGCCTAGAGAGTGGCTATCTTGGTTACGAGCAAAGTAGACACAAGTCAGACAAGAACCACAAGGGTATCTGCCAGTATAGACAAGTTTCCTGTGTGGGGGACACCTGGTCAAAAATTGGACCGTGCACCAAGATAAAGGAGTGTCCTGTGAAAGGTCAGTTGTAAGCATCCATGACCAAGTCCTGTGGAGCCCTATCAGGACAGGGGTAGAGTTTATAGGAAATCTCCTGAGACAGACCTCAAGACCAAATAAGAAAAAAAAAAAAAGCTCTTTATTTTTAAGTTCTCTAAGAAAAACACACACATATTCTTACACATATAAGCCCTCACACACATACACTCAAACATACACATAAACGTTCACACTCACTTTCACAAGTGTGCAGACACACAAGCATATCTACACACATTCTCCCAAACATACACACATTTGCACATGTACACATATATTCACATACATACTCATCAGAGGCACATCCTTCTACCTGTACATTGTGGAGATAAAAATGACTCCATCTTGGATGCCAATCCAGCATGTTACCTTCTGATTACCACAGTCCCATGGATGCCTCCTGATTCCTGCTTTATTTACTGTCCCTAGTGTAAGAACAAGTCAACCTTGTTGTTATTACACAAATCATAGGCTATGACGCATGGGGCCTTCTTGCCTGTTCTGGAGGGTTGCCTTTGATTGTCTTGCTGGAGCAGCAACACCTTTCCCTGTGGTACGTAAGTCTTGGGTCTGGGGAGTAACAGTGCAGAGATCTACCTGTCTTACTGCTCCCCAGGACCACACTTCCATCCTATTCTCACAAACTGGATTTATCTGCCTTGCTCTTTGGTTTCTTGGCTCCTTCTGTGTTTGGGGGTTGTTTTGCATATACAGCCCTTTCATGTAACATACATGCATGCACCCACACACATGCATACTCTCACTAACTCATACACACAATCCTGTTAAACTCTTCTCTTTATTAAAAGAAAAAAATTATTCCCATTCTTTGGCATCAAGAAATGATATCTCCAAGGCTGGGCATGGTGGCTTACACCTGTAATCCCAGCACTTTGGGAGGCCAAGGAGGGCAAATCACTTGAGGTCAGGAGTTCAAGACCAGCCTGGCCAACATGGTGAAACCCTGTCTCTACTTAAAAATACAAAAATTAGCCTGGCATGGCTAATTTTACAGGTGGTGGGCGCCTGTAATCTCAGATACTCAGGAGGCTGAGACAGGAGAATCGCTTGAACCCAGGAGGCAGAGGTTGCAGTGAGCCAAGATCATGCCACTGCACTCCAGCCTGGGAGACAGAGTGAGACACTGTCTAAAAAAAAAAAAAAGAAAGAAAGAAAGAAAGAAAGAAAGAAAGAAAGAAAGAAAGAAAGGAATGGTATGTCCAGAGCCATAAAAATACTCTGCAATGTCATCTTATTTGTTATAACAGTGGCCTGCAAAGTAGCCAATCAAATTTAAATGCAGGGACAGCCAACTCCAGAGGTCAAAAGAAACCAGTCTGGGTGAGAAGACGAGAGTAACCGCATTCATCCTTTCTTACCAAAGTAACTAAAACTACAGTCTACTGAAAATATTTGAATAAGTACAAAGCCAAATCCCAAATTTTTTATTTCAGCTTTGCAAATCTCAAAAATTATCTTTTTCTCAGCTAGTGGAAGCTAAGTTCACTAAAAATGCTTGTTAACCTAATTAGGTGACTGAGCTAAGTACACATTCTAAGTTGGAGTACTGTGAGTGAGCACACAGGTGGGGTAGGTGGCTTATTTCCCTGAGATCTGCCGCTGGTGGTGATTTATTTTAGAAAGCTGCATCTTTAATTAAGTATGAGTAGCATATGATTTATTATGTGTGCATAACATGTTGTAACCAAGTATCACCATGTTCAAAGAGCCCTTAAATTCTGTGAACTACATGAACAATGAGTCCATGTCACTTGGCAGACACAGTATGTGTCGCCTTCTTACTCCATGTATTAGTCCATTTTCATGCTGCTGATAAAGACATACCTGAGACTGGGTCATTTATAAAGAAAAAGAGGTTTAATGGCCTCACAGTTCCATGTGGCTGGGGAGGCCTTACAATCATGGTGGAAGGCAAAAGGCACGTCTTACATGGCAGCTGGCAAGAGAGAATGAAAGCCTGTGCAAGGACACTCCCGTTTATAAAAACATTAGATCTCATGAGACTTATTCACTTCACAAGAACAGCAAGGGAAAGACCCACCCCCATGATTCAATTACCTCCCACTGCATCCCTCACACAATACATGGGAATTGTAATTCAAGATGAGATTTGGGTGGGGACACAGCCAAACCATATCACTCCATAATGTCTTCCACTTCATTTAGTTGCTTTTTAGAGTGGTGCCTGTGCTGTGTGACCACATGCTCTTGGAATTTCAGGAGGGATGCTGCTTAAGCTAGTAGATATGTAGCAATCCTGGCTGAGCCCAGTTGGGTTGCTATTGCAGACTTGTGGGCTGATGGCCCTGTGGGTGTCTTTCGCACAAGCTGATATGCATGGTGGGGTGGGGGTTCCTGGGGGCCAGAGGTACTAATAGAGCAGAGAAAAGGAAGGTAAGGGGCAGTTTCTGTCCCTGCCACAGTCACCTCTCCTTGGCTGGCTCTGCCCACTGTGCAGGCTAATTGATTACATTTGACCTCCTATGGATAGGGGATTGGAAAGAAAGCCAAAGGAGCAGCTTTCATGAAAGTCCAAGGGAGATTCTGGGTACCACTGTGACTGAGGCAACCAAGCAAAGCCAAGTTGGAGGAGAGGGGTCATTGCTCTTATTTTGGTGCCACAACATAGCAGCAGGGTCCGACAGGGTCTGAAAAACCACAAAGAGCAGCTGAAGTATGACTGGTATGATTTTCGTGGAATAGTGACAGAGGACCTTGTCTCATGAAGGTCACCAGCAGCAGCAGCAGAGGTCAGTGGCCTCCCTCAAGGGCTTGTGTGCCGTGGATTTCCACAAGAATATCAAGCAAAAGAACTTGAGGAGGCTCATTCCTGAGTACCTAGGGGTCCCTGGAGACTCACAGAAATACTGCAAGGAGACTTTGAATAGCTGGTGGTTGAAATCCTACCTTCTCCATGAGAGGGTTCAATGTCAGTGTCAATGGTATCTCTTTTGTTCCATCAGACTAGTGAAATGGAGACATTCAGATACACACACTCCATAATCAGTATGTAAATTATCACTATGCACACACACACACACACACAAACACCTCTATGCTGAGATAGGCTCGCTGGCTCCTGGGAACACTACATGTCCCTGGGATTACATGCCCCAGCCTCCCTTGCAGCCAGGTGTGTCTGTGTGACCGAGCCCTGGCAAATGGAATGTAAAAGCAGGAAGAATATATGCCTCTTTCAAGGCAGGTTCATAATAATCTCCCACTTGTTACCACCTATCCCTGTTTTCATCCCTCAGCTGAATAGAGAGGACTCCAAGGAACTTAAGGAGGTCAGAGCCAAAAGACTCTGGAAGTAGCCTAGCACCTGAATTTTCTATTATTATTATTATTATTATTAAACCCTATCCTCCCACCTCTGCCTCCCTTAGTGCTGGGATTATAGGCATGAGCCACCACACCCGGCCTAGCACCTGAATTTTCTACGTGGAAAATGACCAGACCAAAAATACCCACATTGGTGGAATGAAAGCAAACAAATTTCACTCAGATTGTGGAATTGTTTATTATAAAAGTTAGTGTTGCTACTCTTCCCTATTATATCATTAATCCCTAGAAAAGCATTATTATCCCCAAATTACAAATGTGGAAATTAAAGTTCACAGGGGTTTAGTCAGTGATTCTCACCAGGATAAATTTTACTCCCCAGGGGACATTTGGCAATGTTTGGAGACATTTTTAGTTTTCACAACCAGAGGGGAAGGATTGCTGCTGGCATCTGGTATGTAGAGGCCAGAAATGCTGCTAAATCCTCCAGTGTACAGGACCAGATCCTACAACAAAGAATTTTCCAACCTAAAACATTAACATTACTGAAGTTGAGAAACACAGTGGGGTTGAGGGTTAAGAGATTTGTCTAAAGCCACTGAACTAGAACTGGTAAGTGGCTCATAACTTTAGTCCTTTCTTTCTATCAGGTTCTCTTTATCTGGAAACTTGTGAATAAGCTGCCATGTGATAGTGCTCATACCCCCATGTCACTTCCGGTGGGGGAAGCCCCCTTCTGGGGCCAAAAGAATCAAGCTGAGAAATAATAAATGCACATATGTACTAATTATAATAAGTTTCAGAGAAGAATGACTGATATGGTTAGGCTTTGTGCCCCCATCCAAATCTCATCTTCAATTGTAATCCCCGTAATTCCCATAATCCCCATGTGTCAAAGGAGAGACCAAGTGGAGGTAACTGGATCATGGGTTGGCTTCCCCAATGCTGTTCTTGTGATCATGAGAGAGTTGTCACAAGATCTAATGGTTTTATAAGCTTCTGACATTTTCCCTGCTTGCACTTCTCTCTCCTGCCACCACATGAAGAATGCGCCTTGCTTCCCCTCTACCTTCCACCATGATTGTAAGTTTCCTGAGGCCTCCCCAGCCGTGTGGAACTGAGAGTCAATTAAACCTCTTTTCTTTATAAATTATCCAGTCTTGAGCTAGTTATTTACAGCAATGTGAAAACTGACCCTGATTTTTCCTACCTATTTGACAGACAGAGACAAGAATATTGTTTGAAAATCAGTAAACATGTTTGCAGTTCCAACAAGACGTCAGGCCTTAGAAACCTCATTTAGGGAGAAAGTATTTTCATCTCACTGCTAAGGTCCTTGTAGCCTTTTACATGAGCAAAACAAAAAGCTAGCAATATTTTCTGCTTCCAAAAGTAATATATTTGTTATTTTTTAAGACATTAATAAAAAATAGAAAATAGGCTGGGTGCGGTGGCTTACGCCTGTAATCCCAACACTTTGGGAGGCCGAGACAAGCGGATCACTTGAGGTCAGGCATTCAAGACCAGCCCAGCCAACATGGTGAAACCCTGTCTCCACTAAAAATACAAAAATTAGCCAGGCATAGTGGCATGCGCCTCTAGTTCCAGCTACTCGGGAGGCTGAGGCACGAGAATCGCTTGAGCCCAGGAGGTGGTGGTTGCAGTGAGCCGAGATCACGCCATTATACTCCAGCCTGGGTGACAGAGCGAGACTTAGTTTAAAAAAAAAAAAAGAAAAGGAAAGAAAGTGTTTTCTATATTCCATCTTCCTGAGAAAGTCATGATAAGTAATTTTGTTTATATTCTTCCACATTTGTTTCTATGCATATGCTAGCATTTCAATTTCTAATTGACATATATACACACCAATATGTGTGTGTATATATATTAGAGACTGCTAGAGTAAAATTTGTGTCCTCTTCCTCCTGAGAACACATCCAGAATATATTTCCCAGCCTGCCTTGCTGTTTAGTTGTGGTCATGTGGCTAAGTCTAGCCCATGGAGCATGAATAGAAGTGATATACATTTCTTCTAGACCTGGCTATGAAAACTTCCTATACATGCTACTCTAAGCTCTTTTCTCTTTCTAGCTCATCGGGATGAAGACAGCCACATGTCAAAGATGACAGAGCTTCCTTCAGCTTGAGCTCTGCAGGATCACTTGGAGGAAAGTAGCCCCAAGAACCTGTTTACTGTCTCTAGATTGTTATATGAACAACAAATGTACTTCTACTGTGTACATTTGTGTACAAGCTAGCAATATTGCTCTGCAACTTGTTTCTTTCACTTAAAAATATATCTGGAATGGACCGGGTGTGGTGGCTCACGCCTGTAATCCCAGCACTTTGGGAGGCTGAGGCAGGTGGATCATAAGGTCAAGAGTTCGAGACCAGACTGACCAACATGGTGAAACCCCGTCTCTACTAAAAATATAAAAATTAGCCTGGCGTGGTGATGCGCGCCTGTAATCCCAGCTACTCAGGAGACCGAAGCAGGAGAATCGCTTGAACCCGGGAGGCAGAGGTTGCAATGAGCCAAGATCGTGCCATCGCACTCCAGCCTGGGTGACAAAGCATGTATGTGTGTATATATGTGTGTGTGTGTGTGTGTATATATATATATATATATATATATATATATGTATGGAACTTTTTCTATGTCAGTAGCTATCCTGTATTTCTCATAAGATATAGTTTTCCCCCACAATTTAACTTTTCTGAAATTAGGAGATATATTTGAGAAGTATGGTTGCCAAAAAGTTTCCATTAAATGATTGAGGTAGCTTAGAATCAAGAAAATACCACAAATATTATTTTTAGGGCCTTAAAAAATAATATGAATTTATCATTGCTGTTAAAAATCAAAATAGTACCACCAGATTTTAAAGGAAAAGGAAAGCTCTGCAGTATGGCATAAATGTTCTAAAGACAGAACAGCGCTTCACTTGAAATACAAGCCGAAATAATTTTGCTAATAAAGGAGCAGAATACTCACAATTCAAAGTGCTGAGGCTAAAGAAGTCTCTGAGATCCTTAAACTAAATAAGCATTGGTAAATAAGGAAAGCATTGGTACAGACATGGGCTGATTGCATCCAGGTTTAATCTTGTAAACTATTTAGAATATATTCAACAATTATAATAAATACTGAAAAATATTATTATATCAAGAGTACTATCAAAACAAAATTAACTTGAAAAATATCAGAAAGCTGTTCTAAGAAGCAGTTAAGTGCTAGGCATGAGACAGAGATGAGAAATCAACCAACTGGGTGTACCATCTCCAAAAAGATTGAGAATGCCTATTTTTAATGCCATATTTCATTCATGTTTAAGAAGAGCTATCATATTCTTACCTTCTTATCTGCTGTCAAACTTTCCACGTTCAATAAACTTTTTAAAATTATGAGCACATGTAGTATCATTTGAGAAATGGAATGTTGGACCTAGATTCGTGAGTTAGAAACGACTTACCTCTCTCCTTGAAGGTTTTAGAAATATTATGCACTTAAGAAAAGCTTTTTTTTTTTTTTTTTTGCAGAATGAGCTCCAAAAAACATTAAACATGAAAAAATAAGCAAGATGTGCTGAGGGAAAACTTGACATCTTAAAATTAATTTTCCTTATAAAATGCATTTACTGTTTTCTCTCTAAAGCAATGAGGAATTTTGTGGCCACTATACAACTCTGTTTTGCCTCTTTTGATGGTTTCTGAGGTCCCTGGACTCCCTAAATTATTCTTTCTGAAATATGTTCTCTTTGGCAGAGTGGAATTTTTTTCTCACGGAAAGAGTTGGTGGTTTAAAAATACCTTTTTTGGGCACAGAATAAAATATTCATCAAACCCCGCCTCCTGATTTCCCAGCATCTATTTATGAAAACCTGCCACTAAACATCTTATGGTGACCAAAAATGTTCCCAGGTGACAGCAAAAATAACTGATTTATATTATGATTTTATATTCCCAGTCCAGCTTTTAGACATTCCACAAATCTTTATGTTTGTATAGAAAATGACCTCTGGAGTTTTCTTCCTTCTCAATTACTATTTATGCCATAAGCACACAATTATTCGAGAACTGATGAGTCTTGGACTAGAATTCACTGCAGAGAGTAGTTTAGGATATAGCTTGCAAGATTTCATAGAGTAAATCCCAGAAGCTCTCCACCCAATGTCATTCCTGACAAATGAAGAAAATATAGGTTCTTTGGAAGAAAAAGATGTGATTTGTAAAGCTAGCTGAGCCAACATCTTCAAAGTAAGAGAGACAGCCAGCAACTCACTATTCATAGACATATTTTATACCCTCGAATCGTGTGGTTTCTCTGCTGGTGAGTAATGAAAGCCATTTGGTTTTTCTGTCCAAGTAATAACAAGTCTTGTTCAAGGAAACTAGTTTTATTTAAAGCTTTGAGATTGTTTTTCTTGTTTTCTTGGCTTAAAAAGAGTCAGCATTGAAAGACTCTTACTTCTTTCTTTACTATAAAAAGGAGAAAACTGCTTATTCTTTCTGAGTCCTCTGTGGAATTTGTATTCACGTAGGAAGAAATTTGTATCCCTACACCAATGTCTAGCTAGTTTTTAAATTTTTATTTAGCAGACATTTATATATACTGTCTGCACCAAGCATTTTACACTTATGAACTCCATTAATCCTTAGAATACTCAGATAAGATTTTCTTGATAATTTCTTCTTTTCCTTAAAATTCAAGGTAGCAGTATTTTTTGCTGTGGATAGGACTGCGATTCATTTTAAGCTTTTTTGTCTTTTAGAATCATCCCAAGCAGATAGAAATGGAGAAAGGAAGAGTAAACCTCTAAAATATTATTTGGGGATCAATGTCAGTAGAGAAATAACAGACCAAAGCATCCAAAAAGGAAATATTTAACTTTGATAGAGCTTGTAGTTTGAGAAATTTATATAAAAACAGACTAACTCCCAACCATATAAGCTAACCAGCTGGTATTTATTTTATCAAAACTTCAGAAACTTTTGCCACAAATATACCATGAAAGGCAATGCTACAGATTATATACTAGAGTTAATAGAGTGGTGTTAATACTGTTTTCACAATGCTCATTAAAGCATTTAGAGAAAATATCACCATGTCATACAACACTGCCCTACATGATAGAAGACCAAGATCTTAATTTGGTCTTTCAGTTCTTATATGTGTCTTTTTAATACATATCTAAAAACGTGTCTTTTAAATACATGTGTCTTTTAAATACATATTTTTAAGATGTGTCATTTAACTACAGAAATGGAGATAATAACACCTCCCTTAATGAAAATTTGGGGCAGGGCAGAAGAATCCCTGAAGTCTCTACAGTATGATCTAACATCTTATCACTCATCCCATGCATCAGTGTAACCTCATCTACCACAGCATTCCCCAAAGTGTGATTCATGGAATGCTAGATTTACATGAAAATAAAGCATTCCAAGATACACATGTTTCAGAAATGCTTCATATTATGTGGTCCTCTTGGAGATGCACAATGCAGTTAGGCTATGAGAAGCCCTGCAATAAATGACCTTGCATGATTTATTTAACCTAACCTAGCCTTAGTGTTCTGAGAATGTGGCTGGACCACTGGTTTATCTAATGAACTCTGGACAATCTGCTTCAAGATATGAGGACAAGACATTGCAGAGAATAGATTAGAGCCTGCATTCAGGAGCAGGCAGGGATGGTTTCTGTAGTGAAGTTGTTCTAGTTTGGTTCTTAGGTGCAGAGATTGGGTTTCTCGTCCTTCTCAGTTCATGACCGATTTTCACAATGGTCAAAGCAACACTCCTCTCTGCTTTTTTTTTTAATTCAGCCCTGTTCTAAATGTACCTAAATTTGTCTTAATCAGATATGGTAAGACATACAGACACAGAAATGACCATTATAAGGAGGGAGGTCTTACTCTCACAAATCCAGGGCCACATGGGGAGGCACAGGGCTAGTGGGGAGGCAGAGAGAGTAGGGGTGGGGGAATGTGGGCGAAAGGCTTTATTGTGGTTCTTGCAGGAAGGAAAGGCAAGACAAGGTAAGTGGGCTTAAGATTGGCCAGTTTGAGTAATTTCAATTGGCTCCGGGGCTTAGAGGCTATAGATGGCCCTGGGGTGATTAGGGCAGGTGGATAGTGGCCCAAGGAGTAAGTTCCCTATGAGTGCCCAAGAAAGGAGGTGGTTTGGACTATGGGCTTCGAATTACTTGGCTTACATATGAAAGGTGCACTCTCTGGCAAGTTATTTGCTATGTCTGGGAGTTAGCCAGCCCTGGCAGAGGCAATCTCTCTGGGGTCAGCAAGGCCTCAGATGTCAAAATCTACAAGAATCAAAAGATATGCTTAATACAATCCCTAATTTCCACTCTCATGCTCCTCACCACAATACAAACCCATTCTAAGGTATTTGATATATATCCAAGGGAGATATATATACATATGAAAATGTAAATATATATCCTTGGAAATAGAAACATATTTGCAAAATATGAAGTGAGTTTTATGAATGTATGTGATTTCAATTTGCATAAGTAGTATTATGCTATATATATCATTCTATTTCTTACTTTTTTCATTCAACACTTTTGAAGATCCAGCCACCTTGCAGTATAACAACTACCTAGTTTTGGCATGTAGCATCTAGGTGCAGTATAATTTTTTTAGGCTGTATTTGATCTATCCATCCCTTAATAGAAGACTCTTGGTTGCTTCCAACTCCTTACCAGGAGCAATGCTTTAATGTTCCCTTACATGATAACTTATCTGGATTGTAACTACTGTGTCAAAGGGCAGATGCACACTTAATATGCACACATACTGCAACTTTGCTCTCCAGAATGGCCAAGCCAATTTATACCCAAACCAGTCATCCCTAAGGGTCCTCATTTCCCCATGTGCCCTGACATGGCTGATCTCATGTTATCATGAGATTCTAGCTTTAAATCGTTGTACCAGGCATAGGCAACACAAGATCGGCCATCCTGCATTGGGTTCCCCTCTTAGATTGTCTCAAGTTGCCCTCAGTGCCACGAGACTGAATTGTGAAAGCAGCAAACTTAACTTCTTGTGGCTTCACCACAGGCTCAAAAGGCTCAATGTGATCTCAAGTTTGGTCTGCTTTCTTGATGACATTAAACTCCAACTATGGCTTGGGATTTCAGAGAACAAAACTATGGTTTCACCCTTAGAAGCATGATAGAATTTATTAAGGAAGGAACTAAGAGGAATGGGAAGCCATATTTTAAAGATAATAAAGCATCTTCTTCGGTTAGGTTAAAAAAATTAGTGAAATTATTACAAACCCCCCAAATAGAAAGGTAATTTAAGGCCTACGCATGGAATAGTCTGACTTTAGGAATCGTATTCACTCAGGAAATCAAGAAAAACTGGAGTAGTTTGAAAAATATGACTCATTCTTACACTTAGGATGTGAGCAGTTAAAGAATATAAAGAAAAGTGAAAATCAATTAATCTGTAGAAGGAGACAGATTTCCTTCCAAGGAAAATTGAGGTCTCAGATGACAAGATGGGCTGATTTAGAAAGATGATGATGGAACGGAGGGAATATTTTGCACATTACTACATCACAAAGAATGAATTGGGCCTAGTGAAATATAACAGAAAAAGCAAGGCAAGATTGGAGAGAAATGGCTGGAAAGACTTCCCAGAAATTGCTGCAATCCAGGAAGTGCTTGAGAAGTCCCTTCTTAACCCTGTAGATAAAACGTCTGTAGTAAAGACAGTAGGGGGAACTACCCTTGCAGACTGGAACCACTGGACCAAGGAGCCAGACAAATCTGGATCGATATAAGAGTGGAAGACTATGAATTCGTGTAAAGTACTGAGTTTCAGGATGATGCAGTCATTATGGGGTGAGATGCGATAGGGCCCGTGTCCTGAGAGAGAGCATATATCAATTTATGGAATTGCTATTTATGGGACTCTATGGGAAGATGCTGCAAAGATGAGACCAACAACAGGAGCGTGACAGAGGTCAATAATAGATTGAGACCAGCCCTGCATTGGATGCTGGTCTGATGGGAGACATCTTCCAGTTGGGATGATCTGACACAGGAAACTGGGGATGGTGATGATTGGTGTACAATGGGTGCTTTGGGGACACTCAGACCTCGTTGATTTCCTCTAAGAGACAAAATCAAGAGGAATAAGTACTTTTAAATGTCTGTGACAGAAATCAAAGAAAAAGGAAAAAGGAAGAAAACATTTAACTGCAGCAGTAAGTGTAAGCCCTACATGGTTAGAGAAGGAAATAGATGCTTAAGGTTAAACTGTTAGAAACTCACTGAGCCTTCCTGAGAGGAGTAGGTGAAGAGGAAAGCAAATGAGACACCAACAGCAGATTGCACCTCTATTTAAAAATGTGGAGCAGAAAGAAATGCTATAACACACAAACTCTGGGGAAAGATGGAGCTGAAGACGAGGCACTTTCGTGGCCAAGGCAGCCGAGGCCCTTTGTGGCCCAGAGCACTGAGATGTCCAGGTGTGGACTCACTGGGCCAGACTTACGTGGTCATGGGCCCTCAGTGGGCCCTGGGACACTGACTTAAGAAAATCAACCATAGCTTCAGTTGATCAATCGGTTAAAGGCTGAAACAAATGTGGATATGAAGAGAAAATCTTCCCTAGCAATGTGCTCTGGCACTCAAATGTTTACCAACTCCAACACCCACGAGAGGGCCCGAGAGCGCCCAAGAGCACTCCTCAACACCCACAGCCTCATCGTCACGGTGCCCAGCAGGACACAGCCCACCAAGCCCCAACCCCGCTTCAGCCACCACACAAGGTCAAAACCCCAGGTCACCCTAAGCACCCAGCTCTCATCCCCGCGTGGTGCATGAAACACTCTTTGATTCCCTTCCCTCACTCGCCATCTCAGTCTCCCTTCAGCAAACGACCCTAGCTCCTTACCCTCTTCCCTGAACAGCCTCCTCACCTTCCCACTGTGGTGGGTACCTGGCTTTCCCTTAAGGACCTGGCCTCCCCAGCAGTCCTCCCACTGGGCATAGGGGAGGGACAGGAGTCTCACTCCTCGCCAAAATTTCCAGATCATTGTTCCCCAACCCCTCCCTAAAACTCCCAGTTCCTGTGACTCTCCTGCGGGATAAATCATCCAGTGACTCCTCCCACTCGGACCTCCCAGTGGCTCCGTTCTTTGAAGAGCTCAGCACTGGGCTTGTTGCCTTTCTCTGCACCCACTCCTCCCATCATTATTCTTAGAGATTCCCTTCTAAACCCCAGCCTCTCAGCTCCTTGGCCTCCTCTCCTGCACTGACCATCTCCTCTGCAAACTTCAGCCGCCCATGCCCATGGCTGAAGTCCTTGTCGTCACCGATGATTGCACCCCTCCGTGCTCATGATTGCAAGCATTCTCATCCTTTGCCTTAGGATTTTCCATGAACATAAACATGTCATCTGTGAATAAAAATAATTTATTTCTTCCTTTCCAATCTGTATGTCTCCTAGTTATTTTTCTTTCTTTATTGCCCTGATTTGGAACTCCAGTACAATGTTGAACACTTTATGTCGAACAGTACACTTTATGCTTCCTGTGTTCCCAGATCATCCACTCTAATAATGCAGGCAGAGGGAGAGAGAGGGAGAAGGAGGATGACCATTATCAGGAATGAAAGAGGTGACATCACTATAGATCTGAAAGGCCTTAAAAGAGAATAAGGAAATATTATGAACAACTTTTGCCAATAAATTTGATTACTTAGATAAAATGGAAAAAATTCTTGAGAGATAAGAATTATCAAAATGGCACAAGGAAAATTAGAAAATGTGAAAATATCTATATCAACTAAATGTAATTCATAATTTAAAATCTTCCTGCAATAAAGGTCCAGATGGTGAATTATTTCAAATATTTGAGGAAGAAATAATGCCTCTACACACAAGAAAAGGGGATAGCAGCAGTTCTTATTTTTTGAAGCCAATATTACCTTGATATATCAGAAACAGAAAAGACAATAAATAAAACTATACTCCAATATCCATCATGAACATAAAGGTAAAAATTCTTAATAAAATCCAATCTAATCCAACAGTAAAAAAGGATAATACACCATGACCAAATGGAGCTTATCCCAGGAATCCAAAATTGGTTTAACATTCAAAAATCAAATTACGTAATTTACCACATTGACAAAGTTAGAGAAAACCCATATGATCATCTTAATAGATGCAGAAAAAGCATTTGGCAAAATTCAATACCCACACATAAAATTTTTAAAAAAGTTCTCAGCAAACTAGGAATAGAAGAAAATTTCTACCTGATAAAGGACACCTATGAAAAACTTACGCTAACATCATACTCAGTAGTGAAGGACTAAATGCTTTCTCAAATACCTGAAATAAGACAAAGAAATCCACTCTTGTCCAACATTGTACTGGAATTCCAAATCAGAACAATAAAGAAAGAAAAATAATTAACAGGCTTATAGATTGGAAAAAAGGAAATAAATTATTTTTATTCACAGATGACATGTTCATGTACATGGAAAATCCTAAGAAATCTACCAAAACGTTTCCCAGAGCTAATAAGTGAGTTTAGCAATGTCCCAGCATATGAGATAAATATTCAAAAATTAACTGTACAGTATTCCTATAAATAGCAATGAACAACTAGAAATTGGAATTTTAAATTTACCATTTGCAGTAGCATCAAAAGTATAAAATATTAAGAGATAAATTTCACAAAATATGTGTAAGACCTGTATACTGAAAACTACAAAACACAACTGGGAGAAATTTTAAAAGATCTAAATAAATGGAGAGAAATACCATGTCCATGGATGAGAAGACTCAATATTAAGATGTCACATCTCCACAAATTGAGCTATAGATTCAATGCAATCAGAATTTTTTAAAGCAGGATTTTTTTATAAAAAAGGACAAGTTGATTCTAAAATTTATATGGAAATGCAAAGATCTGTAATAGCCAAAGAAATTCTGAAAAAAAGGAACAAAGTTGGAGGACATGCACTATTTGATTTCAAGACTCACAGTAATCAAGACAATGTGCTATTGGCACAGGATAGAATGATAAAACATGATAGAATCTAGAAATAGAATTTCAACGAAGTTAGTAAGGTCATTTAATGGGGAAAGGACAGTGTTTTCAACAAAGGGTGCTAGAACTAACGGATATCCATATGAGATTTATATAATCTTGTACTCTCAGCACTTAGAGCAGAACAAGGCACAGTGCAGGCTGCTTGCTGAGTAAATGAATAAAAGAACAAATAGCTATATGAAGACTAGTTTAGGCTGTGTGTGTGCAATGCAGCCCTCTCTCCAGGCAGAGGGGCAATGGGCACCCAGTACCATGCAGTGCAGGAAAGTCATGTGGCATATGCTACGCAACTAACATGCAGAAGAGTACATTGGTGAGTGGTATTTCTTTATATACCTGGCAGCAGAGAGGGCCCCTCTACACTTAAAGCTACTTCTACCTTAGGGGAACTTCCATGAGGCCTAGGAACAGGGGACCACCGGGAGCATCAGTAGTGATATGCGCTACAGAAAAAATATTCACTGGCTGCAAATTCCTCTAAGAACTTCAAAATATACCCACTTTTCTCTTGGCTCACAATTATACAAGTACCCCCAGATACCTTGGGGCCTAAATTAGCTGATCTCTCTACCTCACACAGTTGAGTGAACTTGAACATTTAAAGTGACTTACTCTAAGGCAGGGGTCCCCAACCCTCGAGCCACCATGGCCTGTTAGGAACTGGGCCACACAGCAGGAGGTGAGCTGTGGGCAAGCAAGCAAAGCTTCATCTGTATTTACAGCTGCTCCCCATCACTCACATTACTGCCTGAGCTCTGCCTCCTGTCACATCAGTGGTGGCATTAGATTCTCATAGGAGAATGAACAGTATTGTAACTACACATGTGCAGGATCTAAGTTGCATGCTCCTTATGAAAATCTAATGCCTAATGATCTGTCACTGTAACCCCCAGACGGGACTGTCTAGTTGCAGGAAAACAAATTCAGGGCTCTCACTTATTCTATATTATTGTGAGTTGTTTAATTCTTTCATTATGTATTATAATGTAATAATAATAGAAATAAAGTTCACAATAAATGTAATGTGCTTGAATCATCCCAAAAGTATCCTCCCTACCCAGGTCCATGGAAAAATTGTCTTCCAAGAAACCAGTCCCTGGTGCCAAAAAGGTTGGGGGACCGATGCTCTAAGATACTATGACTCTGACTCCCAAAGTCACACTCAATATCATTTGGAAAATTCCTGCAAAAGTTGTTTGGTAACCAATGTGGAAATGAGAGGAGAAATGGTCATTTCAGCTGAAGAGAACAGGAGTTGGAGACACTCTAATCATCCCAGATAATTTCTATTGTATGTTTATAAATTTGTCTTTTCTATAATTAGATTTGTTCAGTAACAGCAATGAAGTCCCCGGTTCTTCAATTAGTTAGTACTTTTAACCCCCATGGATATTAAGATATCAAAAAGCTAAATTTGAAATGCAGATCTGAGCTGTAATGTATTCATCCCAGCATGCTGTGCAATTTTGCATTTATGTCTTTGTTGTGTGGATGATGTTGTGTGGGTAACAATGAAGATGAAATCTTAGTGCCAACTACCTTGTATATATAACAATCTTTCCCTCTCTCTTTAAATTAATCATGGAAGTGCTAAAGCCAACTTTTTCTGCATTTCTCAAAAGAGACTGATGATCCTCAACACAGGCACACAGAAGATACAAACACACACATAAATACATCCACATTTAGAGACAATTTGCAAAAACAAACTGAGGGTCATTTTTTTTTTTTTTTTTTTTTTTGCTTTGGCAAAAGGAATGCTTTCTGGAGAATTCCTTAAAATAACATTAAAAATTGCACTGATTTTGTATTAAAGTAACAAAAGTTCAATTTATATGTAATGTCTTAAGGATACATCGACTTGTAAAGACAGATACGCTAGTAAAGATTTGACAATTACTCCTATATATGGCATCATAATTTTTGCCATAATAACAGTATAATTTCTAGGAAGAGTCCGTTCAGAGGGCCACCTGAGCCCAGTCTCCTTTCCAATTCTGCAATGAGCCCGTACGTTTGCTGATTACCCCGCAGGTCTTGGATCCAATTTAACATTTGGTTGGTGGCAGTTGTAGAGGAAAACGTGGGACAGCAGATTGGAAATTTGCAAACCTCCTGGAAAAGCTATTTGCTAAGCTTGTGTCAAATATGCCTGAGTAGGCTGTGGCAGCTGCAAAATCTAGGCGCCCAGGGTGCAGATGGTGTTCCTGTCACGTGGCCAAGGGTTGGCTGGATCCTTCACATCACAGATCCCCTCAGCCAGTGGGGCTGGGTCCTTCCTGTAGGGCACCTGCATCCCACTCCAACCACTGCCACTGACACTGCCACCCAAGGCTGTGGTGTTGACACAGGCATGGTGGCAGAGAAGGGTACAAAAGGTCAGGCTTCTTGTGCCCCAGCATTTACTGCAACAAGCTATGACATGGGCTGGGAAGGAGCATGCTCTCCCAGCAGCATCTAGAATACTTAGAAAACTCTTAGTTACTACCCAAAATAGACATTTCCCTCCAGCAGTGCAAATCCTTCCCCATCCCACTCAAAAGGTATCAACTGTCTAATCTGGCACCTCTGACTCCTGCAAATCTGGATTTTCTGCCTTCCTAATCCTGCACAGAACTTCAGCTTCTAGCTAGCCTTTCTGGCTTCTCCACGCAGCTCATAATATTCTTCTACATTGTGGCTTGTCAGTACTCACAGACTCTTTGATTTATTCAATCAGCCATTGATTCACATATTCATTCCATAAATATTTACTGAGCATCTACTATATGCCAGGTGCTGGGGAGGCAATTGTGAGAAAGCCCTACAATGGTAAATAAGATAAACAAGGTCCTGCATTTAAAACTTTCCATCTAATGAGGAAGATCAGTAAACAGGCACATAAAGGGAAAGATAAAGAAACGAAGATGTTACAGGGATGCACAGTAAAATTCTTTAGCAGACTTGTAAGTCAGAGAGGCTTCATGGAAGAGCTAATGTCTAAACTGAAGCCTAAGAGGTGAGTGGGCCTTAGGCAGGTCCAGAGTAGCATGGTGAGGATGGGTTTGAGGAGGGAGTGACCCTCAGGGAGGCCAGGGGCTCCAGAGACCGTATCCTAGCAAACTAGAATAAGCACCAGAGAGGAGGTGGGGCTCTACTCGTGTGGGTCTCTTTTCATATTGTTTTGTGTGTGCTTTTGAATTTACGTCTGCATTCTATCTCATATATTGTTTTATCCTCCCTATAAGAGCCAATTCTTAACACAGAGCTTAGTAAGCACAGGTGATGCTCCATGACATGTTGGTGAATAGATTATAGCTATTTGCTAATTTGTTGAGGCAGAACGATCTTCCTATAGCTCACCATGTGCAGTCTGTCAGGCTGCCTGGAAGCAAAGGACTCAGCCTGGGCCCCTGGTTGCAGAAGGGACTGCCTTGTGCTTAGAGAATGATGTCCAAATGGTGGCCTCATCCTTTGTTCTGGAATAACTCTGTCTTGAATAAAGGATATTCCCATCTCCCCTGACTTTTTGGGAAGTAACAATAATTCACACTCCAGTGCAATAGAGAAGAAATGGGAAGGAGTTGATTGGTGGGCATTTGATAATTCATTAATGGACATTTCTCAGATCTCAGCTTTCTGGGTCTCTGGGCAGGATTCAACACCGAAAATACTCCTTCCTCCTCAAAGCACCCTTCCCTCTTGGCTTCTGAAATACAACACCCTTCTGCACCTCCTCTTGCTGCTCCTTCTCAGTCATCTTTGAAGGTTCATCTTCTTCCACTCAGCCTTTAAATGCTAGGAGGTCTCAAGGCTCATTCCCAGATCACCTTATTGTCTCACTCAATGTTTTCTTCCTTGGAATTTTCTTAAACCCCGTTTTTCCAGTGATCAGCTCATGGGTGATTACTACCAAATGTGTAGCTCCAGCTGAAGAAGGCTCAGGCAGTTGTCATGTTTTGGCTGCTTAGCATCCAAACCTCTTTCCTTCTCACGGAGAATTCCTCTTCTTGCAAGTCTTCATAGGGAGCAGGGTTTCATTCCACGATAGGAGCTGGAGGTGTTGTATAATAATAGCTTCCCCAGCATACAGCACAGCTAGGACATAAGTAAGAAACCCAGGCTCAGCCAATCAAAGGTTCACTTAGAGACTCAGTCTAAATCTGTCCAGGAGACAAAGTGAGGATGACAGCTGGGACAACAGCCTCCACAGACCAGCGCTGGGGTGTCTGTGATGTAAGATGCCACATCCTGTGTTCAACAGCAGCTGCAGAGGAAAATAGCAGTACATTCCTGTCACCTGACTGCTTCCAAGGTGGGATATTGGCCCAGGTTCTGGACATATAGCCTCCTTTTGGTTCTTCCTGCCCATTTTATAAGCGTGGCTCTTTAGGACCCCTGGTGATTCAGTGGGCTACCCAGTATCTGTTCAGTAAATCCCTATTCTGCTTAAATAAGCCAAAATCCGCATCCATTCTGGTGATGGTGGCCCAACTCAGAGAAAAGTTTCCAACTGGCTCTGTTCTGTTCCATCTTCACACCCAGTTACCCTACATCAGCTGTTTTCAAGATGTAGTCCTGTCTTAGTCCATTTTTTACTGCTTAAACAGAGTACCACAGACTGGGTATAAAGAAAAAGAAAAAAATCTCTGGGTATAAAGAGATTTCTTTTATATAGAAGAGAGATTTTCTTGACTCAAGGTTCTGGAGGCTGGCAAGTCCAAGATCAAGGGGCCACATCTGGTGAGGACCTTCATGTTTCATCACAACATGGAAGAAGACAACCCGTGATGAGAAAAAGCAAGGGACGGCAAAAACGCATGACACACTCTGTGAGAGGGAGAAATAGGAGCAGACCTCATCCTTTTATTAGGGGCCCACTCCTGCAATAACTAACCCGCTCCCATGGTAATGGCATTAATTTATGCGTGAGGGCAGAGCCCTCATGACCCAATCACCTCTTAAAGTCCCCACCTTCTAATATTATTACATTGGCAATTAAATTTCTACACAAGTTTTGCAAGGAACATTTAAATAGCAGGTCCCTAGGCACCTGGGGGTTGCTGAGGCACTTTCAGGAGGTCTGCAAAGTCAAAATGATTTTCATTAATTCATAAAATTACTAAGACATTGTTTGTCTTTGTCACAGTGTTGACATTTCCAGCAAGGATACAAACAGTAGTGTGAGGCTGTGGCATGGAGCTGTAACCGTGGCATCATGTTCTTCACCATTGTGCCCTTGGAGAAAAAAAAAAAAAAGCCAGTTTTGTTTAGGAATATCCTTTTTGAAACAGTAAGGAATATTAATTTTATGAAATCTTGACTCTTCATACACAAAAAGTGTAAGTGCTGCTGCCTCACATTCTGACCAAAAGACCCCCACCATCTGTTCATAGAGCTTACGAGTCCCCATTACTATGGGCTGTGGGTAGTGCCCTAGCTCAGTGAGGGCCCACACCGTAGACAGTTCTGTGTTTTCAGTCCCTGGTCCTTGCAAGCCAAGAGAAGAGCCTTTTCCCTCTTACAAAGACCCTAAGTCCTTCCACTCTTTCCTCTCCTAACCAAGTTGCCTTTCACCTTTTGCTCACCCTTCCTAACACTGGTCCTAACTAGTTCTTGAAAGCAGAAAACCTCACTCTGCAGGCACTCAACAGACATCCTTATCTGGCCTTGAGTTTTGCTGCATCTTTGAGTTATTGTTTCTATTTGGGGTGGCCTAGAGGAAGAGAAACCACTACATGGGACCCAAAAGCAGAGGGGTCAGAAAATGCACAGAAAGTACATGAATATTTCACATAACACTTAGCTGCACTTGCAATTCAGAACCCTGACTGTTCAGATGGTCTGTGGATGCTCCTCTCAGCCCCTGACCCACATCCAGCCTACCCTGGATCCACCTCCTTCTACCTGGAACATCCCCCTCACTTGTTGCTCAGCTATCTCCTGCTTTCAACTCAAATCCCACTGAGCTTAAAAGCCACTTTCTCAAAGAGGTTTTCTTCCAGGTTTCACTCTAAATTAGGTCACCTCCTCTGCTACAGTACCCTGTCCTTTCCCTTCATAGATAGCATTCATCACAATTTTAATTTTATATTTATCTGTGTGTGTTTCTTTATTATTTGTCTCTCTCAGTAGATCATGGCCACCAGGAGGGCAGGACCTTGTCTGTTCTGCTCAGTACTATATACCCAACAAGGAAGTGCTCAATATTAATTTATTTTAAAAATTAAGGAGAATAGGGCTATAACTAGTACTCTTTTTAGACCTTTCTTTTTTCTAATGTATGCATTTAAAGCCACAAGTTTCCCTCTAAGCCCTGCTTTAGCTGCATTCTATAAACATTGACAGGTTCATAAATTGTATTTGCATTATCATTTCAGCTTAAATACTTTCTAACTTCACTCTTGATTTCTTCAGTGATACATAGATTATTTAGAAGTATATGGTTTAATTTCAATATCTTGAGTTCCTAAATTGTATAGCATTGTTATTGATTTCTAATATAATTACATGGTGGTCAGAGAACATACTCTATATAATTTCAATTATTTGACATTTATTGAGACTTGTTTTATGTTTTGTGGCCCAGCATATGGGCTATATGGGTGAACACAGCTTACACACCTGAAAAGAATATAGATTCTGCAGTTGTAAGATGTAATATTCTATATCAATTAGGTCAAGGTGGTTGATTGTGTTGTTCAGATCATTTACAACTTTATTGCTTTTCTGTCTAATTGTTCTATCAATTGCTGAGAGAGGGGTTTATACTTATATTTTGAAGCTCTGTTATTAGGCACATACACATTTACATTTGCTGTGTCTTCCTGGTGAATCCATCCGATCATTATGAAATGTCTCTTTTATATCTCTGGTAATACCTTTTGTCTTAAAGTCTGTTTTGTCTGCATGTTCCTCTCTCTTAAGCTGATGTAAAATAGCACCATTTAAACTCCCACTTTTCTACATTCTCCCTCAATTTTTATCTCTGTCTTGTTCTCTAATCTCAGTGCAGGGCTGAAACAAATTAGAAAAGTGATATGAACCAAAAAGATTATTTTCTCTAATGCTGAAAGGAGAGGTATAACCAAGAGGCTGGTCCAGCTCCCATTTTCATCTCTGATGCAGCCATCACTCACCAAAGAGATAAGCTGCACAGCCTCCCTGTTCCCCAGGCTTTCCTCTGAAAGTTTTTCCCCCGATCATGAAAAGCAACTCTACCCATTTCTAACATCTTTATGTGTTTGACTTTATTAAACTTGGGGCTTTCAATAATGCATGAAAAGGAAATCATTTCATGGCTAATAAAGCAGTTGGAAGACAAACTTTGACTAGAGCATCTAACTGTGAACACAATCGATGCAACTTTAACAAGCATTTCAGTCTGCTATAGATTCAGGGGAGACTTTCATAGCACTCTGAGGAAATCAGGTGCAAGGTTAACCATGATTTTTCTTCTGTTTGAACTTTTCAGAACATCTATTCCTGTTACGGGAAACAGCTGGCAATATAGATTTTTAGACGATAACACAGAAGACCCACAGAAGTTCCTCTAAACATTCTAGTTAATGAAAATTTGGGATTTTTATTTTTTTCACTAAATTGCTGTAGTTTGATTGCTGAAGGAACCTATTGCTAGTCTTAGATTGTTTTCAGTCTTCTTGAAAATCTCCAATGCCAATACTGGATGCCTAATGTCATTAAAAATAAATCCAAACCAATTTCCACATGGGATGGACTTTAAATATCATATCTTATTATCATAGGCACCTTCATGAATGTTTGTGACAGGCAGCTACCTAGATGATGGGATTTGAGAGGGTCACAAAAGCCCTAACAGTATCAAACTGTCCCTCATCAGTTACTCTCTTGAATGAGACATTTTCTTCAGAAGGCTCCTGTTAGAGCTCACCTGCCACCTCTGCACAAGTAATATTAAAATGTACCAACATATTGAATGTTTGTTTATCTGATCAGTTAGTGGTTCACTATGCATGGGTCCCCATCACACTGCAAAGAATTTTTGCTGTAAACCCCTCTGTTTAGTGCTTTGCTCTTCTCTCTAGGTAGCTCTGTGGTTTCCACTCTCACCACAAAACAGAAAATGTGAAAATGCATAATATACATCTCCAGCTCTGGCCTCTTTTTCTAAATAATGCATTCTCATCTCTGGCTTCCAAATGGTCATTCTCACTAGGCTACAATTAGCTGAAACCTAACTGCAATGGCTAATTTTGTGTCAACTTGACTGGGCTAAAAGATGCCCAGATATCTGGTGAAACATTATTTCTGGGTGTGTTTCTAGGGGTGTTTCTAGAGAATATTTGCATTTGAATTGGCAGACTGAGTAAAGAAGGTGGCCCTCACCAATGTGGGTGGACACCACCCAATTCATGGAGGGCCTTAATGGTACAAAAACAGGAAGGAAGGGTGAATTCTCTCTCTCTCTCTCTCTCTTTAGTTAGGACATCCATCTCCTTCTACTGCCAGATATCAGAGCTCCTGGTTCTCAGGCCTTCAGATTTTGGGATTTACACTAATGGTCCCCCTGGGTTCTCAGGTCTTCAGCTTTGGACTGAATTACACTACCGGCTTTCCTGGTTCTGCAGCTTGCAGATTACATATCTTGGAACCTCTTGGCTGCCGTAATCACATAAACCATAATAAATCTCCTCTCTATCTATCTATCATCTATCTATCTATCTATCTATCTATCTATCTATCTATCTACCTATCATCTCTCGCTCTATCCATCCATCCATCTATCCCATTGGTTGTGTTTATCTAGATAACTCTGATTAACTAACTTTCCAAAACAAAATTCATTATCACTTCCACACTAATAAGCCCTAATTTATTCAGTGAATTATCATTTTTTCAGCCACAATAGGACTCCCCTCCTCCTCTCTCATTGAGGAAGCCACAAAGCTCCATTTCTTCCTTTCCAGGTCTAGTATCCCCCAACAATAAGAAAGCAGGAGTTCTGAGGGACAGGTGGTGAGTGGACAAGAAGTCAGTAAGTGTGAGAAATGCCCTCTATGGGCCAGACATCATATCAGGTATGAAGACCCAAAAGGCTTATGGCCTTAGAGAATGACCAGTAAATCCACAAAAATATCTGGGGTGCCACTGTGGGGCCCAGCAACTGGATTACAGAGAAAGCATCCTGAAGGAAGTGATGTTTCCATTAAGGGCTGAAGGCAGAATAGGAATTAGCCTGCTGAATGGAGGCATAAAGGCACCTTAGACAAAGGAATAGCATGAGCAAAGGCATGAAGGTAAAATCATGATAGCAGCATATTTCTGAATCTTTTTTTTTTTTTTTTTTTTAGACAGTCTCTGTCTGTCACCATGCTGGAGTACAGTGGTGCAATCTTGGCTCACTGCAACCTCCATCTCCCAGGTTCAAGCCATTCTCCTGCCTCAGCCTCCTGAGTAGCTGGGACTACAGGCATGCACCACTATGACCAGCTAATTTTGGAATTTTTAGTAGAGATGGGGTTTCACCATGTTGGCCAGAATTGTCTCGATCTCTTGACCTCGTGATCCACCCACCTCGGCCTCCCAAAGTGCTGGGATTACAGGCCTGAGCCACCACACCAGGCCATTTCTGAATCTTAAAGATCAAGTTGCAGAGTGGACGACGTGGGGATGTGGAGGTGGCAGGAATTGAGACTGAGGAAGCAGCCAGTGGTCAAATTATGAAGGACCTATTGACACACCTTCGCAATTTTCTTATAAAAACCAAAGTTTTAAGCAATAAGATTATAAATTCATATTGGCATTTTGGATAGATACCACTGGAAGCAGTGTGAAGCAGAGAGAGGGGAACAAGACTGGAGGCAGGGAAACCATGTGTGATAGATTGAATTATTAGTCCTAATTCTTCACTTCACTATAGTAACATTACACATCCACACCTCTTCCATGTCCTCATGGTGGGTGCCATTCATTTCCCACATGTTGTCTTTGGACTCAGTTTGGCCAGTAGGATATTAACAGGCATGGCACAAGTAGAGATTTGAAATGTGCCTGCATGTTTGAGTTAATGCACTTGTGCTCCTGCCTTCCACGATGAGAAGAACATGTCGCTGCATGCCTCTGGTGTCAATAATCCCAGAAGGATGACAGACAAATGGGGCAAACTTAAACCCAACATGCAGTTGGGACTTGAGGCAGGTCCAGCCAAGCCCAATCCAAGGTTATTGAACCACAGCCAACTTGTAGGCACTCAGATGAGGAAGAAATGCTTGTCATTGTAAATCCCTGGGTTTGGGGGTGGTTAGTTTCAAGAATTATTGCTTCAGTAACTAATTTACATACCAGTTAAGAAGGTATTGAAAGAGGAACAAAAAGAAAAAAGAAAAAAAAAATAAGAGGATGATAAGGACTTAAAATAGGGTAATGGCAATAAAGATAAGAAAGAAGTAAATCGATGAAACACCTAAAAGGTAGAATCTAAAAGACAGGGTAAGTGGGGCACGGGGCTCATGCCTATAATCCCAACACTTTGGGAGGCCGAGGAGGGCAGATCATAATGTCAGGAGTTCGAGACCAGCCTGGCCAATATGGTAAAACCCTGTCTCCACTAAAAATACAAAAATTAGCCAGGCAAGGTGGCACGCACCTGTCATCCAGCTTCTTGAGAGACTGAAGCAGAATTGCTTGAACCCGGGAGGCGGAGGTTGCAGTGAGCCGAGATTGTGCCACTGCATTCCAGCCTGCATGACACAGCGAGACTCTATCTTGGGAAAAATAAATAAATAAATAATAAAAGACACGGTAACTGATTGGATATGGAAAGTAAGTCAAGGAAGCCTCTTGGGATCCTAGCTGAGACAACTGAATGAATGGAGACAAATGTCACCAACTGAGTTGAGGGATGTAAGAGGGATGAAGAAGAAGCATATTCGGTTAGATGACGACTCTAGTTTTGATATGGGGAGCTTGAGCAGCCTGTCGGGTATCCAAGTGGAAATGACTGGAAATCTATTAGAAAAGAGGGAGAGGGATGTAATGAACTTGGTTTGGTTTTGTTCGGTTTCTGCTCTGCATCTTATGAACCTACTTTATATGCCAGAGGCTCTCCCATTGTATGGATTTGGTCGGAGACATCACACCCACTAATTCTCCAAAAGTCCAAAAGGCCAGATACTTACTCTCCATGACATCTGAGGTCATGAGTCACATGACCCAAGTATTGCCAATCAGCTAATTCTGCTCAATGCTTTGTTCATTAGTGAAACAAAAAAGCAGGGGATAGCTGAAATTTCATTCAAATGACGCCAGTGGTAACATCCAGCGTCCTGTGTTGGTCCAAGCAGGAGTATCTGCATCCTGTGGGGGTGGCCATAGTATACCCCACCCCATCCTACCCTGGCTCCTGCTCATTTTCTAAACCTGGTTCTCCAGCCCCACTGCAGTCTCTGTGAGCTATCCAATATCCTCCCTAAATCATTTCCTTTTCTGATTAAGTCATCCAAAGTGGGTTACTGTTGTTTGCACTGAAGAACCCCAACTAGTAAAGAAATTTACAACAAGACAGAGCCACAAGGAAATGGAGAGTTTGCCGGAAGATTGGTTATAAGTCTAGTCAGAATACTAAAATCCAGTTGATATTCAGGGAATCTGGCAGTCAGTGGCTCACAGTGGTAAATTGCTCAAATTAAATGCTCACTTATAGTCACCTGGAATGAAGAATTCATTAAGGCAAAACTTTGAAGACCATATCGCTACTTGCATAGAATGAAATGAAGAGCTTGAGTCATACAGACTGTTGTAAATGTAGCTTTTCCCAAGAGAACAAGAGAGTTAAAAAAAAAAAAAAAAGAAGACAAGCTTAAATCTCTAAATGTCCAACTCAAAGACTTTCCAGTAATGTGCTAAAATGATATCTTATTTACAGTCTTTTAAGGCTAGCATAGCTGAAAGCCAAGCACAGAAGTGCATTGCCAAATTTCAACATCTGCTGAGGTGACATACTGAAGCAGCTACATGGTCCAGGGTATATACCCTGGGGTTCGTCATCTCGCGCCGGGAAAATTTAGGACAGGGAGACACACGAGGAGTTTAGGAGCAGAGATTTAATAGAGAGAAGAGAAGAGAAATAGAAACAGCTCTCTCTCTAGAGAGGGGTCTCCCAACAGAAAATGACCAGCTGGTGGAGGAGGCACTGGGTTTTATAGTCCAGCTTGAGGAGATGTCGCCTGATTTACGTAGGGCTCACAGATTGGTTGGATCAGGTATGATGTTTACACAGCCCCGGGGAAGGCTGGCTACCCTGCCCTAATCTTATTATGTAAATGAACTCTCCTGCTGACCCGTGCCACCTTGTCTCCTTTTTACTGTACACGTGGCTGATAAAGAGAAGGGAAGATGGGGCCACCATTTTGAACATGATTGGCACAACTGCCGGTATCTATCAGCTCAATTTTACAGGCTGCTCTTTGTTAGAAGGGAAAATGATTTGGGGCTGCTTTTCATTAAAAGGAAAATCTTACTGAGGACTTCCCTACCCTCACTATCTGCCTAAGTAATTTCTTAACTTCTATATCAAAACTCCCTAGGTATGTTATATAAAGGATAGGGCATTGTTCAGAAAGGACTGTGGCCCCTACATGGGGCACGATGGCTCACGCCTATAATCCTACACTTTGGGAAGTCAAGGCAGGAGGATCACTTGAGCTCAGGAGTTTAAGACTAGCCTGGACAATATACTGAGACCTCATCTCTACAAAAAAAATTAACTGAGCATGGTGTTGCATACCTGTAGTCTCAGCTATTCAGAAAGCTGAAGTGGGAAGATCACTTAGCCTGGGAGGTTGAGGCTGCAGTGAGCCAAGACTGCACCACTGCACTCCATCCTGGACGACAGAGAAAAACCATGTCCCCGCCCCAAAAAAAGACAGCGACCCCCAAAATTGTAATAAGGACATTTGGGAAGATCTCGGAGACTCATAGAACACCAAACATGGAACCCTCCGGGTCTCTCTTGCCAGCTAAAAGGCATGTCCCTCCCTTGTCTGATGAGGCTGCTCCTGCGTAGTTTGAAGATGCTCTAACTCTGTGCACAGACTTCCTCACAGAAAGAAGCCAGCTCTGCTCATGCCTCTTTCCTCCACGCCGTCACTCATGGCTCATAAGTCTGTAAATAGAGTCAGACTCTCGCATGACCTGGAAGCAGGAAGTGGAGCTTTTGATTACTTAAAAAGTTAAATCCCCACCAAAAGACTCAGATAAGCAGATTCTAAGGTGGAGATTAGCAAGCAAGACCTTTATCAGGAAGTGAGCTTGAGACCACCCCTGTGGAGCAGAAGGGACAGAAGCAGCCTTGGGCAAGGAAGCAGTTGTGCTGTGCGCACAATTAGCATAGCTCTGGAGCTAGATGGTCATTTAGAGCTCTTCTGAGTTGGAACCAAGGAGCCAGCCTTTGTTAACCCAACTTTGACCAGTCGTTGGATGTGGCTGCTTCATGATGGGGACATGACCTTGGGCTAGGGACATTTCTTCACTCAAGGCATCCCCAGAGTGAGCTGCTGGCTGAGGGCCCACTCCCAGCAGCTGGGAGAGTAAGTCCTTCATTTCTGAGAGGGGATACAGTGGTGCACCACAGTGTCCAGCACCGTGCATTATTTTAAATCAGCCTGAAATTAATCAGGAGTATGCTCACCAGAAATCAGGAGACAGTGTGCTATCTCCAGCCATTGCAAGTGGCCCTAATTGCTGCCTGTCAGTTGTTTTGAAATGTGGGCTCAACAGTGGCTCATGTGAAATGAAATTCCATGAAACAATGGAAGAAATAATCCAAAAATTTCGGAATATAGAAGTGCTGGAGAGGATTTATCATGTGTCACCTACCCATTCATCTGCTAATTCTCTCTCAAGAGGGCCCAGAAGAGGGCCCAGATTGGTGAGGGAGCACCTCTATCTCTGAGAAGCAGTCTTGTGACTGATTTCCGTAAACTAAAGATGCAATTGTAAGCAGTTGAAATGGGATCCCTGATTTTAATGGAAAAGGAAAGATACCAGAATAGCAGAAGCTGATTTCAGGCACTTAACTACAAAAGACAAGATAATCATGGTAGTTATAATAGACAAGAGGGCTGGAATGGTAATAAAAATGATCCAACCTGACTTGATGGGGGCTAACTGATGAAGTCTGGGGTAGAAATTGAAGTTCTCCATCAATATCCACTCTCTTGTTCTCTCTAACCCAGCCTCCTTTCAGCTGATATGGTTATATAACCAGCTCTGGCCAATGAAGTGAAAGAAGAAAGGTGGGCTATCTTCATCCATTGTGCTGCTATAACAAAATACCTGAGACCGGGTAACTTGTGAAGAACAGGAATTTATTTATCACAGTTCTGGAGGCTGGGAAGTTCAAGATCAAGGCACCAGTAGGTTTGCTGTCAGTGAGGGCTGCTCTCTGCTTCCAAGATGGTGCCTTGTTGCAGCATCCTCCAGAGGTGAAAAATGCTATGTCCTCACATGACAGAAGGGCAAAAAAGGGCCAGACTCTCTGTGAAGGCTCTTTTATGAAGGCTTTATTCCTATTCACAAGGGAGAAGCCCTCATGATCTAAGCATCTCCCAAAAGGCCCCACCTCTTAATACTGCCACTATGAGGATTAAGTTTCAATATGTAAATGTTGGAGGGGACACCATCACTCAAACCACAGCATGGGTCATCTCCAGGACATGCCCTTAAAGGAGGTGGGGAGGATACCATCTTCACTCCCTTCCTCCATCCTACTGTGTGGAAGGAACATGGGGGCAAGTTGTCTTTGGTTGGGGGGTCACCTGAGGGATGGTGGAGCAACCAGAGAGAGTCTGGGACAATTTTGGAATGCGGAGCTGCCATACCAGCCTTAGGCTGTTTATCTTCAGACCATTACATGAAAGCTGGGTCTCTTCTGTCTAAGTCATTGTTGTTTGAGGTCTTCGTTACACCCAGCAAAATCTATGTTATCTAGAAGTTGGTAGCTAAAAGTGTGGCATTGAGTTAGCAGGTGGCAGGAAACAATCATTGTGGGCTAGGAAATGGTGATGCTGGTTGGTTTCCCACGGCAAAATATTTGGTCACAGTGTCACCTATAATACATTGGGAGGTATGAACCAAGCTTATGGTTGTGCAGGAAATGATTAAGACAAAAATAAGAACATTGGTATATTTTGGGTGCTCTTTGCTCCCTTTAGAATAACCCAATGAGCTGAATGTGGTGGTGTGTACCTGTAATCCCAGCTACTTGGGAGGCCGAGGCAGGAGGATTGCTTGAGCCCAGGAGTTCAAGACCAGCCTGGGAACAGAGTGAGACCCCATTTCAATAAACGATGATAATAATTGTCATCATTATTCTTGAATAACCCCAGGGAGAGAAGATGCTGGGGAGAGCAGCCAGTCTGCAAGGGTGGGTGGAAGAGGGAACAACTCTGCTGAGACGTTCCTTTCTCTGTCTGCACCCCACAATCTAAGTTGCCTAAGAGTCAAAGATGGGGCTTTGTGGGTCAAAAAACTAAGCTAACTGCTTCTAGTCACTAAACTAAGCATTTGTAAGTTAAGAGCCACCCTTGTAGCAGGAAATAAGTATGTGGCTCTGGTGCTAAACCTTTCTCAACCGTTCCCAGCAGCCAAGAATGGATTAAGGGTGTTGACTTCCCTTCCAAGCCTGTTGTTTCAGCTGGCCTCGAGGTAACCACCGTTAAATTGGGAGTGGGGTGAGGAACGAGTTGAGCACAAAGGTCAGTGAGCAAATGGCCAGAGCCTTCAGGCTTAAAAATCTATGTTTAGACAAGATGGTTCGCTGTTGTTACTAGCACTTTGAACCAACCAGAAGCAAAAAAAAAAGGAAAAGAAAAAAAGAAAAAAAAACTTTTTAATAAACAGATGGCCAAAGATACACAGCCTGGCCTGAAAAATCTTGTAACTGGTCAACCTTCAAGTCTGTGGCCATTCAACCTTTTTACTTAAAAGGGGGTGGGACAGCACTGATGAAAGGGCCAGGCGGTAAATATCTTGGGCTTTGTGGGTCCCATGCCTCTGAACCCACTTCCTATGTTTGCAGAACCTGTCACTGTGTGAATCATGGTGAGAAGAAGGCCCCTTCCTCCACTAAGACAAATACTTCCTTCCCCTCCCCCTGGCAGCCACAGCATGGGCAGGGGACCTACATGTGGCCCAGCTCTTGGGCAAGTGATACCAAGAAGCAAGGAAGTTAGAATTCCCTCAGGCAGCTCAGTGGTGTGGCCTTTGCCCAGCGCCAGTGGTGCCAGCAGCAGTGTCTGTGCCCTCAGAGCGTACAGTAGGTCTCAGTCAGGTTGCCCTGTGGTGTGACCCTGGAGGGGGTCCTGGCCATGGTTCCCCCACACTCCTGCCCGATTTCTAAGCCTAGTCTCTTCAGCTTTCTTGTCCACTCATGAGAAACCTAGTATCTTTCCAATAATTTCTGTTTCCTGCTTAAGTTAATCAGTCTTCTGTCATTCTTCTTGCTGTTATTTGAAGCCAAGAATTGTAACTGTTACAGTTACAGATAACTATTTTGTGGCCACAGCACAAATGTAGTAGCTAAATCTATGAGGTGGTTTGAAGTTGCTCTCAATGAGAGAGAGAGAAATAAGCTGGAGGTGGAATCTCTGGAACAGAAACATTTAAGGGAAGGAGAGAAAGTGATGTATAAAAGGGGAGTGATAGAGAATGGAACAAGTACAAAGTGAAGAGACATGTACAGAGATGGAGCTCCAAGTTCAGTATTTGGAGCTGGAATTGTTCTATGTGTAAATAAGATACAAAGTGGGTTGGTGACATTCACAGATGCCACGAAGGGCTATAAGCCAGTAAAGGGTCATTGACATGAACATGGAGGTCACGTTTTTCAGAGTGAACTCCTTTAATCCAATTTAAGTAATTTATTAATTTGTTTGAGACAGAGTCTCATTCTGTTGCCCAGCTGGAGTGCAGTGGTGCAAACTTGGCTCACTGCAACCTCCACCTCCCAGGCTCAAGCGATTCTCCTGCCTGAGCCTCCTGAGTAGCTGGGATTACAGGTGCATGCCACCACACCCAGCTAATTTTTGTATTTTTCATAGAATCGGGTTTTTGCCATGTTGCCCAGGCTAGTCTCAAACTCCTGGCCTCAAGTGATTCCTCCACCTTGGCTTCCCAAAGTACTGGGATTACAGGCATGAGCCACTGCTCCTGAGCCTATTTATATGTTATTTTTTTAGAGACAGGGTCTCACTCTTCACTCAGGCTGGTGTGCAGTGGCACAATCATGGCTCACTGCAGCCTCCAACTCCCGGGCTCAAGGGATCCTCCAGCCTCAGCTCCCAAAGTGCTGGGATTATAGGCATAAGCCACTGTGCCTGGCCCAATTTCATTACTTTATTTTTAAAAAATTTTTACTTATTTTTATTTTTTAAAAATTTTATTTATCTTATTTATTTATTTATTATTTTTTATTTTTTTTGAGACGGAGTCTTACTCTGTCACCCAGGCTGGAGTGCAATGGCATGATCTCGGCTCACTGCAACCTCCGTCCCCTGGATTCAAGCAATTCTCCTGCCTCAGCCTCCCTAGTAGCTGGGATTACAGGCGTGTGCTACCACATCTGGCTAATTTTTGTATTTTTAGTAGAGACGGGATTTCACCATGTTGGCCAGGCAGGTCTCGAACTCCTGACCTCAAGTGATCTGCCTGCCTGGGCCTCCCAAAGTGCTGGGATTATAGGCATGAGCCACCACACCTGGCCCCAATTTAATTTCTTAATCCATTTTCCATTCTGTGCAGTTAAACAGTTTCCAATTTTCTCCATTTTTTCATTTTCACATTATTGAAATTATTCTCATTGGCAATAATTTTTTTCATTTAAATTCTAAGATGCTTCATCATCAGCTTTTGGCCCATGGATTCTACCAGTTACAGCATCTGCAACTGGGAATTTTCGTAACCATTTTTTCTCCAATCAAATTTTGTAAATTTGGTCAAGTAGATTTATTCTGTTTTACTCAGTGACAAATTTTATCCAGTGTAGTTTCCATCACTGACAGTTTCATTTAGTGATATTTAGAATGAATTGAATACACCCTGAGAACTTGCATCTATTTGTATTTCTCATGGGTTAACCCATGAGAAAACTGTGAATGGTTTTATGATATAGAGAGAAGCAGAGATGGGAGAGACATGGGCGGGAAGGGGAAGGGAGGAAAGGAGAAGGGAGGGGAAGTCGAGTGAGACCCAGAGGTAGGGAGGGGAAGCCACCCTCTGTCCCGTCTTTAATCACCAAGGATTTAACCACCAGCATCAGGGGGTCTCTGCTTGGACACTTAGTAGAGTTGCATCTCTGGGTTCCCATGAGGCTGAAAGGGTAGAGAATCTTGTTCAGGCAGGGAGTTGTGAGCCAAGCCCACCTGCCCCTTGGGCCAGAGCCTGCAGTTGCTGATGGGACCCGCCAGAGCTCTCTGGTCTCTGACCCAGCACCCAGCAATGTCCCACAACTGGCGGCCCCATTAGTCTGGGCCTCCAAGCAAGCACAGCACAGAGCAGAGTGAGGCACATGGAATGTTTATAGGAAATAAACCACGACTGGTTTAACATGAGCCACTGGAATATGGGGGCTATTTATTAAGGCAGCATAACCTACCTATTTCAACTGACATCGAGAGCTGTGTAGTTTTGCACAAGTCTTTAACCTCTCTGATTACCAGTTTTCTCATGTAGAAAACAGAGAAAACAGTACTTAACTTGCTTGTTGTGAGAATTTATTAAATTTAGGCTGGGCGTGGTGGCTCACACCGTAATCCCAGCACTTTGGGAGGCCAAGGGGGGTGGATCACTTGAGGTCAGGAGTTAGAGACCAGCCTGGGCAACATGGCGAAACCCCATCTCTACAAAAAATACAAAAAAAAAAAAAATAGCCATGGGGCATGGGGGCACGTGCTTATAATCTCAGTTACTCAGGAGGCTGAGGCAAGAAAATCGCTTGAACCCAGGAGGTGGAGGCTGAGTGAGCCGAGATCGCGCCACTGCACTCCAGCCTGGGCAACAGAGTGAGACTCCGACTCAAAAACAAAAACAAAAACAAAAACAAAAAAGAGAGAGAGATAATTTATTGAATTTAAAGTGCCCAGTGTCTAGTAGACCGTAAATAAGAGCTTTTTAAATTAATAGTACAGCTTAGTATGAATTTTAATCCGGCTTAATTCAGAAATCAGCTGTCTTGTTTTCTTTTCTTTAATGTCTTAGGATTCCGCCTACTCTAAGGCAGGAAGGCACACGTGTATGCCCCTCACCTCCAGGGTGTTTAAAGACCCAGCTCTCCCCTGCCTGTAGTAATGGGGAACACATTTTTGGATGCCATAGAGTTGCGCTCGGGTTTTCTGGGCCATCAAGACCTATTGTGAAAGCAATAGGAGACCAGCGTTCTTGGTGGGAGGTTCTGGGGAAAGGACAGGGAGAGGGAATGGAGACAGATGTTGAGCTACTGGATGAGGCCTGTACAGGATGAGCCTGGGCCTCAGAGCAAGCACAACACAAAGCAGAGTGATGGACTGAGACGCTTGTGGGGAGTAAACCAGGGCTGGCGTACTGTGATTCTGACCCCTGGAAAGTTGCCTGCGAAGGGCACCGCATTGCCAGAAGAGCCAAGTGAGCCGATCAAGGGAAAGGCCTCTGCCAGGAGCCTTCCCCCGAGAGACCGCTTTTCCTCCCACCGCAGGGTCGGCTTGCATGACAGGCCTGCGCTCCGCTGGCTCCAGCGCCTCCGAAGTCACCTGCCCTGCAGTGGGGGCGCGCACCCAGACCCTCCCCTGGGATCCCATCCTCCCCTCCATCCCCCTTCCCTCCTGGCCCAGGGCCCCCGGGAGTGACGGCGAGAGGGGGAAAAGCTCTGGGAAAGGAGGGCCGGGCCAGCCCAGGGGAACACAGGGCCGTCTTCACCCTCCACGCCCTTCCTTCCTTCTCCACCTCCTTCTTCCAGATTCCTCTCCAGGCACTGATAGAATAGACCGAAAGAACGACGGGTTTGACTTGTTTAGCAAATGCTTTTGATACCCCTGAAACACAGAGAAACGTGTGCCTTGGCAGTAAGGGATTATTGCACGTTTTAACTTAGCAGGACTGAATCAGGCAGAAAGAAACCTAATCACCGGTCTCCAAAATCGGCCCAAACCTCTGGCGGCCGCGTCACTCGGCTCCACCAGTCTGTGCCGCCTGCAAGCGCCCCTAGCGGCCTCGCAGCCATCGCGCCTCAGCAGCGCCGTGGCGTCCTGTTCGGCAGTGTCCATTAGAGGGCGCCAGCGCGCCTCAGAAGAGGGACCGTGACGCTAGCCCTCGCGGGTGCAGCCCGGAATTGCAAGAAGGCTGCGGAAGGCTGTGCCAGCAACTTGCACGACAGCACCTTGCTTCTAGAGCATGAGTTTACCTGAACATGCAGCTCAGGGATTGTTTTCAGATTGAAACCATCGCACATTCCCTGTGGCAGGCAGCCCCTCTCCGAGGATAACAATCATGACGGTAATCATGGTCATGATCGTCTTTGCAATGGCCCCTTGCCCTGAGGGTCTTCTGGCCCAGGACCCTCCGGTCCTGGCTGCTCAGGACAGGTGATTACCTTTTGAGGGCCTGAGCTAGTATTCTCCCTCAGGTATTTGCAAAACTTTAATTCCAGTGTCTTGTAATTGTCTAGCTTTTGAAGATTCTCAGAACCATCTCATTAAGATCTCACAGAAATTGAGCTCTCCAACTCCAATCCCACAGCTTTTTGCCTCCCGAAATTTGCTGTGTGTGTGTGTGTGTGTGTGTGTGTGTGTGTGTGTGTGTCAGAGAGAGAGAGAGCACGCACCTCCCAAGTTCTTTGCTTACTGGCTCGCTGATACCTCGCAGACCAATATTCACACTGCCTTTCTTTGACACTTTCCTTACTAAACTGTACCAGCCACACAACATTTACACGCGGATGGGTATGGACAGCACCAGATCTCTTCCGGACAGCACCAGATCCCTTCCCCACAGCACCAGATCCCTTCCCCACAGCACCAGATCCCTTCCCCACAGCACTGGGGTCCCAGCAGATGTAGGACTAGGCTTGATGGCAAGCACTTCAGACCAGCGTCTGGAGATGTATGTTCTGGGCCTGGGCCTGCCACCACCTATGAAACCCTAGGCAGGGCACTAGCCCTGGGTGCCTCCCCTGAGGAGGCGACTGACCATATCTCTGAGGTTTCGTGAAGCTCTAATGCTTCTGGACTGTGATTGTACAGAAAGCAGAAGGGCCATTGCCAAGAAGAAGGCATCATGTGCTGTGTTGGGTGTGAGCATTGCCGTGGACGGGCAACCCCTGGGCACTGAGCTTCCACCCAAACCAGCCCTGAGCTCCATCCCACTCCTCTCCCCATCATGACCTGCAGACCCCATCTCAGGAGCTGCATTCTCCAAGCCCCAAACTGAGAGGTGTGGTCTGATGATTTCTTAAGGGAATGTCATCTTTGAATGACCTGCCTTAGGAACCCCAAAGCAGCGTCTGCAGGCAGCCACTCAGCCTCAGGCCCTGAATACGTTCCCGATTCTGCCCTGCTCTGCCAGTTCTATTAATATTACATTAGCCTCCTCTCTCCACAGGGCCTCATACCGTGGGGGAGCTCCCAGCTTCCTTTGTTTGACTTCTCCCCAGATGCCACACCTGATGACTTGGAAATATAATAAATGAATCCATTGTAATTATCAAATAATTACAAAATGGTGTTTTTACTAAAGAACTAGAGAAGACCCTATGGAATTTCTGGGAAGCTCTACCTAATAATAGACTCCCCACTAAAGGAAAGAGTACGTATTTCAAGATCCAATATTATTTGTATTTTACTGGTATATGTGGTGTGGTTCAAAGACTTTAGTCAGTTGGCTTTCAAATTTGCTCATTTATTATTTTTTTCTGACAACCATAACCACTCTAATGTGTTGCATTCACATAACATCTTTCATCTGCCATCTCAAATGTTTTTCCTCTCAGCTTCCTGAGTGCTCTTTGTCAAAACTGCTTTGGTTCTCTTTGTCCTTCAGGGATGGTTCCCCTGTGCCTACACCTGAGACGTGTCTCTCCTGAAAACTCAGGATGAAGGCGGACTTGAAGGAGGAGGCTCAGAGCCTGAAGGGCTGGGGGCTGGGCAGAGGCAGACACATGGCAAGGTGGGAGGATGGGTTGAGCAGACACGAGGCCTGTTGGCCAGTCTTCAGCAGGCTCCCAGGCTCCTGAGGGAAACGTTCGGGTGTCCTCAGGCCATGCCTAACTGCCCTGAGTGGGAGGCCCATCTTGTGGGCTGGGCACCGAGTGTCCCCACCAGGCTGAACAAAGACAGCCTGAGCACAGGAATCCTGGCCAAACAGGGATCTTCGTGGCCACCATTCCACAGGTGTTGCCAACTGTAGGAACAGTGCCTGCTCTCTGCCCCTGGGTCCAACCATTCTGAAGCTGCCCGGTCCTGACTTGCAACAACCTAAGATTTTTGGTGGCACAGGAGAGGTGATAGGTTTCAGTTAAGCTACTTGGGTTGCAAGGAGCATAGAGAGTTACAGACTAACCCAGGACCATAACGTTCCAAGCCCTGGAGCTGGGATGGGAGGAGTGGCTCTTGGGACCAGCCAAGCACTCCACCGTGCTCAGCGGCCGGCCTCAGCCCTGAATGTCTACTCCGTTCCTCAAACTAAGACTCGCTGCTGCTTCTTTTACTCTCCCTTATTTACCTTTTCTCTGTCCTATAGCTTCTGCCTCTAGATAGTTTCTACCTCCTTGTAACTTTAGCCTTCCAAGACCCTCACTCAACTTCTTGGTCTTGCCCTACAGCAGGATCCTTCAGCTGAAGTCCCCATGCTGCGTGATTTTCTCCATATTCACAAATTCCAATGCCCATCTTAGACCAAACAGCCTCAGGCCCCCAGGGACAAATGTGGGGTGACCTGACAAAGCCAGGTTTATTGACTTGTTGCAGTGAAAGAGCCACACACCAGAGGAACCATGAGGCATCTCACCAAATGTAGGAGATTGATTATTATACATTGTTGGGGAAGGTGGTGTTTACGTGACATTTAAATGATCAGTGTCTTACTAGGCTCACAGCAAGGCAAAGCTGAATGTGAAGGGGCAATGTCAGGTCTGGAATGCAAAGTGAATCCAAGGACCTCTGACCTTGGAATCTAAAGTTGGGATATATGTAAAATGTTGTGTCCAGAAACCCCTTACCTGAGGCTCTGCACATGGACTGTAAATTAAGGCTACTTCCCTGTGTCAATGACTGAGATCCTCTAAGCAACAGAGAGGTGTTTTATTCTTACTGATGTAATTTCAAACAGTGAAATTTCTGATAGTCTATATTTTAGAGGACAAAGTTTCTCAGTGAGTGAGAAAACAGTAGTCACTCAAAGAAGACAGTTACGACATTTTACAGCTGCACTGTGTCCTTGAGGAAAATAATGTTTTCTGTGAACTTTGCAGCTCACTTTATCCATGTCATTATTCCGGCACGATAGTCGGCCGGCAGATTCTTTCTTTCTTATGTTCAAAAAGAGCATCTGCTTGGCCCAGCCTATCTTTGCAGGCTGCTTCCCAGCTCAGGCACAGGGTGTCCTCGGGTTCCGCTTTCCCCCAGCCCAGGTCTCATCAGTGATACTAGGAAGAAGGCTGTCCTTCAGGCCACTCTCCTGAAGGGGCTGCGGACATAGCCGGTGTCCTGCTGAATGAATTCCACATGAAAATGGGAGCTCCAGCTCCAGAGCTGGGTAAAGTCCCTCATTCAGTCTACTTGGTCAGGATGGAAGCATCCTGCAATGCCCACCCACCACTCCTTGCTCCACTCTGCCTTTCCACGTGGAAGCACGTGTCCTCCGGCAAAGGATAAACTGCTTAAACAAGAAAGAAGTTTCTCTCCAGGTGACAGTCCGGAGGTAGGCAAGTGGTCCAGGGCTGGTGTGTGGCTCTGCCATCCTCAGGCATGGCTTCCGTTTGCAGCTGCAAATGGCTAGTACAGTCCTTGCCAATGCCTAGCCAGCAGGCCAGGAAAGACATGGGAACACACACTCAGTCCTCTTAAGTGCAAGAATATAACATTCTGGGAACTAAGGTGTATGATTTCAGCTCATTTGTCATTCGCAGGACTTGCTCAGGTAAGGGAGGCTGGGAAAGAGACTTGACTTGGTGGCCACGTGCAGGAGCTGTCAACCCTCTCCTAACCCACCACTTAGAGACAGTGCCCTTCTTGTTGGCTAGCCTCTTCCATCCACAGGCAAATGCGTCCTTTCCTCTTTTGTCCTGTCCTAGTCTCTAAAAGAACCAGAGATGTTAACATCTGAGCCTCCCCTGAGTGCAGACCAATGGGGACAGGGCTGCAGATCCTGGGCAGGGATCTCCGTGCTGATGGTGAGGAGACATTGTCAGTGGCCCTTGCTCCACCAGAGTCCTCCCTGCAGCGCCCTTCACCGCCCAGCCCCCTTGCCCACCCCTGTCATTTGGTGCTCAATTTCAGATGCCTGCCCATCCCCTGCCTTGCTCCAAAGAACTTTGGTAGGTAGAGGAGGCACTGCTCCAGGGCCCCAGGAGCATGGGAGTATCCTGAGGCCAGTCGGTGCCTCCAGGGCTCTTCCCGGCCTCCTCCAAACAGCATGTTCTCTTCTCCCTTCCTTGGGGCTAAAAGGAGTCGGACCATGTGAGAGTGGAGGGTACTGAGGTTGTGCTGGCCTTTGTGCTCAGCACCCTCCATCCACTGCCACCCACCTATGCCACTCTCTTGGCTTGTTGACTGGCCAGGCTGGGGACGCAGTTTTCTTACATGTCCAGAGCAAAGCAGTAGAAGACAGGCCAGCACTGCAAGCTTGAGCCTACGTGCTCCAGCATCTCCGAGCTCCCAGGCATCCACCCACCCCACACCTCAGCCACTGGCTCCTGGGCCCTGGCAAGTGCCACATTCCTGATGTGGTGGACGCTGTCCCAACTCATGTCAGGCCAGGCCCAGAGGCAATGGGAACTGATGGACAAGATGGATCACCACCTCCCCACCTACACAATTATTGTAGACATCCCACCCGAAAGCTTGTTCTATAGTTGCCATGGAGGAATGCCCCAGAGGAATGAATTGGTACCAAGGTCATAGTGACTTCATGCACCAAACGCAGGGAGGTATAGCAGTGAAGTGCATAGACTTGAAGTCAGGTTAGCTGCGTTTAAATCTGAGGTCTACCACTTCCCAGCAACTGGGATCTTGAGCAATTATTTAACTCCTCTAAACCTCAGTTTCTTCATTTCTAAAATGAGACTAATAATGGTAGCACACTTCATAATCATCAAGGAAGACTAAAACAATTGTTACACCAAAAGTGCTTAAAACAGGGCCTAGAACAAAATGAGCATTTCATAAATGTTGGCTATTGTTACTTTTCTAGAGGTCTTTGGATTCAATGAATCAATATGACAATACATGACCTTGTGGAAAGACACTAATGGTGGTCTCCCACACATCAAGTCACAGAAGTGGGGGACATAGTTTTAGGGCATTGGGAAAGCTGGTGTTGCTCACAGGGAACTGTCTGATGTAGAAAAGGGCTTCCCGGGAACTGTGAAGTCAGAAAAATTGGTCAAAATCATACTGATTGCTGTTAACATGTCGGAGGCAGGCAGGCTGCAGAGACAAAGCCTCTGGGGTCTCCTGATCACCACTGCGTAAAACCCAGGTTATTCTCCAGCACCCCTAGGACAATCTCACCCCACAAGCAAAAAGGATGGTTGTGTGAACCCTGCTGTTGTAAACCTGGGGCTGGGAAAAGTGAGACCAATTTGTTGGATAAAGATGTGAGGACATTTAAGCCCTTGCCATGCATGAAGTTAGGAAGATGGCAATCATTTTTGCTTATAGCAATGCCTTAAAACTTATCCTATATCAGCAGCTGTGACTGGGAAGAGCCCTGTGCTGGGAGTGCAAACGAGACCATGAGCTTCTTGAGGTAGGTGTGGATCTAATCAATTGCCTGGCACACAGATGATGCTCAGTAAATATTGGCTGGATGAAGTCAGGAAACCTGTGTTCCAGTCTCTGCTCTGTAGGGAGCCAACAGTGTCACCCCGGTCAATATGCCTCTCCTCCAGGGTTGCTGTTCCCCATCTGCCTCTAGACTTGATATCTGAGATTCCATTGAGCAGTAAGATTCTGTCCGTTCCCAGCCTAGGAGCTTGCTGCCCACCTAAGGAGACCTGTCTTGCTGTAAGACCCTCAGGCCTTGCCCTCCTCAACCTCAGCAGGGAGACTGCCTGCCTGAGTTGGAGGTGGTGTGTGTGGTGGAAAGGCAAGGCTCCATGTTTTTTTCCTTTTGACTGCTCGATAGTGGAGCCTCAGACCCCTTGCAGGAGGAATGAGTCGGTGTGGGGAGGGTAATTGAGCCGAAACTGGCAGGAGGAGGAGAATAGGTGCAAAGGAAGTCAGGGCAACCAGCTCCCTGGGGAGAAGCTGAGAGGCAGCAAGTAGAGGCCGAGCCAGAGATGATAGGAGAGGGCCCAGCAGCAGCAGCGAACAGCAGTGTGGCTGGGGAAGAGCAGATGGGGCTGGCAGATGGGAGCTGACAGGCTGCACGGGCTGGCAGGCAGCTCAGCATTTCTCAAGAGGCAGCTCCGCTGAGCAGCCAAGGGGAGATGGGGAAGGCTGAGCTATCAAACCCTTTCTGCTTCCCAATCATGTCTTTCTCTAGGAGACCTACAGGAGAGGATTGGGCCTAAGAAGTCAGGGTTGCCTCCCACAATTAATGATAAAATTTCAATTCGAAATCAATAACTTAATGGAATGAGATTTCTTTTCATCTGAATTGGGAAGCATTCATTAAATACCTACTCCGTGGCAGGCCCTCAGTAGGATGCTAGGTGAGAAGGACCTCTCTGCCGTGCAGGGGAAGCTCAGTCAGGAAGTAGAGCAGGCAAGACCTCAGACTCCAGGCAGACAGTACCACAGTACAGGTGGGCAGTGGGCCAGCTGTGGGGGAGGAGGGAGGGCCACTGGAACTGGGAGGGGACGTAAGACAGGAAGGCTTGGCAAAGGCAGCAGCATGCAAATTAACTCTCCGTTTTCACATGGAGGAGGTAGGGCCTTCTGACTGTGTGAGTCAGCTTGCAGGAAAGTGCAAAAGCCAGTCTGAAACATAAAGAAATATTAAGACATGCAAGGCCATCCTTGGTTTCCCTTTAGTCTGGTTTGCTTAAGGGAAGCTTTCTTCATCCAAAATAGAACGTGGTTAGGGGGTGGGGGAAGTAAGAAGCAAATCCTACCATCGTGCTCTGGATCCCATCTCCCACACATCTCCTTGCTGATCCCACCCTGGGACACTTACTCAATTGATTATCCCAGCTCTCTTCAGTCTCGAACTTCTCCTCTGTTGGTCCCTCATACCATCTTTGAACTTGATCCACTATCTCATTAATAAACAAACTATCCCCTTTCATGCTTACTTCTTCTCTGTCTCTTTCTCACTGTAGCTAAATATCTTTAAAACATGGTCTATATTGTCTTAGAGTTAGTCCTGCTGCTGCCTTAGTCTTGCTGAAGAATGGGAACAGAAGATGGAGATTCTGAATGGCCAGAAAGAAGGGCCTGGCCACAGACAGCTTTGCCTTTCTCTGCACCGACCAGGTAGGGATCACAGGCCTCAGTAGTGCCGATCCCTTCCAGGTTTTGTGCCAGAAAAATTCCAAGTCAAGCCCCTCAAAGGATCACAAACTGCACCATTGGCAATGGCTTGTTTAACCGAACTTGAGAACTGTTCTTGACCCCGCAACCTGGTATTGTCTCTAAAGGTTTTACCCAATCACCTGGGGATGCTGTCTTTCAACTCTCAGATTTGGAAGAGGATGAAGAGGAGGTACCACTCTATACTTCAGCAGCCACTTCAGTGGAACAGAAACATTCAATATCCAAGCAACAGTAGGCATCCTCCCACTACCCAGACTTCAGGATAGGGACTGGCTACTATTGCTGTCTCAAACCCAGGAAAGCGTCTGTCATAGACAAACCGAGCATTTTCCCTCCTCACCACCTATGAGATATTGCATGTCTCTGAAATCACTCAGGTTGCCCCAAGCTCAGTCTCCCTTTATAATTCCAGGAGAAGCAGTGATAGCAGTTCGCTTATCACAATTATAAATTCTCCTGCCAGCTACTACAATTCAGCATTGATGAATCCACAAAATGTATGGTTTAAGACTTTCATTAAATCCTCCTAATGTGGGCCAGTTGAAGAGGAGTTTAGTAGACAGCTGAAGAGATTAGAGATAGCTAGAGTGATAGAGTCCTGATGCCCAGGAGAATGGAAGCTGCCAAGATGTGGTGGCTTACATCTGTAATCCCAGCACTTTGGGAGGTCAAGTTGGATAATCACTTAAGCCCAGGAGTTTGATACTAGCCTAGGCAACATAGTGACACCCCATCTCTACAAAAAACTAAAAAATTACCCAGGAGTGGTGATGTATGCTTGTGGTCCCAGCTACTAGGGAGTCTGAGGTGGGAGGATGCATTGAGCCCATGAGGTTGAGGCTGCAGTGAGCCATGATCACGCCACTGCACTCCAGCCTGGGCAACAGAGTGAGAACTTGTCTCAATATAAAAAAATAAATAAATAAATGCAGTTTGTTGGTGAATTGAAAAGGAATCAGCCTTTCAGTCATGATGGGTAGCCTCTGACCTCCACTATGTACATCCCCACTAAAATTGGGTAGGTGTCCTGTAGGACTGAGACTCAGCAGTTAGCTGACCTCTTGTACAAATTTGGATGCGAATAGTTATGCGCTGACTGAAACATCTGGTCTGGTTTGATTTGAGAGAAAAGAAACATGGCAAAAAGGTTATGAATATGGAAGTGGAAGAATGGGAACAGAATGTGATGAGGCAATAAAGGATGAGGTCTGATGAATGGAGAGATTGTGTATGAAAAGTCCATGAGTCTATGGAACCAGCAAAGCATGAAAGGTTTAAGACACTTCATCAGTTGGGTTTTCTTGCCTTGAAAAAGGGGGAATAGAAAATGATTTGGTAAGTACTCCCTCTTTCACTTCCTTTGGAAGGGATTGGGCAAAATAAGTATTATTTCCTCCTCATATACGTAGAATTAGTTTTTTTGGTTTTTTGTTTGTTTGTTTTTGAGACAGAGTTTTTGAGACTCTGTCACCCAGGTGGGAGTGCAAGGGCGCGATCTCTGCTCACTGCAAACTCTGCCTCCCAGGTTCAAGCGATTCTCCTGTCTCAGCCTCCTGAGTAGCTAGGATGATAGGTGCCTGCCACCACGCCTGGCTAATTTTTGCATTTTTAGTAGAGATGGGGTTTCACCATGTTGGCCAGGCCAGTCTCAAACCCCCGATCTCAGGTGATCTGCCCACCTCGGCCTCCCAAAGTGCTGGGATTGCAGGCGTAAGCCACCATGTCTGGCCTAGAATTAGTTTAGAAAGCCATTTATCTGTGGAGTTTTCTTTAATGAAAGGTTAACTATAGATGCATTTCTCAAACGTTATAAAAATTTGCATCAGTTTTAATTTTTCTAGAAATTTGTTGATTTCGTCTAAATTTTCCAATTTACTGGCATAAAGTTGTCCATAAAATCTTGTTTTAGGCCCGGTGCAGTGGCTCACGCCTGTAATCGCAGCACTTAGGAGGCTGAGACGGGTGGATCACTTGAGGCCAGGAGTTTGAGACCAGCCTGGCCAACATGGTGAAACCCTGTCTCTACTAAAAATACAAATATTAGCTGGGCGTGGTAGCTGCGTGTACTCCCAGCTACTTGGGAGGCTGAGGCAGGAGAATCACTTGAACCCGGGAGGCAGAGGTTGCAGTGAGCCTAGATCGTGCCACTGCACTCCAGCCTGGGTGACAGAGTGAGACCGTCTCAACAAATTAAAAAAAAAAAAAAAGAGAGAAAGAAAGAAAGAAAGAAAAGAAGAGAAAAATCTTTTTTAAAAAATTCATTTTAGGGCCAGGTGCGGTGGCTCATGCCTGTAATCCCAGCACTTTGGGAGGCCGAGGCAGGTAGATCACGAGGTCAGGAGATCGAGACCATCCTGGCTAACATGGTGAAACCCCGTCTCTACTAAAAATACAAAAAATTAGCCAGGCGTGGTGGTGTGCACCTGTAGTCACAGCTACTTGGGAGGCTGAGGCAGGAAAATGGTGTGAATCTGGGAGGCGGAGATTGCAGTGAGCTGAGATCGTGCCACTGCACTCCAGCCTGGGCGACAGAGCGAGACTCCATCTCAAAAAAAAAAAAAAATTCATTTTAGGCCAGGCACGTGGCTCACGCCTGCAATCCCAGCACTTTGGGAGACTGAAGTGGGCAGATCACCTGGGTCAGGAGTTCAAGACCACCATGGCCAACATGGCAAAAATCCATCTCTATCAAAATATGTAAAAATTAGCTGGGCATGGTGGTGTGCACCTGTAATCTCAGCTACTGGGGAGGCTGAGGTTTGAGGATCACTTGAACCTGGGAGGTGGAGGTTGCAGTGAGCTGAGATCATGCCACTGCACTCCAGTCTGGATGACAGAGTAAGACTCTGTCTCAAAATAAAAATAAAAACAAAAATTCATTTTAAACTTTTAATTGTAAAATAAAGTGCAGATACAGAAAAATCATACAAATGTAGTTGTGTGAATTTTGATTGGGTTGACACCCACATAACTATTAATTGGACCAAGAAATAAAACTCTGCTGGCCACCCCAGAAGTCCCACCTTCTGACATGTTCCTATCACAGCCCACTCCCTTCCTCCAAAAGTAACCACCATTGTGACTTAATCGGTTCTTTGTGTTTCTTTAAGATTTTATAACCTGAATGCATTCTATTCAGGTATTCTGAACAGAATTTATAACCTGAATGCATTCTATTCAGTATTTTTTTAAGGCATGCCTTTTTTTTTTTTTTTTTTTTTTTGAGACGAAGTCTCCCTCTGTCATCCAGGCTGGAGTGCAGTGGTGCGATCTCAGCTCACTGCAACCTCTGTCTCCCAGGTTCAAGCAATTCTTCTGCCTCAGCCTCCCAAGTAGCTGGGATTACAGGCACACAATACCAGGCCCGGCTAATTTTTGTATTTTTAGTAGAGACGGGGGTCTCACCATGTAGGCCAGGCTGGTCTCGAACTCCTGACCTCAAGTGATCCGCCCACTTCAGCCTCCCAAAGTGCTGGGATTACAGGTGTGAGCCACCACGCCCAGCCTAACAGCATGTCTTTTAAGCCTCTTTTAATGCACAGGTTTCCCTCCTCCATCCCTTTTATTGCCTTGCAATTTTTCTGCTGATTATGAAGAATACAGGGCATTTTACCTGTAGAGTTTTGCACAACCTGAGTTCTGAAATTTGTTGACTGCATAATTATGGTGCATTTCAATATGTTTCTCTGTGTTCTGTCATTTCTACAGATTGGTAGTGGGATGTAAAGGCTTTAGACTCAAAGTAATGCTTTGCCAAGACTGTAGATAGGTTGGGTTGCATTCTTTAATCAGGAAGTGACTTCTGAACAGCCAGCAAAATTTGGAAGTGGATGAGTAAGTGCAACCAATCACCCTCTGCCACTTTTGGGGTGTGACTGGGGTCCTGCCCTACTTGGCTAATAGTGCCACCATTTGACATTTTATGCGTTTGTATTTGTTTGTATTTGTGGCACCATGAGAGTTTGCTTAGATTGGACTCACTGGCCCATGGAGCCATTTGGAATGGGGGAGAAGAATTCAGGACCTCACCCAGCCCCCTTCACGGGGGACTCATTTGGAAGCACACTGTTTGCATATATGAATGTATGACTTTGTGTATGAGCCCTGATTCCTTTGCTATGGAAGATAAGCGAGAATGGTGGGGGGTACTCCCTGCACTGTGTAATGGCTGGAAGGCTCTGGAATTTCCTTTCAATCATGTTACCTTTTTTTCTTCCCCTCCTTTCTTCCTCACACCCTGCTTGTAAGACTTGGCTCCTACACAAAGGCTGGCCAGGCTCTATCTTCCTCTGTTTTCTCTTCTGCCTGCTTTATATGAGTATGTAAGTGTGTGTTTATAGGTACATTTATATATTTTGTTATGTGTTGTGGCCACAAGGTACCAAATTGGCTTAAAGGAGTACTCATAAATTAATAAGCCCAAATGCTTTCCAAGTTCATGTGACTTAAGTAAAATCTTTAATAAATAAGATGGCTCTAAAATTAGTAGTAAAATAATATTAGAAATGCCTTTAGAATTGTCAATATATATTTTTGCTTGGATTTACTGATCAAGCGGTTTCATATTTATCTCTGCCAGATGTTATTAGGTGTCAACATTTGACATAAGAACTATAAAACTATAAACCCAGGCCAAACCAGAATGATTTTGTTTGTGTAATTTTTTATAAACAAGACATTTAATATTGTTTAAAGAAAACAACTAAATCTTCTGAGTTATTGAAAAAATGCCCATATGTTTAAGTTTCTTATCTCGATAGACATCTGATGTTCACAAAGCTTTAAAAATGCTTAGCAGGGAAATAACTTTAAATGATGACCACCTTTGTACGGTATCTCAGTTTTCATAAATAGTCTAAATAAACAGTGAAAAATGGAAAGAATGGGTACATATAAATGAGATAAATGTTTGTAAGTAAGCTTTTTTATAAAATTTAAAATCTTAAAATCATTTTGGATGCTTATGGGATGTCTGGGTCATTTGCAATTTTATAAAAAGGGTTATGGCCAGGCACAGTGGCTCATGCCTGTAATCTCAGCACTTTTGGAGGCCAAGGCTGGTGGATCGCTTGAGCTCAGGAGTTTGAGACCAGCCTGGAAAACATGGTGAAATCCTGTCTCTATATTATATTATATTATATTATATTATATTATATTATATTATATTATATTATATTATATATTTTATATCAAAATTACACTATAAAAATATATTATATCTTTATATTTTATATCAAAAATATAACAATTAGCCAGGCACCCAAGAGGCTGAGGTGGGAGGACTACTGGAGCCCAGGAAGTTGAGGCTGCAGTGAGTTGTGATCATGCCAATGTACTCCAGCCTGGGTGACAGAGTGAGACATGGTCTCAAAAAAAATCAATTAATTTAAAAAGCATTATTAGATGGAAAATATGTTCCAAAAATTGTGGAATGGTTCTCATCTATAAAATGCTAACATCTGACAGGCAGTTGAACATTTCTTACTTCCTAGGTTCATATAAAATATGCCAAAGGAGATGTGTTCTTACTGAGAAACAGAATAGTTTTGTCTAATTCAAAGGTTATCAAAAAGTTAATTCAAATTACGGACTTGAAAAGGTTATTCCATCCATGTAACTTTCTGTATTGCTTTTAAAGTCCTTGTGATGTTAAATTTACAGGGCTTTGACTCTTCAGTCTAAAAAGGGCACATGATAATGTCATGTCTAGACTTAATTCTCTTGAATACTTAAAATCTTTTGCAAGCTCAAAAATAACTGCTCTAGACTCGTTCTGGGAAAAGCAATAGCAGTCACTGTGTGCTATAGTTCAGTAGCTAAGGTTTTGCACTTTCACACTGGTGGCCTAGGTTTAGTTCCTGGCTTTGGGAATAAGCCCTTTCTGTGTTGATAGTTGTGGGACTTTTGCCATTTATTGATTCTTTCTCCCTTCATGGACAGCTTCTGATTTTCTGTCTGGAATTGCTTACATACTGGATCTTTTACCAAAAATAAGAGTTGCTAAGAGTTAACATTGTAACATGTACTTGAGATTACTGGAGAAAGTTTTACATGCAAGATGTATAAGGAAAGTAGAATGTGCTTTTGGCAAAAGGCTATAAGAAAGCATGAAAATATGGTTTTTGTTGTAGGAATGTAATTTTTTCTAGTTCAGAGGTTTTAAAGGATTGTCCTAACCTAAAAGGGTAATAGGACAAAACTAAAGGTTTAAACAAGTTGTAAAAGATTTGTGAAAGATTGATCTTATAAAGAAAATTCTGTGGGTATGAGTAAGTTGGCTAAGATTTGAAGGAGATTACTTAGTTTTTCCATAATTTAAACATAAAAGCACACTGATGTAGGGCCAGAACCTGGGCCCATGTGTTTAAATAATAATGTGTATTTGAGAATTGGCCTATTGTTTAACAGAAAATCGAAAAGGATTATAGAAGGTTATGAAAATCTTACCTTATGGTCAAACTAATTAAGATTAAATAGATTTATTTATAAAGTTTTATTAAGAATTGGGTTTAACATTAACAGGATACTAATGCAAAGGTGAAATTTGGCTTTCTCTCTCTCTCTCTCTCTCTAAGACAGGGTCTCACAAGCCCAGGCTAGAGTGCAGGCTGGTGTGATCTCAGTTCACTGCAACCTCCACCTCCTGGATTCAAGTGGTTCTCATGCCTCAGTCACCCAAGTAGTTGGGATTACAGGCATGCGCCACCACACCTGGCTAATTTTTGTATTTTTAGTAAAGATGGGTGTCAAAGGAAAATAAATCTTGGGGCCCCCAAATCGCTAAGCTAAAGGGAAAAGTCAAGCTGGGATCTGCTTAAGGGAAACCTTCCTCCCATTTTATTTAGTATTCAAAGTCCTCCCTCTGCTCATTGAGATAAATGCATATCTGATTGCCTCCTTCGGAAAGGCTAATCAGAAACTCAGAATAATGCAACCGTTTGTCTCTTACCTACCTGTGACCTGGAAGCCCCTTCCCTGCTTGAGTTGTCCCATCTTTCTGGATGGAACCAATGTACATCTTACATATATTGATTGATGTCTCATATCTCACTAAAATGTATAAAACCAAGCTGTGCCCCGACCACCTTGGGCAAACGTAGTCAGGACCTCCTGAGGCTGTCATGGATGCATGTCCTCAACCTTGGCAAAATAAACTTTCTAAATTAACTGAAACGTGTCTCAGGTATTCGGGGTTCAGATTTTGGCAACCATAAAGGGATTCTAAGTGGAGGTGCTCCTGACCTTTGACAAGTCTCCTATCAGTATTTGGTAGCAGCTTGAGCTATCTTTTTCTTTGTTTGTTTTTTGGTTTTGAGACAGAGTCTCACCCCGTCACCCAAGTTGGAGTGCAATGGCGCGATCTCAGCTCACTGCAACCTTCGCCTCCCGGGTTCAAATGATTCTCCTGCCTCAGCCTCCAGAGTAGCTGGGATTACAGGTGCCCGCTACCAGGCCCAGCTAATTTTTGTATTTTTAGTAGAGACGGGGTTTCACCATGTTGGCCAGGCTGGTCTCGAACTCCTGACCTCGTGATCTGCCAGCCTTGGCCTCCCAAAGTGCTGGGATTACAGGCATGAGGCGCTGTGCCTAGCCACCTTGAGCTATCTTTATGGACAAACCAATAGGACAATTTGCTGAGGCCCAGAAGCATCCCTTCCAGAGAATCCCAGATGTCCCCAAATCTAAACTTTATTTTGCTGTACAATTCCTTTTTTTTTTTTTTTTTGGAGTTTTACTTGATTCCAACAAAAGGAAGGCAAATTTTTCCTGTTTCCATGACAATGGAAGGCAAGTAACTCCTTCCTGGAGTTTGAACTCATTTCCAGCAGGGAAGACTAATTTGAGTTTTTTTTCCTGCTTCTCAGAAACTCAAAAGAATGCCTCTTTGGAGGCAGTCTTCAGCCTGAGACCCATCTCTAGTTAAGTAACTGAACTGGAGTTTGTCTTGGCTAAAGTTAAGATTAACAAGCAGCTGGTCTTAATTTCTCCCTACCATTAGAGCACTCAGTGATCATGTAAGTTGTGCCATCATGGGCCAGTCACAGTGGCTCACGACTGTAATCCTAGCACTTTGGGATGCTGAGACAGGCAGATCACAAGGTCAGGAGTTCGAGACCAGCCTGGCCAGCATGGTGAAACCCTGTCTCTGCTAAAAATACAAAAATTAACTGGGCATGGTGGCAGGTGCCTGTAATCTCAGCTACTTAGGAGGCTGAGGCAGGAGAATCGTTTGAACCCAGGAGGTGGAGGTTGCAGTGAGCCAAGGTGGCACCATTGCACTCCAGCCTGGGTGACAGGGTGAGACTCCATCTCAAAAACTATATAAAAAATAAAACAACAACAATAATAATAAATTGTGCCATCATTTGTTTTGCTTAACTTTTTTGTTGTTGCTGTTGTTTGTTTGTTTCTGTTTTTGTTGTTGTTTCCATCTTTTTCCCATTGGGTTTGATCAACTCTATTTGACTTGATCAAATCCAAAGGAAAGTTCCAAATTACAAGGAACAAGGCCTCTGAAGTGGCTAAACTCCCCCCCAACCCCAACACACACACACACAAAAAGGTGGTGTGGTGGGGGAGAAAAACAGCCAGCAAAAGGAAAAAAAAAAGAAATATTTTTGCTTTTGACTACTTAACGGGCTTTATTTACATAATGAGGCCACCCTTTTGTTAGCCAGGCTGAACAGAAAGAGCAATGGCTGTTGCACCATGCTGAAGTTCCATAGCTAAGCGTTCTGCCTTCTTTTTTCCCGCCATGACAACCTGGGTTTGGATCCTAAATCAAGCCCTTTCTAGTTTGATACTTGGTATATCATAAATATTAATAGTGTAGCAGGACGAACCGCAGACAAAACCCCTCAGACACCAAGTTGAGGAAGGAAAGGGCTTTATTTGGCCAGAAGTGTCAGCAGACTTATGTCTCAAAAAACCAAGCTCCCTGACTGAGCAATTCCTGTCCCTTTTAAGGGCTTACAACTCTAAGGGGGTCTGCATGAGAGGGTCATGATCGATTGAGCAAGCAGGGGGTACATGACTGGGGGCTACATGCACTGGTAATCAGAATGGAACAGAACAGGACAGGGATTTTCATGATGCTTTTCCATACAATGTCTGGAATCTATAGATAACACAAGCAGTTAAGTCAGGGGTTGCTTTTAACTACCAGGCCCAGGGCGCAGTGCTGGGCTGTCTGCCTGTGGATTTCATTTGTGTCTTTTAGTTTTTACTTCTTTTTTCTTTGGAAGCAGAAATTGGGCATAAGACTATATGAGGGGTGGTCTCCTTCCTTATTCCCCCCTTTGAGAACTTTACTCATTAGTAGGAGTTCTCATTTTCATCCTCACTACCCATGTCTTCTTGCAAGACAGATTGATAGTGATTCATATAGTACACTTGTGCTGAAGCATTTTAGTGAACTAAGGTAGTGATGAAGCTTTTTAATCATTTGAAGGCGTACAGGTAGCAAACAAGGGAGTAGTAAGCAGGTTCCTATTACTATTATAATTCCTATTATAAGGGTTTTAAATCCTCCTAGCGCTGGGAACCATTTTCCAAACATGGCCCCAAGATCAAATCCATGCCACACTTGCACAGGCACATGTGCTAGTTTTGTCATATCTCTATGTCTTCAGCTACTTGCCTTTGATCATCTATGTGTAGACAGCAATTGGTAAGGTTAAATTTCCCACAAACTCCTCTTTCAGCTGCTAGCAAGTAGTCTAGGGCTAATCTATTCTGATAAATAGCATTTCTCATCAGGGTTTCTTGCCGGGCTAAAACAGTCAAAGCTCTGCCAGTCTCATTAGTGATTATTCTAAGACAGCTTGTTAACCGTATAATCTAGTTGAGCATGTAGATGGGGGTTCAGTATCCCTACGAGCTGTCTTGTGCCCATGTGGCAGGCCCATAGTACTGTATGATTCTTTCAGGGGGCCACTCATCATTTTTCCAATCACCTATGGCTATGCTTCTCTTTTCTCGGGAAGCATAGACAGGGAAGCCTAGGAGCTCACCTGTTTTTACAAGCAGTAGGAAAAAGGATGGCTTAATGGTGCTAATGACACAACGACCTGCCCATTGGTCAGGTAGCTTGGTGTAGGCTCTATGCCTGCATATCCAGTATAGTCCAGCTGGAGCTGGCCAGTCCCAGTGAGACTCTGGATGGGCCCAAACAGTTTGCAACTTAGGAAACTTACTAAATGGATGCTTCTTAGTATGGTTTAGACCCCACCAGGTGACCGTTCTTAATCTTATTTCAAAAACTGTTACCATAGAGGGCTCAGATGGGTTACAACACACATCAGGCTGGTCACTTTTTGGGCTACATACCTTGTACTGGGTGACATTATACAAACAAGTCCCTTTTAGAGTTCCAGCACATTTATAATAACTATAGAACAAAAAGACAGTTTTAACTTTTTGCCATACCTCAGTGAGCTGATGTATACACTGGGAACAGTCCCCAGTTTGAGGAAGGTCAGTTGAAGTCCTTACTGTACAAGTCCAAAATTTAAGGAAAATAAGTCCCACTGTGAGTTTCCTCATACTTCAGCTGTGCGTGGACCAGTCAGCTTCCAGGTGTGACTGGAGCAGGGCTTGTTGTCTTCTTCAGAGTCACTTTGCAAGGATTGTCTGGGCTTGGTCTCGCCTCCCAGGTCTCAGGTGCTGCGGGTTTCACATGGCTGTGGTGGATCCAGGCTGGGATTCCTTCTACTTTCACAGCTGTGGGAGTGGTCAATACAACGGTCTGGGGTCCTTTCCACCATGGCTGCAAGGGGGGCTACATTCCAATCCTTGATCCACACCCAATCACCTTTGCTGTCTTCTGTACCAGGTCAGCCACAAATGCTGACCTGTTGTCCAAGCCGATTTGTAAGGGCAGTCCAAACCTAGGGATGAGATCTCCACAGTTGGGCATCTCAGTGAAGTCTACTTGGGGATCTTCAAAGGGGGCTGCTCCATAAGCCTATATGCCAGGTGGGACGGTTGGACCTTGCCTAGCATTGTGCTGCTGGCAGGTGACACACTGCTGCACCACTGTTTTGGCAAGGGCTGACAGATGTGAGATGTAGAAGTACCGGCCTAACAACTTTTTAAGAGACTCTTGGCCTAGATGGGTGGTCTCATGCACAGCTAGTACGACTGCGGCTCCTAGCAGTTGTGGCATTGCTATTCTTCCATCCGATAACCAGATCCACCCTTTTTCTATCACCTGCCCTCCCTCTGGTTGATGAAATGCCAGGGTGAAAGGGATAGCCAATTGGACTAAAGCACAAGTGCCACTCCAGTTATTCGGCAGAGTGTCCAGTAAATGTCCACCACAATACCACCACACATCCGCTCGGGGATGAACAAGGGCTGACTTATTGGTGAGCTCTTGAAAGTTCTTAAGTTCACTGCATCCTTTCAGGTCTCCAAGGAATGCTAAGTTTCCTCCCTGTCATGAGAGACATGAAGTGAACTTAGTGTTGGGAGACGGAAGCTGGATGGCCCTTGGGGGCTGACCCGCAGGGTGCTGAACTTCAGGATATAGCAGAGAGAGAGCTTGGCATGACTTATTACTCCAGGCTATAGAATCCTGGAAAAGAGCTACCATGCAGCCCATGTCTGGTCAACTGGAGGACCACATTAGTGGAAAGCAGACAATCTGGGCCTCTGGCCTGCCACGTGCACAAGCATAACAATTGCTTTTGTTTAATGTGCAGACGGAATATTTGATCCATTCCAACCAGGCATTTGCATCTTGGTATCCTGTCTTAATTGCCAAAGTTTGTTTTAAGTCTTTAACTTCTATGATCCTCTAGTAAAATGAATGTATGGTTTTAGGAAATTACAAAAACCGGTTGGGGCAGTCCATCCTTGCTTTTTAGTGGTCCACAGAACGTTGGACCAACTACGGCATAAAAGCTCTACATCAGGGGGCAAGACTCCTGGTTGACACTGGGGTCTTTATCAAAATCTCCTCAGATTAAATGGTCCCAATTTACTAATGCCCAGTCTGAGGAGAGTCAGGAGGGACAGAGGTACTTTTCTGAAGTAGAGAGCTGTCTTTGACTTGGCAAGTCCCCACAGGGTATAACAAGGCAAGCATTAAATGCAATAGTTTGAGGCAAAATTGACTTGGTTGTGTTAATAACTAGATGGTCAGCAATAGAGCGAGGAAAGAAGAAAGTATAATATAATAGATGAAAGAGTTAAATTTTTCTTAGCTTTAGTTTGGTTGGGTTTTCTCCTGGGACTATGGCCCACGACTCTGGAGGGGGTGGCACTTTCTTGACTCAGGTGTGATGAGTCCATCCCCTTTCTGCTGTATGAACAGCAGTCTCAGTGGTTAGCAGCACAAGGTAGGGTCCTTCCCAGGCTGGCTTGAGTTTTTCTTCTTTCTACCCTTTGATGAGAATGTAATCTTCAGGCTGGTGCTGGTTTACCGGAAATTCTAGGGGTGGTACATGTGCTAAAAGACTTTTAGTTTTGAGGGAAAGGAAAGTGGAAGATAAACCAAGTATATAATTTCTAAGAAATTGACCTTTTGTTTTAAATGTGGGGACATCAGCAGCAGACTTTATAGTTCTTGGTGCCTTCTTACTGGGAAATTTCCTTTAGCACCTATTTTTATTAGTTTTTAGACCAAAGAAAGCCAAACAACATTTTATATTTGACAATGCTTTCTGTATGATTTTCAAACCAGATAAGCTAAATTTCACCTTTATATTAGTGTGTTATTAATGTTAAACTTAGTTTTAATAAAACTTTGTAGACATATTTATTCAATTTTTAATGTCTGACCATAAGGTAAGATTTTTATAGACTCTTTTTAACCTTTTATAATTTTTGTTAAAGAGCAGGTTAGTGCTTTAAGAAAAACACATTTTGTTTTTACTTTAATGTCCAGTTCACAGAAAAACTGGATGATGCCCCTTTAACTTTAGCCAATATGTTTACACACAGAATTTCCTTTACAATTAACATTTTAAAACTTGCTTAAACCTTCAAAACAAAAAAATTTTTTTAACCTTTTAATGTAGGTAAAAATCCACATTTTTATGCCTCCTTATAATCCTTTTACTAAAAGTATATTTTACTTTTCTTATACACCTTGCACATAAAGTGTTTCTTCAATAGTTTTACATTCAGGAGGCCTAATTACTTTTCAATTATACAACACTTCTTGCAAAAATTCCTTTTTTATAACACACTTTTTTTTTCTTCTTTCACTACTTTCACAGACAATTCTTCAACATGTCTCAACTTTCTGACTTATTGCAAACATCCCTTTCTTTAAACAACCAGTTAATTTATTTTAGGACAAGAGTTTACTATATAACATTCTTTTTACATAAATTCTCCCCCACCTTTTTCTCTCTCTCTTTTTTTTTTTTTTTTTTTAACTTAGGATAGTTCTGAACTGGTTAGGTGTGCTTACAGTGAGGTTTCCTTTAAAAGTTATTTTTCTACTTTTTTCTATTAGCAAATCCATTGCCGCTACAGATTGAATGTGTTTGGGCCATCTGCAGGTTACCGGGTTAAGGAATTTTGATAGGAAGGCTACAGGTTGTCAGTGGCCTCAGTGCTTCCACGCTACGCCCTTGTTTACACTGACAACAAAGTGGTATTGGAGTGTTATATGGTCACAGAGAAGACCTTTAGTTATCAATTATAGGTTCTAAATTTACCTTGGCTTTTAAAGGAATCAGGTACACTGTTTTTTTCTTAACTACTTGTATATCTCTCTCTCTCTTTCTTTCTTTCTCTCTTTGACTTTCTGTCTCTCTCTCTTTTTCTTTTTGTCTCTGTCTCTTCCTCTCTCTCTGCCTCTCTCTTTCTCTCTGACTCCCTCTTTGCCTGTCTCTTTCTCTCTCTCTTCTTTTCTCTCTTTGCATCTTTTCCTCTCTCTTTCCTCTCTCTCTCTTTTCGCTCTCTCTCTCTTCCCCTCTCTTTCTCTCCTCTCTGTCTGTCTGTCTCTCTCTCTCTCTTTTTCTCTCTGCTGGTCTTTCCTTGCCTTTGCCAGCTGCTTATGCTGCTGTTCTCCTCTCTCCTTCCTCTTCCTCTAGGGGAGGGACCAGCGGGAGTGGAGGTACTCTTTCTTCTTGGCTGTCTGTCCCTTTGCCACTAGCACTGCTGCTGCCTGTCCTCTTAAGCACTGTGGGGGGTCTAAAACCAGCTGCAACCAAGTATCTATGTGTGGAAACTGATCTGGTCCTGATTTACCAGTTACTTTGGGCCATACCTTTGAAACTAGGGACCTGTCTAGGCTTCCTTCTGATGGTGATCCCACCTCTAATGCCAGCCAGTCTATCTCACACAAAGCCTTAAGCTTTCCAGGTGTCATAGCAATTCCATAGTCCCCATTGAATCCTTTCTTGAAATTCTTTAACATCGTTTCTAATGGGGTAGGCTTACTTTGTGTTTTACACATTTTCCTCTCTCAGGAGACAGAATAACGCTCTTACCACAAAGAGGGAAGGGAAAAAGGGGCAAAAAGTCACTCACTCCACTCACTCACCAAGCAATTCACACTAAAACCAAAGCATGGATAAGGAGTTACTCATTCATCAAGCAATTTGAGCCAAGTCAGAACTGAAATCAAAGCCAAAACAGTTCAAATCCAAAAGCCAGTACCAAAATCTAAACCAAAGCAGTGTGAATCTAGTCAAAATCAAAACCAAAACCAAGTCGCTGATAAAGGCACGCCATGGGTGATCAGGCCATGTTTCCAAGTGGGCAAGTTCCAAGACCAGTCTTACCGTGTTCCAGATGTCTGGAGTCCAAGCGCCAATTCCTTCTGGGTGTTCAGCCACTGCGTTGATCCTCCATGGGGGCCTACCGTGCACTGCTCTGGCAAGGCATTCCACCAGGGCAATTGCCTACCCGGGAGTGCTCTCAGGATTTGTGTCGCTAAAGCTGGCCAGAGTGCCCCACAGGGATGCTCCACAGGGCAGGCCTAAGCCACCTAAGGGGTTGCCTCAACCGTCCGCTAATCACCTCACTTCCTGGTCGGGGCACCAAGAAATGTAGCAGGACGAGCCGCAGACAAAACCCTCAGACACCAAGTTGAGGAAGGAAAGTGCTTTATTTGGCCGGAAGCATCAGCAGACTTATGTCTCAAAAAACTGAGCTCCTCCAGTGAGCAATTCCTGTCCATTTTAAGGGCTTACAACTCTAAGGGGGTCCATATGAGAGGGTCGTGATCAATTGAGCAAGCAGGGGGTACATGACTGGGGGCTGCATGCACTGGTAATCAGAATGGAGCAGAACAGGACAGGGATTTTCACGATGCTTTTCCATACAATGTCTGGAATCTATAGATAACACAAGCAGTTAAGTCAGGGGTTGATTTTTAACTACCAGGCCCAGGGCGCAGCGCTGGGCTGTCTGCCTTTTAGTTTTTACTTCTTTTTTATTTGGAGGCAGAAATTGGGCATAAGACAATATGAGGGGTGGTCTCCTCCCTTAATAGCAGCAATTTGTCCTAGCTGAAATATGGTAATGAGATTTAAAAAGGTTCTTTTAAAGGAGCTCAATGGTAAAAAGTCAGCTGAATTAAAAGCTAACATCCAAGATGTGTGTGTATATGTGTGCATGTGTGTGTGTTTGTATTTAAAAGGTCTTCATGTTTTTGCTTTGTTTTTTTCTCCTAGGGCCTTGTCTTTTTTTCTTCTAGGACCTTGTCTTTTCTTCTTTTTTGAAAAAAAGTTTTTCTTAGTTGACTGAATTCCGTTTTCTTCATTTACTTCTGCTGTCTCTCCTTTCTCTTGCACCCTCTGCTGCATGAGGGATGTAAAATAGTTTATAATAGCCTGGGGTTCCCTAAAGAAAATGGAGAAGGCACCAGGCTCCCTTTGAGGGAGAAACATGTTTTTCCTTTTTCCTTGTGGAACCCCAAGAGTGTAAACAGACAAGTTTGTCTCAGCTCTTAAACTGCTTGCTTTTGTATTGTGTCACCTGACTTACTGACTAAAATAGTTATTGCAACAGAGACTACTCTTGGACTTTTAAGGAAGAGTGTAGTTTAGACACTTAGAAATGTCTATGTTTAAAAAAAATTTTAAGTGCACTGTAAAAACATCACGTGGTCTAGCCTCATAATAATTCTCCCTTTTTGGAGACAAAGAATTCAGTGTGGACTCTGCCTAGAGCTCAGAGATCCATTTAAAAGATAGGTAATCCCTATCTAAATAAAATTGGGCTTCTCATACAATCTTATGATAGATTTCTATAATTTTATGTTTGATTTGACATCCATCTTTAATCTCCCTCTAGCACCACCAGACTTTATCTCTCTGTACCTTGAGATGTAAATTTTGCTATCTGATTTTTCATCTAAGAGTTGTTTCCTTCAATATGCAGATTTACAGCTATTTAGCTGACAACTGCCAGGATAATGAAACAGGTTATCAAGAGTTTGCAAGTCTAAGATAGGAAAAAAAAAAAAAAAGGAGATCTTAGGAATCTTTAAGATGTACTTCCATCAGTATGCCTAATACAGCTATGTATTTATGTATTGTGTACACAATGTTTCACTTCTAAAAATATAGAAAAGAAGTCTAATTAATTGGCTTAAAGAAAAATAAAAGCACTTAAATCAAATACTTTCTCAGAAAAAAGGAAAGACTAGTCAAATACTCTTTCAAGTTTATGTAACTTAAGTAAAATCTTTAATAAATAAGCTAGCTTTAAAAGTATTGGTAAAGTAATATTAGAACTGTCTTAAGAATTGCCAGCAAACATTTTTGTTTGCATTTATTGATCAAGCAATATCATACTTTTCCCTGGCAAATACCATAAGGTGTCAAAATTTAACACAGGGGTTATGAAACTATAAATCCAGCCCAAAACAGAATGATCTTTGCTTGTGTAATTTTTTTTTTTTTTTGAGACAGAGTTTCACTCTTGTTGCCCAGGCTGGAGTGCAATGGTGTGATCTTGGCTCACCACAAACTCCGCCTCCCAGGTTCAAGCAATTCTCCTGCCTCAGACTCCTGAGTAGCTGGGATTACAGGCATGCGCCACCATGCATGGCTAATTTTGTATTTTTAGTAGAGACAGGGTTTCTCCATGTTGGTCAGGCTGGTCTCAAGTTCCCAACCTCAGGTGATCCATCCGCTTCGGCCTCCCAAAGTGCTGGGATTACAGGCATGAGCCACTGCACCTAGCCACTTGTGTAATTTTTAATAAATAAGATATTGATACTGGTTTAATGAAAACAGCTACATCTTGAATTATTTAGTAAAATTATCATAACTTCTAATCTTATGGTTTTAGGCAATGTAGTCCACAGGCAGTAAGGTGGTTTGTTTGGGAAAAGACTTTTATCATCTTTGTTTCAAAGCTTAACTATAAACTCTCTTTCTCTCAAAGTGAATTTGACTTATGTCCAGGAATGAACAAGGACAGGTTGGAGGTTAGAAGCAAGATGGACTCAGGTCATGTCTTTTTTCACTATCTCAGTTATAATTTTGCAATGGCAAATTTCATAAGTTTAAATGATGACTATCACAGTTTTCATAAATAATCTAGATAAACAATTAAAATAAAATAATTAGGTAAACATAATGGGATAAATACTTGTAGACAAACTTCTCATAATTTAGAATCTAAAGGTATATTAAATTAAATAATAGATATCTCAATAAAAATATATATTGTAGGAAAACATCCTTTCTTAAAAAAAAAAGTGTCCTTTTGGCTGGGCACAGTGGCTCACGCCTGTAATCCCAGCACTTTGAGAGACTGAGACAGGTGGATCATGAGATCAGGAGTTTGAGACCAGCCTGGCCAACATAGTGAAACCCCGTCTCTACTAAAAATACAAAAATTAGCCAGGTGTGGTGGCATGTGCCTGTAGTCCCAGCTACTCAAGAGGCTGAGGCGGGAGAATGGATTGAACTCGGGAGCGGAGGTTGCAGTGAGCAGAGACCACGTCATTGCACTCCAGCCTGGGTGACAGACTGAGACTCCATCTCAAAAAAAACAAAAGTGTCCTTTTTAAAAAGGTGAACAATTCGTGTCTAATTCAAAGCTTATTTAAAGGTTATGTATAAAACAATGTAAAGGGAACAAGGAAATAACAGAGATGTAAAGAAAGTTATAGAAATAAAGAGGTATTTTTTGGTAAGAAAGCTTAGTTTTCTCTCCCCTTTTAAAAGGCATGAAATAGAAATGCTCTCCTTCAACTTATTTTCAGCTCACATAAATTTTTTTTCCCTCGAGTTATGTTTGTTGTGGCCTGATACTAACAATGTTTTCTTAAAGGTCTAAAGGAAATGTTTTCTTTCAACATAATATTCTGTACACTGCAGAAGGTCTTTTCTTTTGCTTTTTGGTAACTGGCCTAACACATTTTACATTCTATCAAAATATTTTCTATGCCATTATTATGAAGTTTTGGCTTGCTTAGAAAAAAACTGTGATAAACATTTTTAAAATTAAGATTATTGCATCTGTGTATCTTTCTGTATGTACTTTTAAAGTCATTGTGACATTCAGTTACAGGGCTTTGACTCCTGGGTCTAAAAAGGACACCAAGTCCTGCTAAATTTTAAACCCTGACAGTAATTAAAGTCTCATCTTCAGGCCTGGTAGAAGACGCCAATCAAAATAAACTGCATTCCTGAGACACAGGGCCAGAAATTAAAGCTATTCAACTCCTCAGGGCCCAGAGACTATTGCAGAAGAGATGGGTGTGTGAGATTGTCAGGGCCAATTTGACAGATAAAATAAGTTCAGTTTTTCTATAAATTAATGATTAATGTCAAAGGCACACTGATGCAAGACACTGATGCAAGCATATGGGCCCCTGTGTCAGATTGACAAAGTTTTCTTGAAGCATTAACCAACTCCTTAATAAATGTTATAAAGTTTATAAAAGGCTTATGGAAGTTATATCTTGTAGTCAATATAAAAATTTTAGAGATTGTTTATAAAATTTTGGAAAGCAAATTTAATTGGCTTCATTCTGTTTTCATTAGGGCTTATTGTTTGGAAAATTAAGTCTCCTCTCTCAAAGAATGAAGGTTTTTGTCTTTTGTTGAAATCCTTATCACTTTTATTAAATGAATGACTTATTTTACAATGATCTGTGATCCTATTTTGTGATATCAAGTGTTTTAAACCTTTGATATTTGACAAACTTTCCAAAATCAAATTATAAATTATGTGTTTTTCTGATCTAATTAATATTTTAAGATATTAGGTTCCCTAAAGCCCAAAAATGATATATTTGGCTTATTTGGTATAAAAATTTTACAGAAAGCATTGTCAAATATAAAATGGTATTTGGTTTTCTTTGGGCTGTATTTGTATAAATATGTTATTGGTATGTGTTCCAAAATTGTGGAGAAACTCCTATAATTCTGATATGACTTACTGTACATTAACAGTAATAATTATAATTGTTATGTTAAATTATTGTGTGCCACAGAAGCAACAAATTTCCTTGTGAATTGTGTCTTTGACTATGGCTGCCCTAAAACTCTTTGTCATCCACAAACAATTATTGTCTTGTTTGGGTCCTCTTTAGAAAGTGGTTTGATAATCAGCTATAAAACTCAAACAGGTACTTTTGAATGCAGGTTTCTGATAACTTTGAAGATTGTGACATCAGAATAGAGGAAAAACTTTCAGGACTCATGGAGAGCTGAAATGCTCATGAATATCAAGCAGAATAGGAATTAACTGCATGGACTGAAGTAAAAGAAGACTGAAGTAATCTTTTTGACGTTTTGCTGAAAACGTTGCTGATCCTTTTGTTTTTCAGAGTCAAGGAAATTTTGTTTTGAGCTACTGACAGATTTTTTTTTTTTTGACACAATTTTGCTCCTTTTTCCCAGGCTGCAGTGCAATGGCACAATCTTGGCTCACCACAACCTCTGCCCCCTCAGTTCAAGCGATTCTCCTGCCTCAGTCTCCCAAATAGCTGGGATTATGGCATGCACTACCATGCCTAACTTTGTATTTTTAGTAGAGACAGGGTTTCTCCATGTTGGTCAGGCTGGTCTCAAACTCCTAACCTTAAGTGATCCGCCTGCCTCATCCTCCCAAAGTGCTGGGATTACAGGTGTGAGCCACCATGCTCAGCCTACTGACAGCTTTTAACAATTAAATATACTCCTATGAAAAAAATTTGGAGCATATTTGTTTCTCTCTACCTGATTTCTCCAGAATTTAGAAACTATTTGTGAACATTCTTAACTTATGACAATATTGTTATTTGCATAAGTGCAATAAGAATCTGTTTTCATTTGTAAATGAAATAGGACACCATTGGGGAAACTGGTTATTTCACCAAGGCTTTGACTGGAATGGTGTGCATTCCTGTAAGGAATCAAACTTGACTTACAGAGCCAATAAAAGTGCCTTGGGAAAGCTGGCCTCATACTTTGTACATAGTCCCTGTAGAGAGTTCCTGACCTGTGGTAAGTAAGGAATGTCACTTTCTGACAGGCCCAGGAGCCCCAAGTTATCTTGGGACATCAAGAGGAGAAAAATTCACCCAACTTACAGGTATTTGATGGTACAAATCCATGGCTGGGCTTGGTTTTAAAAAGTCTTATCTGAGATTCCTTCTATGGAACAAAGTTCCATCAAAGCCAATTTTAAAAGCCTATGTAAAAAATAATTATTCTTAGATGGGCATGGTGGCTTACACCTGTAATCTCAGCAATTTGGGAGGCCAAGGTGGGCAGATCACAAGGTTAGGAATTCGAGACCAGCCTGGCCAACATAGTGAAACCCCACCTCTACTAAAAATACAAAAAAAATTAGCCAGGCATGGTGGCATGTGCCTTTAGTCCCAGCTAATCGGGAGGCTGAGGCAGAAGAATCACTTGAACCTGGGAAGTGGAGGTTGCAGTGAGCTGAGACCATGCCATTGCACTCCAGCCTAGGTGACAAAGCGAGATTCCATCTCAAAAAAAAAATTATTTTTGCTGCATTTTTTTTGAGACAGTCTCATTCTGTTACCCAGGCTGGAGTGCAGTGGTGCAATCTCAGCTCACTGCAACCTCTGCATCCCGGGTTCAAGCAATTCTCCTACCTCAGCCTCCCAAGTAGCTGGGACTATAGGCACGTGTCCCCACGCCTGGCTAATTTTTTGTATTTTCAGTAGAGATGGGGTTTCACTGTGTTAGCCAGGCTGGTCTCGATCTCATGACCTTGTGATCTGCCCGCCTCGGCCCCCCAAAGTGTGGGGATTACAGCTCTGAGCCACCGCACCTGGCCTTTCTTGCTGCATTTTATACAAATAATCTGGCCAAGTATAATAAAGCAAATTGGTCCTACCATGATTTCTCTTTAGTAAAAATGGGAAACTAGAGAGAGAAAAATTATGTTTCAAAAAGTATAGTATACCTGTTGTTAGATTCTAGTCTTGCCTAATGTTTTTCAATTTTTATTATTTTCTACAGTATGGTCTGAATTCTAATTTTTCCTGGATGCAAGTCTCCAAAACAATGTTTACAATTTTTTTCTCCTTTCTTTTGCTTCACCCCCCATTTTTCCCAATTTTAAATCTCTGAAAACTAGGCTATGTTTTCTTAAATCCCTGTGAACTGAATCTAGACAACTTAAACTTAGGTAGAAAATAACAGCCATCTATTTGCATACATAAGCCACTTTCATAACTGCCTAATGATGTATGGACTTCAGAGTAATGTGGCCTATATTGATTTTCCAGGATTGTTCTTTTGTTTGTTGTTGTCTTTCTCCCTTCCTCCCCTTATTTTCTCTTCATAGGACATGAGACTTCTCAACCTGCTAAAAATGAGCTTTCCTAATAACTCTAAGAATAAACCATCCTAGCCATGAGAGATCAGAAAAAACCTGAGACCAGAGGCTCATTTTCTTATAAAATGCTTTCTCCAAAAGATTTTTTTAAAGGGGGGAGATGTGAAAGGAAAATAAATTTTGGGGCCCCCAAATCACTAAGCTAAAGGGAAAAGTCAAGCTGGGAACTGCTTAGTGCAAACCTGCCTTCCATTTTGTTTAATATTCAAAGCCATCCATCTGCTCATTGAGATGAATGCATATCTGATTGCCTCCTTCGGAAAGGCTAATCAGAAACTCAAAAGAATGCAACCATTTGTCTCTTACCTACCTGTGACCTGGAAGACTCCTCCCTGCTTGAGTTGTCCCACCTTTCTGGATGGAACCAATGTACATCCTACATATATTGATTGATGTCTCATGTATTCCTAAAATGTATAAAACCAGCCTGTTCCCTGACCACCTTGGGCACCTGTCATCAGGACCCTCAGGCTGTGTCACGGGTGTGCATCCCCAACCTTGGCAAAATAAACTTTCTAAATTAACTAAGACCTGTCTCAGGTATTTGGAGTTCACACGAGGTTTTGCCATATTGGCCAGGCTGGTCTTGAACTCCTGGCCTCAAGTGATCTTCCCTCTTCCACCACCCAAAGTGCTGGGATTACAGGTGTGAGCCACTGCACCTGGCCAGCTTTCTGTTTTGAACAGAATTTTCATGTAATATTAAAAGATAACAAAAGCTTTTTGTTTGCCTTTTGAACAAGTGACAGAAGAAAAAAAGGGAAGAGAATAGAGACAGATTTAGTTGGCCTCATGCTGTCTTTATTGGGTTTTTTGGAAAGCTGAGTCTACCCTCTATCAATGAGCAGAGATTTTTCCCTTTTTCTTATAATGACCTGGAATTCTATTTTGTAATCTCAAGTGTTTAAACATTTGATATTTAACAAACTTTCCAAAGTTAATTTCTAAATTAAGCCTTTTTTTTGCTCTGATTATTCCTTTTAGATATTCAGTACCCTAAAGTCCAAAAGAGGCATATTTGATTTGGCATATTAAAATCATACAGAAAGCACTGTGAAATATGAAATGGTGTTTAACCTTCTTTAGATTACATTTATATAAATGTTTTATCAGTATGTGTTCCAAACTTGCATGAGATTCTTATGATCCTGATATATCTTAATATGTTATCAGTAGTGATTATTATGTAAAATTGTTGTATGCCATAAAAGTAGCCAAAATTTCTAGTCACTTATGTCTTTAACCATGGCCATTCTAAGACTTTTGTCTTCCACGATGGTTGTTTTACTTTGATCCTTTCATAGGGCAGTTTATAATCAGCTATAGAACTCTGAGGAGTACTCTTAAATATAGGTTTCTGATAACTTTAGAGATTGTGCCATTGGACTGAATAGAGAGAAAAGCTTCCAGGACTCTCATGGAAAGCTGATATATTCATGAGGATTGCTGATTCCATATTGAGCAGCACAGGAGTTAATTGCATGGAATGAAATAACAAAAGATTGAAGTAATCTTTTACTACTTTTTGTTTAAAGCATTTGATTATTCTTTTTGTTTTTCAGAGTTGAGAAAACCCTTCTTTGAAGCTATGTGCAGCTTTTAACAGTTGGATAAAGTAAACTCTTAGAAATTGGAGTGTATTTCTTTCTCTCTACCTGATTTCCCCAGAATTTGAAAACTATTTGTAAGTATACTTAATTTATGGGAGTACACTTATTTGCATAAGTTCAATAAGAATCTGTTTTCTTTTGTGACAGGACACCATTGGAGAAACTGGTTATTTTACCAAGGCTCTGACTGGAATGGCATACTTTCAGATGGAAACAGACTAAGGAATCAAAGTTGACTTATACAGCCAATAAAAAGCCCCTTGGGAAAACTGGCTTCACACCTTGTCTACATAGTCTCTATACAGGGTTTCCTGATCTGTGTAACAAATGTCATTTTCCGACAGGCCCAGGGACTCAAAGCTATTTTGGCACCTCAAGAGGATAGGAATTCACTCAAATCCATATAAGTATTTCCGGGCACAGATAAATATGTGGCTGAGCTTAAGGCTTAAAAAAAAAATCTAATCTAAAATTCCTTATGGATCAAAGTTCCAGCAAAGTAAATTTTAATTTTAAAAACAGCCTATATGGCAAATAATTGTTCTTGCTGCACTTTATGCAAATACTCAGACCAAGTATAACAAGACTAAAACTTAATTTTGCACATACATTTGTCCTACTACGACTTATCTTTAGTAAACATGGACACTGGAGAAAAATTGTGTCAGAAAAAGATCATAGTACCCCTCCTGTTAGATTCCAGTCTTGTCCATTGTTTTTGAGTTTTTATTATCTTTTTGAAATTTGGACTAAATCCTGAATTCTTTCCAGGCTACAAGTCCCAAGTTAATGCTTTCAATTTTTTCTTCCGTTTTTCTAATATGGACTCAATGAAATTACTACTACATTATTCATTATTCCTTGTAGTACAGTAAGACATGTCAGACTGCCACTGTCTCCTCTATAACTTAAAGATGCTTTTAGTCTAACATCTGGATAGATTGTTTCCAACGTTAAGATTTGTTTTTCTTCTGTTTCCATAGGAATGCCTCTTACTAAAAATCTGTTTGCCTTCATTACATGCAGAGGCCTAGCCTATCTGCAATGCCACCTCCTGGATGAGGCACAGCTATTCACCTAAACTGGTCCATTCTCAAGAACTAGACATGGCTTGGGACTACCTTCATGGGTACTCATACTTTCTGTAGCCTGCTAAATATATATTTAGCTAACCTGTCATCATATCTGGTTACAATTGGCAGTGGGGACCCTGCATGATAATTAAGACCAACTGCTATATATACATCCCACATAATTTGGGAAATGTCTCAGATAGCCCTGCAAGATGTGCACCAACAAATCAAAGCTATATCTGACCCCACATTGTCCCTAGACCAGTGGTTACTATCCAAATCTGGGTCAGGACCATCCTGGTGGCAAAAGCTGCTTGTAACACTGGCCTTAATTGCAGGGATAGGCATATCCCTCTCTTGCGGTGTTTACTGCTATTGCACCCTCTGTGTGGGAATGCAAGACACGCTTTCCCAGGGACTCTGGAGACCTTGCACCATATTGCTCCAACATAATCTGTAAGTCTGGGTACTCGTGAATATTTCCAACTCCAAGTAGACCTCTTCCGTTCTGATTCCCAATGACTATGCCCCATTTTAGCAGGAAGTAGCCAGAATGAATATGGTGTCCAAATCCCATAAAAATGGAATTGAACTTGGCAGTGGAGATTCGTAACTGAGTAGTCCCATTTTTCTAAGATATACTTTAATTATTTTTTTTATGTGTTCTTATCTTTTCTTATCCTTTTTTAATCTGGTTCTCCACTTCCTACTTAGCCCTTTAGAAATGCAAATATAGAGCTGGGCACAGTGGCTCACAGCTGTAATCACAACACTTTGGGAGGCCAAGGCAGAAGGAGCAACTTTTTATTTTTCGTAGGGAAAGGGTCTTATTATGTTGCCCAGGATGGTCTCCTGGGCAACATAATGAGACCCTTTCCCTATAAAAAATTAAAAAAAAAATAGCAACACAAGGTTGCGCAAGCCTGTGGTCCCAGCTACTCAAGAGGCTGAGGTGGGAGTATTATTGAGTCTGGGAAGTCAAGGTCACAGTGAGCTGTGATCATACCACCATGCTCCAGAATGGGTGATAGAGAGACCCTGTGTCAAAAAAAAAAAAAAAAAAAGGCTTGGCATGGTGGCTTACATCTATAATGCCAGCACTTTGGGAGGCCAAGGCAGGTGGATCACCTGAGGTCAGGAGTTCAAAACCAGCCTGGCCAATGTAGTGAAACCCCATCTTTACTAAAAATATAAAAATTAAAATTAGCCAGGCTTGGTGGTGGGTGCCTGTAATCCCAGCTACTTGGGAGGCTGAGGCAGGAGAATCACTTGAACCTGGGTGGCGGAGGTTGCAGTGAGCTGAGATCATGCCATTGCACTCCAGCCTGGGCGACAAGAGTGAAACTCCATCTCCAAAAAATAAAAATAAAAAAAGAAATACAAATAAAGCCTTTTACCATTTACCTCCCCATTCACCAGATACTCTCTACATGGCAAGTTCAACTATGTGCTCCAAGACAGAACTCTCAAGAGTTAACAGTCAATTTACAAACCAAAGCATGCCCTCTGTGGAACTCCCACTCACCAGGAGGTTATCTGGAGAGGTAACAGTCAAAAGCATACACCCACTACTCTCTCACTACCTAGTTACAACTTATCTCTGCCCACAGATGTCAACCCAACTGCTCAGAAGATAAGACACCAAGCTAGCTAACAGACACCCACCTTGCTCACTTCCTCCTCTGCCTTTTACAAGTGTCTGCTTTCTGCTCCAAAAGTAAAGATAGCTTTGGAATAAATCACTTTCATTATACTAGAACTTACTCTTGTTAATTGAACTTTGTGCAGCTAGCAACTGACCGGTGTTTCAGTCACAAGACCATATTATAACCTAAGAATTGGTAATAGCTTGCTTGTAGTTTCTAGCCCTCTGTAATGGACCAAGTTAGGGAGATAAAATAAATATTATTTTAAAATCAACTTTATAAGATATAATTTATAAAAAATAAAATGTATCCATTTAAAGTGGATAGTTAGGCTGGGTGAGGTAATCCCAGCACTTTGGGAGGCCGAGGTGGGAGGACTGTTTGAGCTCAGGAGTTTGAGACTAGCCTGGACAACACAGGGGGACCTCATTTCTATAAAAAAAAAATTTTTTTTTAATTTAGCCAGGTGTGGTGGTGCATGCCTGTAGTTCCAACTACAGCAGTTCAGGGCTGCAGTGAGCCATGTTCACAGCACTGCACTCCAGCCTAGGTGACAGTGTGGGACCCTACAAACTGACTTCTACAAAGTCAGTTGGGATTTGGATAGGGATTATACTGAATCTGTATATCAGTTTGAGTATTGATCCATGAACACCAGATATTTTTCCAAATATTCAGATTTTCTTTTTTCAGTAATGCTCTGTAGTTTTCAGAGTACAAATTTTATACCTGTTTTGTTAAACTATTTCTATCCTAATCTTTCTGATGGTATTGTAAATGAAATTATTTTCCTAATTCCATTTTCAGTTGGTTTATTGCAAGTGTGTAGAAATACAATTGATTTTTGTATATTGATCTTGTATCCTGCAATCTCAAACTCATTTATTAGTTCTAATAGTTTTTAGTGGATTCTTTGGGATTTTCTAGATATAAGACCATGTCTGCCAAAACATAGTTTGACATCTTCTTCTTTTTTTGAGACAGAGTCTTGCTCTGTCACTCAAGCTGGAGTGCAGTGGTGCAATCTTGGCTCACTGCAACCTCTGCCTCCCAGGTTCAAGCGATTCTCACACCTCAGCCACTCAGCAGCTGGGATTATGGGAACGTGCCACCACACCTGGCTTTTTGTATTTTTAGTAGAGATGGGGGTCTCACCATGTTGCCCAGGCTGGTCTTGAACTCTTGTCCTCAAGTGATCTGCCTGCCTCTACCTCTCAAAGTGCTGGGATTACAGGCATGAGCCATTGCGCCCAGCCTGTTTTATCTTCTTTACTTGTTTTAAGTCAATTCAGATTGTCTGTTTCCTCAAGTCACTTTCAGTAGTTCATGTGTTTCTAAGAATTTATACATGTCATCTAGGTTATCTAATACAGTGTCATACAATTGTTCATTTTATTCTCATACTTTCATTTCTGTAATGTCTTAATCATTTCTGATTATAGTAATTTGAGTCTTCTTTTTCTTGGTCAGTCTAGCTAAATGTTTGTCACATTTGTTGATCTTTTCAAAGAACCAGCTTTGGTTTTCTTGGTTTTCTCTATTTTCTATTTCATTAACTTCAGCTCTGATTTAGATTTCCTTCCTTCTGCTTGCTTTAGGTTTAATTTGCTCTTCTTTTTCCATTATCTTCAGATGGAATGTTAAGTTATTTTAACTCTTTCCTAACATAAGTATTTACGGCTATAAATTTCTCCGTAAGCTGGGCTTTAGCTGAAGTTCTGTTACGTTGTGTCTTCATTTTCATTCCTCTCAAAGTATTTTCTGATTTTCCTTCATTTATTCTCTGACCCACTACTTAACTTAGGAGTATTTTGTTTAATAATCCACGTATTTCCAAGTTTCCCAAACTTCTTCCTGCTATTGATTTCTCATTTCATTCCATTGTGCTGGAGTACATACTTTGTATCATTTCTTTTTTTTTTTTTTGAGTCGGAGTCTCCTTCTGTCGCCCAGGCTGGATGTGCAGTGGCGCAATCTTGGCTCACTGCAAGCTCCTCCTCCCAGGTTCACGCCATTCTCCTGCCTCAGCCTCCGGAGTAGCTGGGACTACAGGCGCCCGCCACCACGCCCGGCTAATTTTTTTGTATTTTTAGTAGAGACGGGGTTTCACTGTGTTAGCCAGGATGGTCTCGATCTCCTGACCTCGTGATCTGCCCACCTCGGCCTCCCAAAGTGCTGGGATTACAGGCGTGAGCCACCGTGCCCAGCCGTATCGTTTCTATCTTTTTAAACTTATTGAGGTTTCACAGATTAACATATAAGCCTATCCTAGAGAATGTTTCATTAGCACTTGAAAAGAATGTATATCCTCTTGTTTGTTGACAGTATTCCACAGATGTCTGTTAGGTAGTTGGTTTATTGTGTGGTTTAAGTCTTCTGTTTCCTTACTGATCTTCTGTCCGGTGGTTCTATCCATTATTGAAAGTGGGGTACTGAAGTCTCCAGCAATTATTATTGAAGTGTCAATTTCTCTGTTTCTGTCAGTGTTTGTGTCATGTATTTTGGTGCTCCATTATTAGGTGCATATATTTATAATTATTATATCTCTCTGAGGGATTAATCTTATAAAATGTCCCTTCATATAATTTTTTGTTCTAAAATCCATTTTCTCTTAAAGTATATCCACTCTAATTTTCTATAGGTGCTATTTGCATATTTTATTCTATCCTTTTACTTTCATCAATCTGTTTCTATTTTGAATCTAAACTGTGTCTCTTGTACATAGTATACAGTTGGATCAGGTTTTCAACATCACTAATGATCAGGGAAATGCAAATCAAAACCACAATGCGATACCACCTTACTCCTGCAAGAATGGCTACAATCAAAACAAAAAATAATAGATGTTGGCATGGATGCAGTGAAAAGGGAACATTTCTACACTGCTGGTGGGAATGTAAACTAATACAATCATTATGGAAAACAGTGTGGAGATTCCTTAAAGAACTAAAAGTAGAACTACCATTTGATCCAGCAATCCCACTACTGGGTATCTACCCAAAGGAAAAGAAGTCATTATATGTAAAGATAGTTGCACATGCATGTTTACAGCAGCACAATTCTCAACAGCAAAATACAGAACCAGCCCAAATTCCCATCAATCAACAAGTGGTTAAAGAAATTGTGATATACATATAATGGAATACTACTCAGCCATAAAAAGGTATGAATTAATGGCATTTGCAGCAGCAACCTGAATGGAACTGGAAACTATTATTCTAAGTGAAATAATTCAGAATGGAAAACCAAACATCGTATATTCTCACTCATAAGTGGGAGCTAAGCTATGAGGATGCAAAGGCATAAGAACAATACAATGAACTTTGGGGGCTTGGGGAAAGGGTGGGAGGGCGGTGAGAGATAAAAGACTACAAACTGGGTTCAGTGTATACTGCTTGGTGATGGGTGCACCAAAATCTCACAAATCACCACTAAAGGACTTACTCATGTTACCAAATACCACCTGTTCCCTGATAATCTATGGAAATAAAAAATTTTAAAAAAAAGTTTTCAGAAAATTCAGTCAGTCTTTTGATTGGATTGTTCAACCTATTCATATTTAACATTACTGATTTGTTGGATTTATGTCCTTTTTTGTTTTCCATGTCTTACCAAGTTTTTTTGGTGACTATTTTCTAATGTAGTATTTTCATTTATTTTTTTTTATTTTTTGAGACAGAGTCTCACTCTGCCGCCCAGGCTGGAGTGCAATGGCGCGATCTCGGCTGACAACCTCTGCCTCCTGGGTTCAAGTGATTCTTCTGCCTCAGCCTCTCAAGTAGCTGGGACTACAGGTGCGCGCCACCACACCTGGCTAATTTTTGTAATTTTAGTACAGAGGGGGTGTCACTATATTGGCCAGGCTGGTCTCGAACTCCTGACCTAGTGATCTGCCCATCCATCTTGGCCTCCCAAAGTGCTGGGATTACAGACGTGAGCCATCGCACCTGGTCGTATTTTCATTTCTTTAATAGTTTCTCATTACAAGAGAAACTTTGTTGATTTTTTTTTTTTTTTTTTTTTGAGAGAGAGGGTCTTACTCTCTTGCCCAGGCTAGAGTGCAGTGGCATAATTATAGCTCACTGTAACCTCTAACTCACAGGCTCAGGTGATCCTCCTGCCTCAGCCTCTCAAGTAGTTGGGACTACAAGCACTCACCACCACATCTGGCTAATTTTTACATTTTTGTAGAGACAAGTTCTCACTATGTTGCCCAGGCTGGTTGTGAACTCCTGGCCTCAAGTGATCCTCTCATCTCAGCCTCCCAAAGTGCTGAGGTTACAGGCATATAATCTCAGCCACTGCACAGTCCTGAATTTTTAGGTCAGTCTAGGCTTTACCATATGCATCTTTCAGAACTAGGCTAATTACATGCAAACATTGCTCTTATATATCTCTATTTTCATTTTCTCCTTTTTGTGATAGTTATACATATTAATATTACAAACTCAACAACACATTGCTATTATTACTTTACCAACTGCAGTTTCTCTAGCTCCGTACACCTTTGCTCTTTCCTGCTCATTTCCTTTGTACCATTATCAGAAAATTTCATAAACATTACATTTTCATATTTATAGGGCCACTATTATATATAGTGTTTATATAATTTGTTTCTTCTTAAAATCAAGAGGAGATATTCATTTGTACTGTCCTATATAATTACACAATTACCTTTACTGGTATGTATTCAAATTACTATCTGGAGTCCCTTGCTTTCAACCTGGAGTCCTCTTTTAGTATTTCTTGCAAGGCAAGTCTCCCAGCAACAAATTCTCTTTTTATCTGAGAAAGTCTGTGTTTCACCTTCAGTTTTGAAAGTAGTTTGCTGGATATAGAATTATTGGTTGACATTTTTTTTTTATTTTGAGCATTTTGAAAGTGATCTGCTACTTTCTGGCTTTGTTGTTTCTCCTAAAATGGTCAGCTGTTGATATTTCCTTGCGAGTAACAAGTTGCTTTTCTCTTGCTACTTTCAAGCTTTTCTCCTGTCTTTTAGCTTTTTTGTTTTTGTTAGGACATGTCTGTTTTTTAAACTCTTTGTGTTTATGCTACTTGGAATTCATATAGGTTCCTGAATATGTAAGTTATTGTTTTACAAAAAATTTGGGAAAATTTTTAGCTGTCATTTCTTTGAATGTATTTTCAGCTCCCTTCTCTCTCCTCTTCTACTGAAACTCCTATGATGTGTATGTTGGTGTCCTTAAAGGTCACACATATTTCTCTGAGGCCATGTTCACTTTTAAAAAATTCTTTTTCCTCTAATCTCTATCAATCTTTCTTCAAGTTCATTTACTATTTCTTCTGCCAATTCTACTACTGAGCTTCTGTAATGAATTTTTTATTGCAGTTACTGTTCAACTCCAGAATTTCTACTTAGTTCGGTATCTCTTTGATATTTGATATAATGTCATTGCACCTTCCTTTTCTTCTTCAATTATTGTTTCCTTTAATTCTGGGAATGTTTTTAATGGCAACTTTCAAGTTTTTTCTCATAACTTGACATCCTGTCACTCTCAATTTTTTTTTTTTTTTTTTGAGAGTCTCGCTCTGTTGCCCAGGTTGGAGTGCAGTTGTGTGAACTTGGCTCGTTGCAACCCCTACCTCCTGGATTCAAGTGATTCTCTGCCTCAGCCTCTCAAGTAGCTGAGACTACAGGTGTGCACCACCACGCTAATTTTTGTATTTTTAGTAGAAATGGGGTTTCCCCATGTTGGCCAGGCTGGTCTCAAACTCCTATCCTCAAGGGATCCACCCACCTTGGCTTCCCAAAGTGCTGGGATTACAGGCATGGGCCCCACACCTGGCCTCATAGTCACTGTTTTGTTCCTTGCTTTATTTCTAGTGTATAAGTTGTACTTTCCTGTCTCTGCATGCTTTTGTATTTGTTACAGACTGGATATTTTAAATATGTTGTAGCAACTCTGGATACCAGTCGTTCCCTTCTCATATCCCTGGGGTTTGTCACTGCTTAGTGACTGGCTATTTTAGTGTAGCCCCTCCCATCCACCAGTATTAAGCCTCTGTTGTTGCTCCTCAGGTTGTCATGACTGGGTATGCCCAGTCTCCTTGGGATGACAGTGTTTTTTTCTAGGCCCAGCTTACTCTATTCACGACCATGTCTAGCTGTTGATCTCCAGTAATTGCCAGCTCTACTGTTTTCAACAATGTTCTGAGTCATAAATTGCTCTACAAGCTAATTCTATCATATTGTGACTCCTTTGAAGAAAAGGTTTCACATTTGTTCTAATCCCAGGAGAGGTCCTGTGAGCTGTCTTATTCCCTGGTTCTCCTGCAAACTAGCTGGTCTACAGTTTATACAGATGTTGAATCTCTTCAGTTGCTTTTTACCACAACCTCTAGTGGTATGTCCTGAGATTTGAAATTATCTGTGCTGTGTTACAAATGAAGTCCCTTTGTTTTGGAAGACATTAGGGGTTATTTCATCTGGTTCAGTTCCCAGGTAAAATCTCTAAACCAGGGCATTGGAACTGTAACAATGGCAAGCTTCTGTGTGACACACCACCACCTCTATCTCCACCCTAGAAACTGAGTGCTTAGTGGAGGGGGTTGGGCAGCAGCCTGAAGCCTTCTCAGCTTAACTCTTCTGGCACAGAACTATCACCTCATGAGCCAGGGGAAAGATCATCTGTGTCCCAGTATTCTAAACATGCCACACCCAACGTAAAGCCTCTGGTGGCAAAGTGGGAGCTGAGTGGAAGATGTGAACCCATAATGTTCAACTGCACTCCCCTGGGTTTTAACCTCAGCAAAAGCAGCTGGGGGCAGACCAAGAATTGTTAACATCCTGCTTTTCCCAAGAAGAGGGTTCTCCAACTGGGAGGTGAGGAAAAGGGAGCCCTGTGTTCTTGGCTGCAGCAGTCTGGAGTCTCCACATTAATAAGCATAGAGGAAGCAAGGAAGCAATCTAGGTTTAAATATCACAAACTCCCATTTCCTACACAATTTTCGCATTTCCTTGAATAGCTGTTTTTCTCATCTGCTGTTTGCTCACAGGATCATTTACAGAGGCTTTACATAAATAAATAGCTTTATTTTACATGGTTATATTTTATTTTACATATATTTTGTTTTACATAAATAACTGGTGAAAATAATTATCACCAGTTTCCCTGAGGAGGGGGTAAGCACAGCTCTTCACACTATCACGCCAGTCATTCAGTTTTCTTTTTTTTTTGACACAGTCTGGCTCTGTTGCCCAGGCTGGAGTGCAGTGGCGCCATCTCAGCTCACTGCAACCTCTGCCTCCTGAGTTTTCAAGCAATTCTCCTGCCTCAACCTCCCGAGTAGCTGGGACTACAGGCACCCACCACTACACCCGGTTAATTTTTGTATTTTTAGTAGACACAGGGATTCACCATGTTGACTAGGCTGGTGTTGAACTCCTGACCTCAAGTGATCCGCCCGCCTCAGCCTCTCAAAGTGCTGGGATTACAGGCATGAGCCACTGTGCCCGGCCCAGTTTTCTTTTAACTCATAAAAATCAGTATCGTCATTTTTACATTTTTGTTTTTTAGAGATGGGATCTCACTATGTTGCCCAGACTGGTCTTGAACTCCTAGCCTCAAGCGATCCTCCCACCTTGACACTACCAAAGTGATGGGATTACAGGCATGAGTTGCCACACCCAGCCTCATTATTAATTTACCCTCATTTACCATATATATATATATATATATATATATATATTTTTTTTTTTTTTTTTTTTTTTTTGAGACGGAGTTTTGCTCTTGTTGCCCAGGCTCTGGAGTGCAGTGGCGCAATTTCAGCTCACTGCAACTTCTGCCTCCTGGGTTCAAGCGATTCTACTGCTTTAGCCTCCCAAGTAGCCAGGATTACAAGCAAGCACCACTACGCCTGGCTAAATTTTGTACTTTTAGTAGAGATGAGGTTTCGCCATCTTGGCCAGGCTGGCCTCGAACTCCTGACCTCAGTTGATCCGCCCGCCTTGGCCTCCCAAAGTGCTGGAATTACAGGTGTGAGCCACTGTGCCTGGCCTCATTTACCACTTTCTTTGCTCACCATCTCTTCTTACGTCTTACATGTTCTTTCTGATCTTAATTCTGATTCCTGGAATAAACTTTCCTAAGTTCATTTAATGAGGACATGTTGGTAGTAAACTCTTTTTATCCAAAATGTCTTTGGCCCATTTTCCTGATAGTTTTGTTTGCTACAGAATTCTAGATTGACACTTCTCAGCACATAAAATATACCACTCTCCTCTGTTTTTCATTGTTATCAAGTAGCTGTCACACTAACTGCTGTTACTTTGTAGATAATGCTTTCTTTCTCTTGCTCTTTTAGAGACTATTTTTAGTGGTTTGCTTATCAAGAGTTTCACCACTCTGGTTTCCCACGTTGTCTGTCATCTACAAATTAGCTCAATGGGTCTACAGATTATTTTCTTGATTCCTCAAATGCAAGGATGACTTTCATCAAATTGGAAAATTTCTCAGCTAAAATACCCTCAAATATCATCCCAAACCATTCTATCATCTCTTTCTGGTAGTCTATTAGATGTTCATTGACCTTTCAAAATGTCCCTGGTGTTGAGTTTTCATACATTCTACATAATTTCTTCATCTTGGTCTTCTGGCTCATTTTATCTGTTTTGCTTTTCATGTCTAGATGTTTCACTGTTTCCAAATCTTATTTTTCTTGTCATATGCTCTTGCTTATCCTCCACCCCCACCATTTTTTGTCTTGTTCCTTCTCAATCTTTGGATATTCTTTCATTCCTTACACATACTGTATTTCAATAAATCTAAGCCATCAAGTACTGAAAAACACATCATTTTGTGTCAATTTAATGCTGCACTGTCATCCGAATTTTAGAGTTGTTAAAAAAAATTTTGTGTGTCTTTGAATACTCTAATCCAGTAATTCCAAAATCTGCAGTCTTTGCAGGTCAGATTCTGTTATTTCTCTTAATGTATTCACAATGACTTTTCAAAACTTTGTGAATTTGAGTATGAGTCCAAAATTATCAGAATACTACCTATGGAAGTTTTTTGAGATTGTTTAAAATGTTTCAAGAGTGTACTAACATTTGTTTTTGTTAAGTGCCCAGAATACTTCAAACCTGACCACTTTAACTTCTTAGCATTTTTTTTTTTTTTTGAGACAGGGTCTTGCTCTGTTGCCCAGGCTGGAGTGCAATGGTGTGATCATTGCTCACTGCAGCATTGACTTGCCAGGCTCAAGCAATCCTCCCACCTCAGCATCTCAAGTAGCTGGGGCTACAGGTATGCACCTAATATTTTTGTTAAAAATGGCATGCCTGGCTTAATTTTTAAAATTTTTTTGTACAGACATGGTCTATGTTGCCCAGGCTAGTACCCAACTCCTAGGCTCAAGCAATCCTCTCATGTTGGCCTCCTAAAGTTCTTAGCTTAATTTTTCTAACCACATTGGTAGTATGAGTTTGGCTCTAAATTGATTTGTCAGCTTGTGGATACAAATTATCAGGTGTTTTTTTCCTTCTCTCAATCCAGTTTTCTTACTTTCCACTCTGAGGTAGCATATTCTGGTGCATTCTTTCACTGAGTGTATCATCTTTTGAGGTTCCAGGTTTTGGAAGACTGTCTCACTCTGAGTTCATATTACTGTTGGCCACTAGGCTTTGTTTCTCTTCTAGAGCTTAGCCCATTCCAAAGTCGTCACAAACAAAAAGACTGGGATAACTGTCAGGGAAAATGTCCCCTTTAATATTGTTATTTCTCTGGATTCATGCTTTTTTGTTCAATTCCACACTAAGCCTTTTATTTTTAAATTTCTCATCTACCAAGATGTTGAAACAACATCAAAATACAGTTATCTACTTTACATTAAGATTCACTGGCTGTTATTCTGCTGCATTTGCACTATCTCACATATGCTTTATACACCCACAACAGTTTTGCCTACTGGAAAACAGCAAAAAGAATGACACTTCAGCTCTCATTATTCCAGCATACATCTCTGAAGAAAAGGGACATTCTTCTATTCAGGCACAAAACCACTGTCACACCTAAGAAAACTATTCCATGTAAGAATTCATATATGAATTTTCTGAAATGTTCCTAAAATATGTTTAATGGCTGGGTTTAATTCAAAATGAAATCAAAGTTCATGTAGTACATTTGATTATACTGTATTTCATTGCATATTGATTATATTGCATTTTTATATAGAACAGCCTCCCCACTTGTTTTGTACTTTTTAAGAATCCAAACCAGTGGTCCTGTAAATGTCCTACATTCCGATTTTGTTCAATTATTCCACGTGATTAGATTCAGGTCAAATGTTCTTGGCAAAAACACTACACAGGTGGTGAAGTGGAGCTTTAGAGTATCTTCTTTGTTAGCTCTACGATGAGTTTAAAGATTTTCGCTTTTTAAAGAAATCTCACCCAGCATTTCAGGTATTTTGTACCATCAGGAGGGTTCTTCAGGGCATGCAGTCTGTCATACTGCCAGAAATGCATGCCCCTATGTAGTATTGCCTTTCCAGATCACTAACGGTAACATGTTCACAAATGAAAGACTGCTGATACATTTACCACCAACTGAGGTAAGGTAATAAGAAAAGGGGATGCTTGAGACAAAATCTTCCATAAGATGTTCTATCCTACTAATTCATGTTTACATTTATTGTTCCCTAAAAGTCCGGAGCCTAATATGGGTGGTTGTTGAGTTTTGCAGTCTAAGGATCAATTAATATAGGATTACATTAATATTTAGGGCTGAGGATAGACCTGAAAGACTTGAGTTCCAGTATGAAAGCCTTTTCTTAGGTAGAAATTACATTTTGAACCTACCCTTTCATGACACAGAAGATATGAAAAAAGAAACAATATCTGTTGAGAATTTATTGTGTGTCAACCTTGTGCTATAAATGATCTCAATTCATCTCCATATTAATTTCATGAGCTGGATATGACTATCCTCATTTCACAAATAAGCCAAGTAAAACTGAGAAAAGTCATATTGGTAACACAAGGGTTCAACCCCAAATCTGGACAATGGCAGAACTTGTATTTTTTTCCACTATATAAAATCCTTCTAGAAGGGTAACAATTATGAATTCCCATTCTGATGTTTTACTTGGTTATTCAAGGCCTTAAGCTCTGTATAATTTTTTTAAAAACCATTTCTTGAAAAAATAGTCTATATTCAATCATTCCTTCTATGTCTCATTCACCTAACCCACTGTACACTTGTTGCTGCTCAAACTGGAACAGCTTTTATCAAGATCATCTATAACTTCTATATTGTTAAATTCAATGGCCACTTCATCTTTACTTCAACACTTGACATCAGCAACACCCCCAACACCCCAACTTGAAATCTCTTTTTCATCTTCTATCATCACTCTCCTGGCTTTCCTAATCCACAGGAATCCTTTGTGTTTTCTTTTCCTAGTTCTTAAATATTGTTTCCTCTGCTGTTGTAACTATTCTGCTCTTCCCATTCTATAAATTTCCTAGACAGTATCATATTCTTATACTGCTTTAGTTACCACTTATACTAGTAGCTAAACTTAGATGTTTATGGCCACCATGCACTAGACATATTCAGTGATGAATAAAAACAAATATGATACCTAACTGATGGATCTCACAGGCTCTATCTCCAGCCCAAGGGTTTCTCATGAGCACCAGAACCATAGAAACCTGCACCTTAATTTTCCATTAGTAGGTCACACTCAATACATCCCAAACTGAACTCACTCCCCTGCTTCCCTCATAACCTATTCCCTTCTCCTCCTCTTCCTAATTTTAATAGGTGCTAGCAACTCCATGGCTTCAATTACTGGTCCATTTTACTAAGTCTCTCAAGTTTGACTGCTATTCTCCCATTCTACTGCCAGATAGCTAATTAAGGGCTCACCTGAATTACTTAGAGCATACAATTGGGTCTCTACCTCTAATATTCTGCAGAACTCATTCTTCACTGCAACAATGATCTTTCAAAAAGGCAAATCTGATTATTTCACCCCTCCAGTCCCCACCTTGCTTAAAATTCTTCAAGGACTCCTTGTTGGCCTCAGCGTAATTCCCAAACCCTTTAATATAACTTACAAGACTCTCTGCTTGAAGAGGACTCTGCTCAATTTTTGAGTGTAGTATTTTACCACTCCAACTTACACTGTTTCAGATTAACTTTCAGTTAATTAACTTTTCAGTTCCTGGAATACATACATGTTCTCTCTCACTCAGTCTTCTACATGTTGTATTCTCTTTTCACTCTCTCTTTTCCTTGTCCACTGTCCTTTTATGAGTGAAAGAAATTGCTTTCCTGGCAACAAAGTTTGGGTTAGATCCTTTCCTACGCATTACAATTATATTCTGTTAATCCCTATCATAACATTGATTACTCTAACACAGAGTCTAAAGTCTGTGAAGGCAACGACTATATCTTCTTGTTCACTACTGTATCTTTGGTGCCTGGCACACAGTGTAAATTTTTAAAATGATTTAAAACTATGATTAAGTTTCAACTCACAGAAGAAGAAAAAAAGAAATTCATTTGAAAACTTTTTCAATTTTCTAATTTAATAGAAATAACCAAAACAATGTGGCTTTCAAACAAGGGTTTAAAACTAATCTAATACAACTTCTACAACACATTCCAGAGCATTATAACAAGAATTATTTACAGGCAGCTAATGTATTAAATAACCATGAAAAGAAAAAACTTGCTTTTATTACACACCAGCAAAAACACAGGAACGAAACAATTAGAAACTGCAACCTTGTTTTAAAAAATTAAATATGATTATTTAGAGAATACGATACCACAGAAACAGCACTTTTTAAGAATCATATTGAAGGGCAGTTAACTATGTGCAAAAATAATAGTACTAGTAGTAATAATAATAATGAGGGGAGGAGACCAATTGAAATACTGGAAGCAAGGAACTAGTAAGGCTGTGAATTTAACCCTTTCGTGTGTAGGTATGTCTACATAAAAAATTAACAGGCTTTCAAATTGCACAAATCTTTTTTTATAGGCTTATGTATATGTTTCACTGTGTTTTAAAATGTAGTAGATGCCTACATTTTTCAGAACAAGGAGCAGACATGCATTCCATCCTTAAGATTGAAATTTAGGCCACACTTGAAAGGGAATATTGCAGTGGCACTTACAAAATCATTTTGGTGCCTTCCCACACATAAATTTGGTGAATTTAAAAGAGGAGCATTTTTAATTTTAAAGATCACTTTCTAGAAAAGGGCTAAACTTAACTTTGTACACTTTGTAGTTTGATATGACAAATATATCCAAATTAACTTATTTTTGAAGATAGTTTTGTTTCTTCGATACAATAAAAAATATATAAAGGACCACATAGGCAAACACAAGGAACTAAGATGAAAGAAATGCTATACATGCATTTTGACCAAGTAAAAGAAACCATTATATTCAAGAGTACGTGTTGAATCTGAAATGTCTATGTAAACTGTGGCATATAAATTTTTTTCCTTAAAAAAGTACCTTCAATTTTTTTACTCAAACACTTACTTTTAAAAAAATATGCAACTTTCCCCAATTTTTAAAATAAAATGCCACAATATAGTGTCATTACTTCCAGCATACATTTAAATTTCTTAATTTTTAAAAGATAGACTGGGTGATATGCATACAAACTTTCCTATAAAATCACCATCCAGGAGAGGATTCTGACATGCTATTAGGCAACAGACTCAAAGCAGTGTTATTGCTTTATCAAGGAGGAGATTAACTGTGAGGGAAAAAAAATTAAATATCCAGGTCCGGTACATGATCAAACTGTATTACACCTTGAAAATCTTGAGTCACCTTCAGCAGATCATTAACATAGATGGTACAGAAATTAAGAATTCATGGTATGAATTAAGAATCTGTTTTAACTAAGGGAGTTGGGTGCGTGGATTTTTTATAAAACTACTCACTGATCCGATGCTGAGTATGCAAATAAGCAGTGCTGATTTTGACAAGAAATGAGATTTTTATATTTCACATGTTGTACATGAATGGGGGTGGATATGGGACGTAAAAGCCAAGGGAGACGGGGCCACAGCATCTACTCCCATTTTGGATAGTAAGAGACCATTTAATAACATACAGTAGGCCACAATCCAAGGGCATAGTTGGAAGACCTGAATCTATTATCTTATTAACACTAATCACTAATAATTACATGGCAGGATACCTGCTGAGGTAATTGATAAATCTACAATTTGCACACTTATAAACCTTTTACTTCTATTTAAAAGCATTATTTATTTCAATTAACTAAAAATTCCAAAACTTATCACAAAAAATGAGACAACTGACTTAGCATTACCTAAAATTCCCTTATGTTAAGATACAGAAGTCAGAAAGTACCAACTTGTTGATCCAAAAATAATAATTTCAATAGTGGATCCAATGCCTTATCATTTCTCTGTAGTAATGGTTTGATGTTTCCATATAGAGCACGACCTACAATCTAACCATACTTTAGAACTTTCACATGCTTTGCCTCATAAAGCAATTCCTTCACTCAGTGAATTGGCTGAGCCAAGTGCTGAAAACACAAATTTAGGTCAGCGGAACAGACTGAGCAACACTTTGTTCTTAGTTTTCTGATGGAAGAAGTAAATTGAAGTACAGCAAAAACTTTAAAAGCTTTTAAGAAAACATTATTATGTGGACTTTTCTCCAAATCTTCTAAAATACTGCCATTTAAAAAACAAATACAAATGTGAGAGAGTATAAAAACAAACTGCCTTCAGGGACTGACAGATACAATTTTGTCTTTTTAAAACATAAACTAATAGGAAAACATATATCTAAATATCAATTTAAGTTTTTATACTTTTTAACCATAGGTATATTAGAGCTGAAAAAATCAGCTTAGAAACACAACGATCAGTGTGCAAGAAAAAAGCTTTAATAAAAAATCTAAAGTGAATACCTTAATTTAATGGTGGTATGTTGATAGCTATTAATAGTAATTCCTCAGCAGTATACATTATCTTAACAGAAGTGGAGGCTATTAAATGTTGACAAAAAAGTGGCTTTTAAATTGCTTTAACCAATCTTAAAACCAAAAAAACCTAAAAACTCTATCTAACATGTAATTTTAAGGAAACACAATTATTTTTTAAGGCCCCAAATACTGAAAAATATTTACTTAAAATGTTTCTCCCCTCAGTTGGCAGAATCTATTTATGACTCATTATCTACAATTTTTTTAAAAGGATCCATTTGAAGAGCAATACAAAATATTAGAACTCAAAGGCCTGACAAAATGAAGTTATACTGCTGCTATTCCTCACTTTCCAAAAATGTGCCCTTAGATATATGTCTACTTACAAACTGAAATCATGGATTTTGTGAAAAAAGAGGGAAATTGGCATAGGCATAAGTATTTTTAAATAATTTTCTCCCTCTTATTAAAAAACATTTTTAGGAATTTAAAATTTGAGTAAAATGTTTCAACAGTTTGGTATATTTTCAACGGCTTAAATTATTTTTTAAAAATTGAAAGAAAAGTGAAAAGGAAGCCAGGAATAAAGTAAATCAATAGTAATAATAAAATCAATACTCTTTAAATACACAACCAGAAAGCCTGAATCATATTCCTGTTTACCCCCACCCCTTGTTAAGAAAAGAAAAACAACCCAAAGGAATTTGTATAATAATTTCTTTAGAGCACTTTATTTGATTCAATATGCATTAAAAAATATTGACCTCTTAGACAATTACGTGAAATAATTTTCTGAGTAGTCTACTCTCTGAACTGCTTAAATGAATTTTTAAAAAGGCAAATAAATGATTTGCCACAAATCTGCTGACTTCTGAAAAATATCTAACAGCAAATTCTTCTATTTTGGTCTCTGAATATTCTAATGTGTCCATACAAAAGTAGGACTAAAATCTTTAATCAAACAAAAGAGAAGCCTGTAACAGTGTAGAACACACATTTTGAATCTGAGCATCACAAATGAAGAAAAGAAAAATGAACCAGAGCCAAGTTGGTTTATCGGCCTCGGGTGCTGTAATTGGGGTGGTAAAGGTGGGTTTACTCCAGTAACCATTCAAGTGGGGATTGGCTCATTTTCAGGATTTACTTACAGGTCTCTTCTAAGTCCTTTAAGCCCCCAGTCCATGCAAATGTCCCACTTGGTGGACAGATGAGTAATCTAACCCCACCGGGTTTATTTCAATATTTCGATATTTCAATAATAAGCTGCTTCTGAAGATTTTTTGAGAAGTCTGTTCTCTATTAAAATAAGATAGAACCTCAAAATATGAATGTGAACATTAGAAATAGACAGCATATATTACAAATCCATTCTTGATAGGAACATTAGTAAGAATACACATTAGCTTAAAAAACAGGCTCAGCAAATGTTGCTGATCTGCCAAAAGTTTTAGTTCACTATTTACAAATAAGACAAAGTGAAATACAGAAAATTTTACACATTTGGTAGTTGACAGATACTGTTTGCCAATAGTGGTCTATCAGAAAACTGACATGAAGGAAGACTGGAAAAGAGCCAGTTGTCACCTTCTCAAATTTAAATGTACAGAAAACTAGATTAATTTTGAAACAAACATTCTGCCTTTCATGGGAATAACTGTATGATCACATGATTTGATTGGGAAGTACAATTGTGAGGAAGTGTTTTCTGGAAACAACTACTATAACTCTAAATAATCCACTAATGAAAAGTTACCATTTTTGTTTCAGTAGACCATTGAAGTTGATTAAATGATAACTAGTGGTAGTGTTTCCTAAACCCTAAGTATGAGTAGAAAATAAAACCATTGCTGAGTTCTTTATATCAATTTAAAAACTAAGACCCAACAGCATAAAAATGAGAAAAAACATAATGGCATGATTCAATGCAAATCTGCACTGACATTAAAGTAGAATCTGAGCTACTTGGGTTTTTAACTAGAAAACAACCTGATATGTATGTGTGTGAAGGGGGAGGGTTAAAAGTTGTTTTAATAACTGTGCGACCTAGTCCAAAAAGAAAATTTATCAAGTGACACGAGTCTCAAGTATTTACTCGTATACCAAGTATCCTGCACCAATCAATAGCACACAATCATCAATATTTGCCATTTCTAACAATCAGAGAATCATCTCCATTAGAACAGAAATCCTCAAATCATTTCACTTTTGCTTTTTGCTTTGAAACTTGCAAACAGACTTCTCTCCCCCTTTCTTGACAAGAATGTGTTTCTGTCCATTATTTCAATCTAATACTGTGTAAAAGCTATCAGCTTCTTCAAGGAGGTGCCCACTGTAGGCAGGATATTCCAGCAACACTTAAAAGTTTTCTGGGTTTTTTGTGTTTTTTTTTTTTTTTTCGTTTTTTTTTTTTTAAACAATTGATTTAAATCCATGTCATTTTACTTTATATGTACTGGTCTCTCATCTGACTTTAGGCGTTTTCTGCGGGGCTGTATAAAGTCTTCATCAGAGTCCTCAGTTACCTCACCATCATCCTCTTCCTGCTCAAACTCTGGCAAAGGTGCGAAGGTCCTGTCTGAGTAGATCTCTGTGAGTTTATCTTCAAAGTACAATGCAACTGCTTTCCCTGCCTGAGCTACTTCTGAATCAGCCTGCAAGCAAAAGATAGGAATATTCACCTATTGGTAATGCATATTCCTTCACCAAGTTTGCATGGTCTGAAAAGCTTACCTTCAAATTAATCTCTTGTGTGTCTGCATAAACTTGAACAACTTTCATCATCTAAAAAGGATACCAGAGTCAAAAAAAAAAAAGGGAAATTATAATCCTTTCTAAAGTTATGAGACTGCATAGGATTGGCGACGAAAAGTCAGCCATACTAGGGAGAACAAATTGCTATAACCAGATAAAGTGCTTTTCTAAAATTCTACAGAACATGGAACCATTTTCTTTACAAAGCCCTGTTACTAAAGCTACTGTGAAACCTCAGTAATTGTCTTATTTTGAATTATCAAGGTCAATCTGAATAGGAATTGGTCTGAACACATCAATCTATCCAAGAGAAAAATATTTGTGAAGCATATTATACAAGAAACGTTGCTTTAAAAAACTGACAAACTTTCAACAAACCACTTAATAAAAATTCTATCTGTATAGCAATATGTTAATCATAAACTATTTATTACTGAGGCAGGAAACATGGGTCTTCTTATCAACTATAGTTCATGAAAGCATATTTATTTGAAAATAATTTAACTGCACTGAAAAATAAGACAGAATTTGGGACTAAATATAACTTCAAACTAGTGAGATTTTACTAATATACTCTGTGCCATACTGCTATAAAGGTGACTTAGAATTTTCACCTTATGAGGATTTTGTTTTGTTTTTGATTTTAAAATGCCATCTGGATGCTTCCAGAGGCAGCTATAGGAATACGTTACAGGATCCAATGTGATTTATTTTAGTAATAATCATATGGCACCCAAATTACACCAGCAATAAAGAGACTTTAGTATTAATCTTTTAAAAGATTTTGTGGATTCTCATTAAATTCCATTTTCTTCTCCTACAATGAAACTCTTCCATAACAATAATAGAATCGATTTTATCCCTAATAAAAACAATTTCCCTGAAACAGGTATATAATACATTTCTTCTCAAGGCATGGCTAACTCAAACTTACCCTCAAAAAAAAAAAAAAAAACAAAACAAAACAAAACAAAAAACAAAAAACTCCCCAAACCAAAAAACATAACCAAAATTAATCAAAGTCACACTGCTGAAATAAGAAAACTTAGTATTATATACTCTGGGCTACTATTCAAGATGGGTCACCAGAGATTAGTTTGTTATTTTAAGGTTCTACATTCATGTTGTCAATAATAAAATGCAAGGACATGGGTACAGATAACTTTCCTAATAGTACCCAAAACGTAAGCTGTTTATAATCATATTCCACAAAATATACGTAACTACTGACAGTACTTTCCATACTTATGCCAATCCTCAACTCATTTAGAAAAGGATATTTGATAATATTCTTAATTTATTATATTTAAGTATATACTCCAAATTATACACAATAAATTTTCTTCACTGGAGCTGTTAATACAATCAGATGTTACTTTTGACAGGACTTTAGCAGAAAAAAAAATTTTAATAAAATTAAAGTCAGCAGAAAAATAAAACAAGGAAACAAACAAAAACTAACAAATCAAGACTCTATAGGTTGGAAGTTAACATACTTCATTAAACCTTTCACAGTTCTTGAAGATCAAACGGACATCGGCCACAAAGTCATCCGGGATTTGGTAGTGTTGGGAATGTTTTTTCTGAAGCTTCTTTTTCACGGTGGATAAATCCATTGGTTTCTTTATAATTTTATAGTAGTTTGGTATCTAAAATAAGCACATAATGGCAAATAAGAATTCTCCAAAAATGCCAAACTGTTTAATTTGAAAATGCATAGCATATTAATTTTAGGGAAAAAAATTATTATAGAGCCAGCTGCTTGCAAATTTTGAGTATAGACGTATGTACTTTACATCTTCATGAAAACCAAATCTTATGTGGCATATGTGCCAATCTTCATGGTTAGTCCAAGTCCCCAAAGTCCTACTTTTAATAATAAGATTTGGAAAGAAAGCAATTAGCAAGGGTAACCAACCAGTAGCCTTGAGGCAACATTTGACTTACCAGAATTTTATGACTCCTTAGGAGTTTTTCTTTTTTTTTTAAAGAAAAAAATTTACAAAATATATTAATGTTACAATTAGAATATGATGTCTTTTGGAAAACATAACAGGGAATATCATTTACATCACGAAGTCTTGACTTAGTAACAGAGGAAGTAAGACTAAGAACATAAGAAAAATTTACTAACTTTATTAACCATTTAGTGTTCACGCTAGGGAATTCTGACCCCAACTCTGGCGAAAAATTTCTACCCTTGGGATAAAAGTAAAGTTAGAGAAGCTATTTTATTGACTGATTGACTAATTGATTTTTGAGATGGAGTCTTGCTCTGTCGCCCAGGCTGGAGTGCAGTGGTGCAGTGGCGCCAACTGTGGCTCATTGCCACCTCCATCCCCTGGCAATTATCCTGCCTCAGCCTCCCTAGCAGTTGGGATTACAGGCATGCACTACCACGCCCGGCTAATTTTTATATTTTCAGTAGAGAGGGGGTTTCACCATGTTGGCCAGGCTGGTCTTGAACTCCTGAACTCAAGTGATCTGCCTGCCAGGCCTCCCAAAATGATGGGATTACAGGCATGAGCCACCATGCCCGGCCAAGAAGCTACTTTAATAGTCCATAAAAAGAAAACATTTGAAAGTCATTTTCTACTTTAAAATCCCTGCACTTAAAGATGAGACAAATTTTCCAGAAACAGATGATTACTGCTTGTACAAAACATCTTCCTTCTGTCTATACCTTTTGTGATTTAAAATTCATTTCTCAGGCTACCCAGTAAACAAGTCAACTACCATTTAATATTCTCTAACAGGCCTGGTATGTAATAATGTACTATTCAACAACTGATGGCTAGCAATAAAATGTGTGTAGAATATTCTTACCCCACTTATTAGGCACCAAACACCTCTAATCTTCCTTTTATTGCAGCATTTTAGAGCCTTTATTCCTTACAAAACTCAATGACTATAGACTATGCTAAATATTTTACATAGGTTATTTTATATAATCCTCAGAACAACCCAATGAGGTAAAAAATCGTGTCAGAAAACTTGAGTCTTAGAGAGGTTGAAGAGCTTATTCCAGAAGGCTGAGGTGTAATACAACTTAGTCTAAGGCCATACTCTTTTTTTTTTTTTTCTTTTTTTTTTTGAGACGGAGTCTCGCTCTGTCGCCCAGGCTGGAGTGCAGTGGCGCGATCTCGGCTCACTGCAAGCTCCGCCTCCCGGGTTCATGCCATTCTCCTGCCTCAGCCTCCGGAGTAGCTGGGACTACAGGTGCCCGCCACCGTGCCCGGCTAGTTTTTTGTATTTTTAGTAGACACGGGGTTTCACCGTGGTCTCTATTTCCTGACCTCGTGATCCGCCTGCCTCGGCCTCCCAAAGTGCTGGGATTACAGGCGTGAGCCACCGCGCCCGGCCGCCAGAGCCCATACTCTTAAGTATTATGAGACTTCCCCACCGAGCTACTAAGGTAGGCAACTCACCGAAGCAGGAACAGGCTCCTGGAATTCAATACTTAATTCATGGCAATAGAGGTAAAGCAGAAGACGTTCACATTTCTGGCCCAAACAAGGAAAGGAAAGCACATGAAATATTTTTCTCCTAATAAAACATTCTCGAGAATGAGAACTATATCACAACAAAGTTTGATTACAACAAACTGAACACAAGCCCCCTGTTTACTAGATACTCAACTAAACATAAACACCCAAAGAAAATTCCCTTGCTTCTCATTTTGTTTTCAGACTATCTTTTGTTCTACTTTAAGTAAGAATGGAAGATAACTAAGGTAATTTATGGAAGGGAGTCACAAAAGCAACATCTAACACTTTGTGCAAAAATTTATAAATTACTTGGTAATAAATAAATAAGTAAATAAATTATCACTGTTGCTCCTCATGGTAATTCCTTAGACAGGCAAGACAAATGTTGAAAGTTATCATCCCCTTTCTTCAAATGATTCCAGTCAGGTTCAAAATGAAAATGGCCTTCTCAGTCTAACTCCAAAAATATTTTTTTACCCAATCATGAGTAAACTGAAATGCATTTTACATTCACAGTCTTCTATTTATCTAAACTTCTTTTAATACAAGTTTGTATACCCTAAACACGTATCTTGTCTTCACAGATAGTGGATGAGGGTTTTTACCAGTATATACACCAGAGTAGAGCCAAACTTAACTCTAATGACCACACGACAATGCAAAAGAGTCTGTCTTTGGCAATCAGACTACAGGCCAGATTGGTAAAAATCTGAGTAAAGTAAGGAGAGAGTTTCCATTTTTAATATGATGAGAAGCTATTAGAGGATTTTAAGCAAGGAAATGATAGACTTGTTTACTTTTTTAAAAAGAACACTGTTTAATACAGAAAACAAACTATAAAGGTCAAGAGCAGAAGCGGGGAGAGCAGTTA